>NC_000004.12:46552106-46861530 GCF_000001405.40 Homo sapiens
TTTAGCACATTGCCTAGCATATGTGCCTTGTTTTTCTTGCTCAGAAGCAAGTGCCAGAATTCTGATAATATAATTATCTCAAATATTTCAGCACATGATTTTAATGAGCAAGACCATGGACCTGCAAAACTAAACCCTTTATCTCAAGTAATGGAGCTATTAATATTCAGGTTTTTTTTAAATTCATTTTCTTGTCCTTTAGAGAGACTGGCATTTTGTTAACAGTTTTAATGATAGAAAGAATTTCCTGTAACTTTTCTCTTAATTTGTCTCCAGTTAACAGCTTTGTAATTTACAAAGCCCTCTAATGCAAATTAAAAATAGTAACTATCTACATCTTTGATACAAAGAAAGGATAATACAGGAAGTCTTCACTTAACATGGTCGTTAGGTTCTTGGAAACTGACTTTAAGCAAAATGACATATAACAAAACCAATTTTACCATAGGCTAATTGATATAAACAAAAGTCAAGTTCATACAGCATATTTTTGGTCACAAAAGCATCACCAAATTTCTAAATAAAGACCCCAAACACTTCTAATATCAAACATCAAAATAAATGTGAGCTACATATATACTTATGAAAGATTCATAAAAACAAGTAAGATAATTATTTCAGTTCAGAGTCACAGGTGGCAGGAGCCTATCCCAGTAGCTCAGGGTTGCAACGTGGGAACCAACCCTAAACAGAATATCATTCCATTGCAGGGTGCACTCCACACACAGAGCCACATTCACTTCACTGGGACCATTTAGATACTGTAATGAACCTCACTGGACATGCACAGCTTTGGTATGTGGAAGGAAACTGGAGTACACAGAGGAAACCCATGTGGAGATAGGGAGAACATGCAAATTCAAGGACCTGCTGTATGTCATAAGCTTCCTAATTGTCCATGCAATTCAGATTTATCAATTCTTTCATTCCATAGAAATTTAGTAAATAATTATTATATTCACAGTACAAATGCCTGCAATTTCAATACACTAAAGTTAATTGCAGGGCAAATCTGAAAGGGAAGATACTCAGACTAACT
Organism: Homo sapiens; assembly: GCF_000001405.40. Classification (NCBI taxonomy): domain Eukaryota; kingdom Metazoa; phylum Chordata; class Mammalia; order Primates; family Hominidae; genus Homo; species Homo sapiens. Next base: position 46,553,146 of record NC_000004.12, read on the forward strand.
TACTTTGGTTTCTTCCGTCTTCCAGCTGAGAATCATTTTGAATAGAGAACTTCTCATACATTTTCACATTTTCATTTCCTTATCTGAAAGTGAGACCATTGGTGGCACTCTGCATTCTCTTTTGACCCAGATAATTTTGATAGCTTCCTTGATGATTCAAATTTGCTGCGTATAATTATTTGTTCAAGTTGAAAAGTTTTACCTTTCCCTAACTGGCTATGAAAATTTATATAAGTACATGCTCATGTTTTTATGTGTGCATGATGGACACAAGTGGATTTAATTTGACACTTTGTTCCAAGATCTTGGGAGGATCCGATCTGCTGGAAACATGTATAGTGTATATGTCTAAATGTTGCCTGTAATAAGAAGGCAAAATCCTATAGAATAAACTTAGAAAATAAGATGGAATTCCGAAAGAGGAATGTTAAAAGGCTCTTTCTTTTACCATTTTTGACACTTGTCCAAAGGGTCTGTTAAGATGATTGAAGGAGGGACAAGATGGGAAGTTGGTGTAGAAGATATTTTCTCAAAGCACTATTTATATAAGTGGATAAAATATGTACTCTTGCACATTCACCTTGGGGTGTGTGATTTTCCTCAGGATGCCACTGGCCATTCAGATATTTATCTTCACATTAACTCAGAACCATACGGGCACCATGACTTAATGTGAATGGAGGAGAAATCTCTTGGTAATAATAGTGACTACAATAGAATTATGTGTGAAAGTTGCTGTGGAGTAACTGATTCTTTGAGAATTGGGAAAGCTCATAAGAGAAGTACTGTATTCTTCAGTGATTAGAAGAAGTTTACAAGAAGAAATACTGAGGAGGCATATTTCAGATACAAAGAGTTCATCGTTTAGCACATCATACATATGATAAAGTCAAACTAAGATGTAATAAATTTAAGGATGAACAAATTATCTACAGTTTTTTTCCATGAATGTAAACTCAAACCTCTATTTCAATAAACGTTTTACAAACATGTCCATGGAAATGGAATAAGAAAAGTCTGGATAGTTTCATGCCATTCATTACAATTATTAGAAAAAATAATTTCAAGAGAGCAGTGGTATAATTTAATAGCCAACTATAGCGTCAGATTCTCAAAAAGGAAGACCCAGTTTTACAGGACTTTTTAATAGAATCCACTGGAAATGTGAATCTTTTTCAAGACTATGTACAAAGAACTGTATTCACCTCTCTCATGCAACTGTCCTCTAGTAATGACCCTTTTGCATTCCAGGACATTCTGCATCCTTGGACTTCATCAGCCTGACCTCATTTATCCCAGCTCACAGCTGTGTCCTGGCCCCTGCTCCCAATCACCTACCTACTGATATATTTCACCACTTTTTACTTACCCATTGAAAGCTTTTCTACTTTATTGCTCTACCTTTGCATTACTGCTGCTTGTGACATCTTAACTTTAAGACCCAGTTTTTTCTATGGATCACTGCTTAACTCAGGCAATAAGCTAGAGAAAGGTATTCCAAAGGCATTCCAAAACTCAGCTATTATCCTCCATGGAATGTAACTAATTGCTACCTGTAGATAACATTTTCATTTTGTAAGAGTAACAATTTTTCAACCTTATTACAGATTATTAAAACGGCTAAAATGTGACATTACAGTGACCTACTAGGGCATAATGGTTCAAACTAGCCACAGGAATGCAAAGCATATAAGACTATAAATTTCTCCAAGAATCTCTAGCTTACTTGTCTCTTGTGTTTCCTCTGCTGTGATTCTCACTCTCTTTGCAACAGGAGAACGTGTAATCATAAATCTGTGTTGGCTGCAGTGTCAAAGCAAGATTACACTGGGGGAAGAATCAAGTCCCTGCTCTATTGGAGCCGAGAAAGACAATAGCATCAATCTGACCCTTTTATAACCTCATTGTCCAGCCCTCACTTGTCTCATCTCTGATGGAGAGTGAGAGTAGATCCACCTATCATGTTTTTGCCCAATAAAGTGGTATGTGTTTGCAGAACATCTTGTTTTCATCTTATTCATATTTTGACTTGGCATTTATAGCAGTTGGGTAAAAAAAAAAAAAAAAAAAGCCACAGTCTGATTTGTCTGCAACAGACAGTCTAATTAAATTGGAGGGGAGGGACAGATGCACAAAACTGCTGAACTGCTCATAATACAAAACATGGCAGCTTCAGTTTGGAAAATCTGGCAAGATGGTGCCAACAATTTCTGCTCACTGAACTAGCTAAAGTATGTAATTATGTTAAGTTATCTTATTTTAATTCCAATTTCACATATATTTCTGATGCATTTGGAAAGAGCTTAGAAGGCTATTATTTGGGGTGTGATCAAAGAACTATATAAACATTCATAAATCCTGTAATGGCTTTCTGACTCAGTTTTTTAAATATTAATAATGTTTTTCAAAATAAATATTTATTCATAGGATTTTTTTCACCTTCAAATTATTTTTCCTATATGACTCAAAATCAACAACAGTTCTTCTCTGATACTTATGAACTGTATGAAATCAAGAGCTCCAAATGTTGTTTTTATTATTGCAAACCTGAAGCAAACCTTTATAAATATGAACTCCTATGAATAGAAGCACAAACTGCTTGTGTCTCCAGTGCCAAATCCTTTCAGTTGAACTGTTTTACAATCTATACTTCCAGTATAATGCTGTTCTTTCAGATTGCTGTGGCCGTCCACGTTGTTACTGTGAGAGTTTGCTAATCTAACATTGATCTATTTGTCCATTTCATCCTATGCCACTTTGTAACTCCCCAAAGTTACAAAGCCTGTAGGCATCACCATCTTTCAGTGTAAAAAGTACATTAACATATTTGTAGGTAATACACGTTTTACATAAAATATACTTTTCAGAATAATTTACAAGTTGCATGCCCCTATCTGGATGTAAAAATTTTCAAGAAATGATTGCTACAAAATAATTGATTTAAAAAATTAACTAAAGAGCTGATGACATAGAGACCCTAAAATAAACTCCAGAAAGTGCCAAACTCTTAATAGGCAAGAAGATATTTATGTACATTTTATCTTTAGAAAAAGAAAATTAAGCAAGAAATGACAACAACAAAAAAAGCAAGAAAATGTGATTCATGAGCAAGAGAGGCGTCAGTCAATGAAAGAAGACAGACATGGCTCAGATGGACTTTAATGAAATACGATAAAAATCTAAAAGTGCTAGTGAAAAAAGTGTACAACATGCATGAAGAAATGGAAAATGTCAAGAGAGACATGGAATCTATATTAAGAGGAAAACACTAGTTATGATAAATATATCAAAATAATTTATGAGGGTAAATGCTTATAATACTTTTATGTAGTTTTAACAAATACAAAATACATTCAAAATTATTAAAGGAAAAATAAGATACATTGGCACAACTTATCTTTAATTGTTATTCAGGTAAAATGTGTTTTAGAAAATAGAACAATGTCATGCCTGCTAAAGATGAAAAATTTAAAACGAGTAGTAGCCACCACTCCTTTCTGAAATCCCACTAAAAAAAGTAATTTTTCAAAAGAGAAATAAACCCAAAGAATAAAGAGAAAAACATGGTGGAAACTGAAATGCAACGGAAAGTATTAATAGTAATTGATTTAACAGATTCAAGACAACTGAGTCCTAATGTAACAATGAAGAAACCTCAGAATTTTCCAAATGCCTTTATACATACCAAAAAAAACAAATGACTTAGGAATTGGTAATGTTGGGTACTTACGGAAGTTGGAATAAAGGTAGTGTTAAAATCAGTTGAAAGCTTATTTAGATCTCCTGAGTACCTCGCCTCCTCCACATACCTAAGGCTCTGCTATTTCCCTCCACCCTAAGCCTTTCACTGATATACCAATCAGGCAGATGAATGGTAGTTTATCAAAAGGAGAGGGCAAATTAGAATATACCTGATCAGAGTTGGTAACCAGAATGCTATATTAAAAACAAGGAAATTGGGAGGAAATTTAGATACTATTTGTGTCACTCCACTAGGATTTGAGAACTAGAAGCCATAATTATGTCCTGTAGCCAAACTGAAAGAGTTTTTGGGGAGTCTGGCCAGCCCAAGAGAATAGTTCTAAAGGTAATGAAGGAAACACACACATACACACAAAACCTTAATATTTTCAAATAAATAAGAATATGCTGGAAAAAAGAAACATGAAGCAAAAAAATGAGTCTTTGAGAATTAGAAATATGATATTAGAAATGAAAATTTCAGTAGGAAGAATGGAAGACAAAAGTTGAGAAGGTAAAACAATGAAAGTAAAAAATAGAAAAGAAAAAATTAAGCATCTCAGAGGACCAAGGTAGGCCTCTTAACATATAAATAATAGGTGTTTCAAGAAGAGACAATAGAGGAATGGAGAGGAAGAAAAGAATAATTAAAGAAAATGTTCCAGAAGTAAGAGCCACAATTTTCCACACTGAAATATTCACTTGAGTATCCAGGGTAATTGATGAAAATAATCCTACACAATAGGTTTTTATCATATAACCATACCAGCTATAAACTGCCCAACTTTAGGAGCAACATTGTAAATTACAATATGAATTAACCTCTTGGTGCCTTCTTTGATGTTGCCCTGGCTTATTGCAATGCAATGGCCCTTTTCAGCAATCTAAACCATTATGAAATTTTAGAAAACAGAATGAAGCAAAGTTCCCATGAAATTCCAAGGCAGGGGTTGGGTAGTAGAGGCTTCATATGAAGACATCAGACTTCTCAATAATACTGAAAGCGAGGAAACAGTGAATAAAAGTCTTTAAAAACCTTTGTTGGTTGTTGTTGTTGTTGACACTGAGTCTCGCTCTGTTGCCCAGGCTGGAGTGCAGTGAAAAGATCTCAGCTCACTGCAACCTCTGCCTCCCCGGTTCAAGCAATTCTCCTACCTCAACCTCCTGAGTAGCTGGAATTACAGGCGTCCACGACCACACCTGGCTAATTTTTTTTATTTTTAGCACAGGCAGGGTTTCACCATGTTGGCCAGGCTGGTCTCAAACTCCTGATCTCAAATGATGCACCCACCTTGGCCTCCCAAAGTACTGAGATTATAGGTGTGAGCCACCATCCCCAGCCAAGTCTTAAAAATTCTAAGAGGAAGATGCTTTCCCACTTAGAACTCCATAGGAAGTCAAACAATAATGTAAGGAGAAAATAAAACAAATAAAACATATTTTCAGACATGCATGCTGTCAACAAATGTACTCCACTGATGCTTAGAAAGCTCCTGGGAATTTTATCCAGCAACATCAGGAAGGAAAACTGAAATATGGAAATCATGGAAGCCAGGAAACTAGAAATCTAAATTAGGAGAGATGAAGAGAATTATTAGTGTGATGATGTGTGGAGGAATCAATTTAAAAACCATCAGAGAAACAGTCTGCATTGGAACAAGAAACTACTTTTACAAAACTTTTCGAAAATAAGAAATTGATAGAATAACTGATGTGACTGAATAAAATGAGAGGAGATTACAAAATTTGGGGACAAATTAGGGATAAATTAATTAGTGAGAAGTGCTCACTAAACTTTTTTTTTTTTTTTTTTGAGACAGAGTCTTGCTTTGTTGCCCAGGCTGGAGAGCAGTGGTGCAATCTCAGCTCACTGCAACCTCCACCTCCTGAGTTCAAGCGATTCTCTCGCCTCAGCCTCCGGAGTAGCTGGGATTGCAGGTGCCTGCCACCACACCTAGCTAATTTTTTTTTTTTTTTTAGTAGAGATGGGGTTTCACCATGTTGTCCAGACTGATCTTGAACTCCTGGCCTCAAGTCATCCACCTGCCTATGCCTCCTAATCATTTTAAAAGGTATTATTAAGTCTAAGAAAAAAAAAAACAATGCACAGGAATAAAAAGTAATCATGGCATATCACAAGGCTCAGCTGGGAGTCAGTCACATAATCATGATAGTTATAATAATGCAAATATTAATCTCACCAAGTTTACGGTATAAGGAAAATTGCAAGATCGGGAGATAGAAAAGCGGGGCTGGGGAGGGTATGATGGGGCTATACATGAAAAAGACTGGGAAATTAAATAATAATGCTAAAACTAAACAGTGGTAAATAGATAAAGAGAAATACTAAAAGAGTAAGAATTGTGCAGGTGGTTGCCTCTGTGAAGTGGGAAATGTGGCACAGGATTGTGGTTCCGCTGCTTCTAACAAAATTTTGGAACAATTTCTCTTTTTTTTTTCATGCAGAATATATGCAAACCTGCATTTCAGATAGCTATGTGGTATTTTAATTAGCCATTTGTTGTACAACTATTATATGATCAGTAGGTCTGGTAGCTGTATATATTTATTCATGGATCACTCTCTCAATTCATGATAGTCAGTTGTGTGTCCTGCTGAAAGTTGTCACCTTGTCGGTCAGTCATCTTGCCTAATTCCTGGTAGCACCAGTCTCTGGGATTTAGGTATTCTGCCCTCAATTCATATAAATCTTTGAGCCCTATTTGAGAATGGACTATCAGGAACCATAATGTTGCTGTTTAAATTAATTTCAAGTATATCTCTACCTAGAATCTTACAGTGCTTTGCATCCTGTAATTTGTACGATGGTAGTATAGCTTTGTGGTTAAAAATCTTGGGAATGGTTTAGAGTCTGCAGCTAGACTGTCTAGATTCAAACTTTGCCTCCAGAACTTACTGTCTTTCTGACTTTAGACAGTTACTTAAGCTGAGTCTTAGTTTATTGATTTATAAAGTGAGATTAATAGTACTACTTACCTCAACAGATTAAATGTTAACTGAAATAATCCATGTAATGAGCTTATTGTGGTACTTGGCATTTAGTAAGTTCAAAAGAAGTGTTGGCTATTATTGTTATTACCTTCTCAGATCCAGGCTTAAAAGTATGGCATTCCCCCTAAAGTCCTCAGCTTCTTCAATAGCTTGAACAATTTGGATTCCAGTATCCTAACTGCCTAGCAGCTTGGCGCTCTGGGGCTTTTATGCAAATGGGACAAGAGGGCTGTCTGTGGCTTTCCAAACATCTCTAAAACAAGTATGCAAATTAGATTTAAATAGCCAGCATTGATTACATATGAAAAAATGATTCCAGCACCTTCTGTAAAAATAATAAAAAAGTCAAGATCATGATCAAACACAGTGAAAGCAAAGTAATTCCAACGGTGTGACTTTGGCTTTTTATTTAGATATATTTTAGTCCTGTATGACATTCAGGAAAAAAAACAAAATGAAACCTGGGAAGTATATAAAGAAAATAAGAATGAAAAATTCTGCATCAATTTGAAATAGCAGAATGAGAATAAACATCAGATTATAAGAATAAAAATAAGGTTTTGTAGCTGTACGGATAGCAAAAATCCATACATATAACTAAAACACTCACTAGTATCAGATGTGGCTGCAATTTAATTGCCCTGCATCCTTAAGAGTCTTGAGGTCCCTGAAATATTATAAAATATTTATCTGTTTTGCTCCTAATTTTTGTTTATTATTGTTTTATTTAAAACAAGACAGTGAGGATAAGCAATGATGAATTGTTTAAATGACAGGATGCTAAATATCTAACAAACACAATTTTAACTTGTGTCAAGGTGTCTCAGAGGGTATTTTTGCACTTACTTAGATGCAGTTATAATTATTCATGATGTACCAGTAAAAGATGCATTATGACATTTTAAACTTCAATCACAACTCATCTGTTTAATTGCGTGTACACTATGCTACTGTGTAATAATAAAAGCATTTATTTGGCAAAATAATTAAAAATATGTTTTTTTCTCCCTTACTCATTTGGATCAGAATCCAAAAATCAGACTGAGATGTAAATGAAAAGGGTACTTAGACTGCCATCTAGTACACATTTTTCTGTATAGCATTATTTCCAGAGCTGTTTGACTAACATCTCTAACACTGGAACAAATATATGCCTAATCATAATTCCCCTTTTTTGTATTGAAAATTGTATGTGGCCATCCTTTTCACTCTTTGACCTAAATACTTCCCCTAACTATTGATTCACGAGTGTTTCAATTTGGATATCAGGTTACTAGTACTTCATTCATTTGGCCCAGTTACAGAGGTTCAATCTATTAGGAATTTTCTTCAAAGGCTTTATATGAAATGTTCTTACTACCCAGTTATTTTCTTTTCTCAGAGAGTGTAGAAGGATTGGAACCAGGGGTCTCTCAGGATGCAACATGACTTGGAAAAGTATTTCTCTTTTTCAAGGAAAATACTTTATTTCATTGGCACATGAACTGTTAGACCGATGATTAAAATAAGTGGAAATATTTCCATTAATTGTTCTCCTAGAGTATGGCCTACTATCTATTTGTAAGCCTCCTGCCACATACCACATCGTTCCTTTAAAACGTCTGCTCTACCTCCAAGAGAATGAAGGAACACAAACCACAAGGGACTGGAAAACATGGAATGCACCCAAATATGGGCTAAAATGACCAAAACAAAGCAATATGTCAGGACTCACTCCGAATACCTTTAACACTGGCATTAAAACTGGATCAGTAAATGTTCTAACTTGGTGTTACGTAAGAATAGGCTAGCATCCCAAGGTCATTTAAGAATAGAGCAGAAACTCTAGTCCTTTCACACATTCCTGGAGTTCTTGCAGAAAACAGAGATGTTCGACTTTGTCCAGGGTGAAAGAAAACCTCACTAAAGTGTGGATGAGTAATCTCAGGTCAGGTCAATACCAATCAATTCAATTTATTTGCACACATTAATATTAAGTTCCTGTATGGCCCAGGAAGAGATTTTGGAGATAAAAGAATGACTAAGTCATGGTATATTTCATGACCAGCTCATCATATGTTGGTGACACAAACTTCAGGATTTAGAAAACCTTCAAAAGGCTATATTGTAGCTTAGTGAAAAATCCATCTTTGCAGATTTTCTACTGGAGTTTGGATAATTACTTGTCAGTTAGACAGCTGAAAAGATTTGTATATGGGAAGGACAGATATCTTAGATACCATTTAATGCATAATTCTCTGGTATTGTCATAAGTTGGGCCATTTCAAAACAATAAATAAATAAAGTAGAATATTGTATTTTGTTAAGAGGTATAATAATTTGTCTCAAGGACAAGGCTTTCAATAATCAAGTAGCCTAAAGTATTAATGAATCAAGAAAAGAGCTTTTTTTTCAGTAATGCCTGCAGAGTAGAAAAGTAATGCCTAATCAAATCTCAGAATTACAACTTAAATAATGGTAAAATAGGAGTACGTAACCATTTATTCTTTTTATCTTTCAATGTATAAGGTTTCTTGCTAATAATATTTTATCTGACTTCAGGATATTAAATTTGGAGAGAGATGTTCAAGATAACAATCCTATCCTATGTCTCCAAAATAATTTCAAGCAAAGCCCATTTCACTTTTGTAGCACCATCAACAACTTTCGTTCACTTAATGTCTTTAAATTTTTGACTTATTTTAATTTAAAGAACATGTGAAAATTTGAATTATAAAATAACACCAAATATTATGCATATTTTAAAATGTAGGAAATTCAACTAAAGCTGGATTTTAAAAAAATGCTTTAATGTGTTTATAGCACAAAGCAAAATGAAAATAAATGAGCAAAGCATTCCATTTAATAAATATGAATTGAATCAAATTATATTATTCAGTACATTAATAGTACAAATTTTAATGCAATTTAGCCTCCTGTTTTCACATAAGATGCTCTCTTAAATTGATGTAAATATAATAAACCTATACTTTCTTTTTTTCCCACTTCATCACCTCCATAAAGTTCTCTTTACCTCCACTAAGAGGCAATTATCTCTTAGTAGTTAGCAAACCACTCACGTCAGGCCTCTTTGCCTGTGTTTCCAGTTGCCTGCCTGTTGTATGAGTTTGCCAGGGCTTCAATGAAAAGGTACCACAGGCTGGGTGCTTAAACAACAGAAATTTATTTTCTCACAGTTCTGGAGGCTGGATGTTGAAAATCAAGGTGACAGCAGGTTTGGTTTTGCCTGAGGCCTCTCTCCTGGGCTTGTAGATAGCTGTCTTTTTCTGATGTCTTTACATGATCTGTCCTCTGTGTGTGTCCCTATTCTAATCTTTTCTTTTTATAAGACACCAGTCATATTGGATTAGGGCCCACACAGGTTACCTCATTTTACTACAATTACCTCTTTAAAGGTCCTCTCTCCAAATATAATCACATTCTGACGTACTGGCGGTTAGAACTTTAACATATGAAATTGGGGGGTACAAAATTCAGTCTATAAAATCTGCTGAGCTTAATTCTTTATTCTGTCATCATATGTTCAAAGTCCTTCGCAACAACATCTATCACTTCTATTTACTCATATTACTTATTTCTGAATTTCTTATGTTGTTATATTTAACTTTCTTGAAGTTATTTATTACCCAACTATATGATAATTCTCTTGAGAACAAGTGTTTAGCTCTTTTTCTATATTTACATTGTGTTTTATGGAAGTGAATATTCAATAAATATCTATTGATTGGCTTTCCTGTGACTACTAACACTTTAAGATTTTCTGTCCTCTTCCTTGCTGTCCACTAATCCAGCATCTTTAGATAAATGTTCAACTCCAATAGAGAAAGCTATTTATAACGAAATGTGCATAGTCATCCACTTTATAAAAGAAAGCAGTTTTCTGAAAACTTAATAATATTCTCATCTGGTTTTTAAATTTGTACCTTCTCATTTTAAAATTTCTTAAGGATATTCAGAGTTCTGTGTAAAGTAATTTATCTCTTCAACAAAAACTCTATACTGCAATTCAAATCTATGGTTAAATATGAAACATGAATACAGATATGAGATATTGACTAACCCTCCTTACTAATTTACACACTCTGTAATTAAGCCAGGGGCTGTTTAAACTATACACTTTAATGCAAATGCACATTCAGAAATATTTATTATTGCATCCTTTTTAAGACAAGAGAAGACAAAGGCTCTAAGTCACTCCCTATTAAGTATTATAAGCCAAGAAAGGGAACAATCAATTTCAGACATTTAAAAAATTATTTTAATATTATTTCAATATTAGTCTGTTTACATGATCTCTTTGGAACCCAAAGTTCCCTGTCCTGTGCATTCTTTGAATTTTGACAACTCATGGATGCATTAAAATAAAAAAGTAATAAATTTTTAAATTTCAAATTTTATCTAGCATTTAAATTATTTTTAGTAGAGGATTTATTCAAGAACCTGGTCCTCCAATGAAATTCAAAATTTTTATTTTTAATGTACTTTAATCTTTCTTTTATTTTTATTTTTTGACAGAGTCTCATTCTGTTGCCCAGGCTGGAGTGCAGTTGTGGGATCTTGGTTCACTGCAACCTCCGCCTCCCAGGTTTAATTGATTCTCATGCCTCAGCCTCCCAAGGAGTGGGGACTGCAGGTGTGTGCCACCACACACAGCTAGTTTTTGTATTTTTAATAGAGACAGGGTTTCACCATGTTGGCCAGGCTGGTCTTGAACTTTGGGCCTCAAGTGATCCACCTGCCTTGCTCTCCCAAAGTGAAGGTATTATGGGCATAAGCCACCATGCCCAGCCAATGTATTTTAATCTTATGCTATGTTGTATATATTCAGTAATGACAAATCACTTAGAGGAGGCACAGGGGTAATGTCAAAATTCAACCTTATCATCAAAATTCTTGAAACTATAGTTTCAGTACTATCTTTTAAACATAGAAAACATTAAACATAATCAAAATGAGGAACTGATTTGCACTAATTCTTGGAAACTGGCAAATATCTAACAATATGACATGACTAATTTGGTTTGAAAAATTCCCAAGTAGCATTATCATTATTCAAACTACAGAGCATCTATGTTCAAAGACTAATTGAATATGCTTTTATTTTCACTGGGCTGAATATGCAGTGATTAATTGAGGTTATGATAGCCATGATTACCTGGTTCATCTCATTACCTAAACGTCATCAAAAAAGAAATCCTGAAATTAGAACTTTGGACAAGTAAATATTAATATACATATAAAAAAAGTGTCTGAAACTGCCAGTTGGATTTTGCCTTAAATGTATTTCCTATGGCTTGTATGGCTAAGATAAGAAGAGAGAAATGTTAATGGATGATATTTATTATTTGAAGATGTCACATAGAATTCCACATTTCTGTCTTCTTTTGAAAAAGTGATTATCTGACAACAAGGGCCCACTTGCCTACATGGTGACAGGCAGATGAAACTAAGCAGTCACTGGCCTGTTTAGGTGGGACAGGCATGCTCCCATCCCACCATAGCCCACACCACTGTCTATTGTGTTACCGCTGAAATCATTCATTCACCTGCCTGCCCATGTATTAATTTATACTTGCAACATTTTATAGCAAGTGGAAAAAATGGAAAATATTTAGAATTTGAAAAGGAATCCATGTTTGCATCAAAATCTTGGTAAAGCTGAAAATGTAGGACATATAAAAATTGGAAACAAAGACTAAAACAAAACATGTCCACATTACTAAAGTATAGAAACTCATTCGTTAAGAATATAAGCAACTAGAAATGGTCACAGGGAGGGGAACAACACACACAGGTGCCTGTTGAAGGAGGATGGAGGGGGAGAGTAATAGGGAAAATAGCTAATGCATGCTGGGCTTAATACCTAGGTGATAGGTTGACAGGTGCAGCAAACCACCATGGCACATGTTTACCTATGTAACAAACCTGCACATCCTACACATGTACCCAAGAACTTAAAAAAAAAGTAATAATAAAAAAAGAAGAAGAATGTGTTTTTATAGAACCTATATAGGACCTTGTAGTACTAATTTTAAGGTCCTTAATTGTCTTTTAACATCAAAGACATTAAGAATCCTTTAGTATTAAGTAGAGGTCATTGATTTCTAATTATCTGAAAATGGTGATCCATGTAGTTAGCATAAAGCAACTTACTTTTGACTAGATGTGGTTAAATTACAGAAATCAATCATGTTATCAAGTCCACTGGACAACAGTATGATTCAATTTAACACTATGCATTGCTAAAGCATTGTGTCACTTTAGGCTTCAAGTGAAGACCCATGTGATATTGCCAAATCAATAAGATTTGGAAATTCTCTCATTATTCATATTTATTCATTTAAAAAACTTCAATAGAAGTTTTTATAATCAAATGATTAAGGTATACAATTAATATTAAATCTATAAGAAACTGAAAATGTAAAATGGACTAAGGTATACAATTAGTATTAAATCTATAAGAAACTGAAAATGTAAAATGGACTTCTAAAAATAATTAGCTAAGAAAAAATATCCCGGCCAGGCACAGTGGCTCACACCTGTAATTCCAGCACTTTGGGAGGCCAATGCAGACGGATCACAAGGTCAGGAGATAGAGACCATCCTGGCTAGCATGGTGAAACCCCATCTCTACTAAAAAAAAAAAAAAAAATACAAAAAATTAGCTAGGCCTGGTGGTGGGTACCTGTAGTCTCAGCTACTCGGGAGGCTGAGGCAGGAGAATGGCGTGAACCTGGGAGGTGGAGCTTGCAGTGAGCTGAGATCGCACCACTGTACTCCAGCCTGGGCGACAGAGTGAGACTCCATCTCAAAAAAAAAAAAAAAAAAAAAGAAAAAGAAAATATCCCTTGGTAGTATACAAGAAATTATTTAAACAAGAGTACTTGAAGATCATATCCTTAACAATCTGATTAAGTTATACCAAAACAACAGACGTATTCAGTGAGGTGAAAAAATATGCTTTCATTTTTTAGAGAGTCAAATAAAAGAAAGAGAGAGTGAGAAGAGGGGAAGGGGGAAGAAGAAGAGAAGGGAGGAAGGGGAGAGAAAAAGAAAGGAAGGGCAGGGAAAAGGACGAGAGAGAAAAGGAAAGGAAGAGGAAGAGAAAAAGGAAGGACAGAAGAAAGGAAGGAAGGAAGGAATTATGAGACATATAGTTTCAGTAGTAAAACTGGTTTAAGAAGTCATCACACTTGGCCCCAACCTGGTTAATAAAAAAATGCAGCTGGCAGCCAAGATGGCCGAATAGGAACAGCTCCAGTCTACAGCTCCCAGCGTGAGCAATGCAGAAGATGGGTGATTTCTGCATTTCCATCTGAGGTACCGGGTTCATCTCACTAGGGAGTGCCAGACAGTGGGCGCAGGACAGCGGGTGCAGCGCACCATGCACGAGCCAAAGCAGGGTGAGGCATTGCCTCACTTGGGAAGCACAAGGGGTCAGGGAGTTCCCTTTCCTAGTCAAACAAAGGGGTGACAGACGGCACCTGGAAATTCGGGTCACTCCCACCCTAATACTGCGCTTTTCCAATGGGCTTAAAAAACGGCGCACCAGGAGATTATATCCCACACATGAGGGTCCTATGCCCATGGAGTCTCGCTGATTGCTAGCACAGCAGTCTCAGATCAAACTGCAAGGCAGCAGCGAGGCTGGGGGAGGGGCGCCCGCCATTGCCCAGGCTTGCTTAGGTAAACAGCAGCCAGGAAGCTCAAACTGGGTGGAGCCCACCACAGCTCAAGGAGGCCTGCCTGCCTCTGTACGCTCCACCTCTGGGGGCAGGGAACATACAAATAAAAAGACAGCAGTAACCTCTGCAGACTTAAGTGTCCCTGTCTGACAGCTTTGAAGAGAGCAGTGGTTCTCCCAGCACGCAGCTGGAGATCTGAGAATGGGCAGACTGCATCCTCAAGTGGGTCCCTGACCCCTGACCCACAAGCAGACTAACTGGGAGGCACCCCCCAGTAGGGGCAGACTGACACCTCACACGGCCGGGTACTCCTCTGAGACAAAACTTCCAGAGGAACGATCAGAAAGTAGCATTCGCAGTTCACGAAAATCCGCTGTTCTGCAGCCACTGCTGCTGATACCCAGGCAAACGGGGTCTGGAGTGGACCTCTAGCAAACTCCAACAGAACTGCAGCTGAGGGTCCTTTCTGTTAGAAGGAAAACTAACAAACAGAAAGGACATCCACATCAAAAACCCATCTGTACATCACCATCATCAAAGACCAAAAGTAGATAAAACCACAAAGATGGGGAAAAAACAGAGCAGAAAAACTGGAAACTCTAAAAAGCAGAGCACCTCTCCTCCTCCAAAGGAACGCAGTTCCTCACCAGCAACGGAACAAAGCTGGACAGAGAATGACTTTAACGAGTTGAGAGAAGAAGGCTTCAGATGATCAAACTACCCCGAGCTACAGGAGGAAATTCAAACCAAAGGCAAAGAAGTTAAAAACTTTGAAAAAAATTTAGACAAATGTATAACTAGAATAACCAATACAGAGAAGTGCTTAAAGGAGCTGATGGAGCTGAAAGCCAAGGCTCGAGAACTACATGAAGAATGCAGAAGCCCCAGGAGCCGATGCGATCAACTGGAAGAAAGGGTATCAGCAATGGAAGATGAAATGAATGAAATGAAGCAAGAAGGGAAGTTTAGAGAAAAAAGAATAAAAAGAAACGAACAAAGCCTCCAAGAAATATGGGACTGTGTGAAAACACCAAATCTATGTTTGATTGGTGTACCTGAAAGTGACGGGGAGAATGGAACCAAGTTGGAAAACACTCTGCAGGATATTATCCAGAAGAAATTCCCCAATCTAGCAAGGCAGGCCAACATTCAGATTCAGGAAATACAGAGAACGCCACAAAGATACTCCTCGAGAAGAGCAACTCCAAGACACGTATTATCAGATTCACCAAAGTTGAAATGAAGGAAAAAATGGTAAGGGCAGCCAGAGAGAAAGGTCGGGTTACCCACAAAGGGAAGCCCATCAGACTAACAGCGGATCTCTCGGCAGAAACTCTATAAGCCAGAAGAGAGTGGGGGCCAATATTCAACATTTTTAAAGAAAAGAATTTTCAACCCAGAATTTCATATCCAGCCAAACTAAGCTTCATAAGTGAAGGAGAAATAAAATACTTTACAGACAAGCAAATGCTGAGAGATTTTGTCACCACCAGGCCTGCCTTAAAAGAGCTCCTGAAGGAAGCACTAAACATGGAAAGGAACAACTGGTACCAGCCACTGCAAAATCATGCCAAATTGTAAAGACCATCAAGGCTAGGAAGAAACTGCATGAACTAATGAGCAAAATAACCATCTAACATCATAATGACAGGATCAAATTTACACATAACAATATTAACTTTAAATGTAAATGGACTAAATGCTCCAGTTAAAAGACACAGACTGGCAAATTGGATAAAGAGTCAAGACCCATCAGTGTGCTGTATTCAGGAAACCCATCTCACGTGCAGAGACACACATAGGCTCAAAATAAAAGGATGGAGGAAGATCTACCAAGCAAATGGAAAACAAAAAAAGGCAGGGGTTGCAATCCTAGTCTCTGATAAAACAGACTTTAAACCAACAAAGATCAAAAGAGACAAAGAAGGCCATTACATAATGGTAAAGGGATCAATTCAACAAGAAGAGCTAACTATCCTAAATATATATGCACCCAATACAGGAGCACCCAGATTCATAAATCAAGTCCTGAGTGACCTACAAAGAGCCTTAGACTCCCACACAATAATAATGGGAGACTTTAACACCCCACTGTCAACATTAGACAGATCAGTGAGACAGAAAGTTAACAAGGATACCCAGGAATTGAACTCAGCTCTGCACCAAGTGGACCTAATAGACATCTATAGAACTCTCCACCCCAAATCAACAGAATATACATTTTTTTCAGCACCACACCACACCTATTCCAAAATTGACCACAGAGTTGGAAGTAAAGCTCTCCTCAGCAAATGTAAAAGAACGGAAATTATAACAAACTGTCTCTCAGACCACAGTGCAATCAAACTGGAACTCAGGATTCAGAAACTCACTAAAAACCGCTCAAATACGTGGAAACTGAGCAACCTGCTCCTGAATGACTACTGGGTACATAACGAAATGAAGGCAGAAATAAAGATGTTCTTTGAAACCAATGAGAACAAAGACACAACATACCAGAATCTCTGGGACACATTCAAAGCAGCGTGTAGAGGGAAATTTGTAGCACTAAATGCCCACAAGAGAAAGCAGGAAAGATTCAAAATTAACACCCTAACATCACAATTCAAAGAACTAGAAAAGCAAGAGCAAACACATTCAAAAGCTAGCAGAATGCAAGAAATAACTAAAATCAGAGCAGAACTGAAGGAAATAGAGACACAAAAAACCCTTCAAAAAATTAATGAATCCAGGAGCTGGTTTTTTGAAAGGATCAACAAAATTGATAGACCACCAGCAAGACTAATAAAGAAGAAAAGAGAGAAGAATGAAATAGATGCAATAAAAAATGATTAAGGGGATATCACCACCGATCCCACAGAAATACAAACAACCATCAGAGAATACCACAAACACTTCTACACAAATAAACTAGAAAATCTAGAAGAAATGGATAAATTCCTTTACACATACACCCTCCGAAGTCTGAACAAGGAAGAAGTTGAATCTCTGAATAGACTGATAACAGGCTCTGAAATTGTGGCAATAATCAATAGCTTACCAACCAAAAAGAGTCCAGGACCAGATGGATTTGCAGCCTAATTCTACCAGAGGTACAAAGAGGAAATGGTACCATTCCTTCTGAAACTATTCCAATCAATAGAAAAAGAGGGAATCCTCCGTAACTCATTTTATGAGGCCAGCATCATCCTGATACCAAAGCCGGGTAGAGACACAACCAAAAAAAAGAATTTTAGACCAATATCCTTGATTAACATTGATGCAAAAATCCTCTATAAAATACTGGCAAACTGAATCCAGCAGCACATCAAAAAGCTTATCCACCATGATCAAGTGGGCTTCATCCCTGGGATGCAAGGCTGGTTCAATATATGTAAATCAATACATGTAATCCAGCATATAAACAGAACCAAAGACAAAAACCACAGGATTATCTCAATAGATGCAGAAAAGGCCTTTGACAAAATTCAAAAACGCTTCATATTAAAAACTCTCAATAAATTAGGTATTGATGGGATGTATCTAAAAATAATAAGAGCTATCTATGACAAACCCACAGCCAATATCATACTGAATGGGCAAAAACTGGAAGCATTCCTTTTGAAAACTGGCACAAGACGGGGATGCCCTCTCTCACCACTCCTATTCAACATAGTGTTGGAAGTTCTGGCCAGGGCATTCAGGCAGGAGAAGGAAATAAAGGGTCTTCAATTAGGCAAAGAGGAAGTCAAATTGTCTGTGTTTGCAGATGACATGATTGTATATCTAGAAAACCCCATCCTCTCAGCCCAAAATCTCCTTAAGCTGATACGCAACTTCAGCAAAGTTTCAGGATATACAATCAATGTACAAAAATCACAAGCCTTCTTATACACCAATAACAGACAAACAGAGAGCCAAATCATGAGTGAACTCCCATTCACAATTGCTTCAAGGAGAATAAAATACCTAGGAATCCAACTTACAAGGGATGTGAAGGACCTCTTCAAGGAGAACTACAAACCACTGCTCAATGAAATAAAAGAGGATACAAAGAAATGGAAGAACATCCCATGCTCATGGGTAGGAAGAATCAATATCATGAAAATGGCCATACTACCCATGGTAATTTATAGATTCAATGCTGTCCCCATCAAGCTACCAATGACTTTCTTCACAGAATTGGAAAAAACTACTTTAAAGTTCGTATGGAACAAAAAAAGAGCCTGCATCACCAAGTCAGTCCTAAGCCAAAAGAACAAAGCTGGAGGCCTCATGCTACCTGACTGCAAACCATACTACAAGGCCACAGTAACCAAAACAGCATGGTACTGGTACCAAAACAGAGATATACATCAATGGAACAGAACAGAGCCCTCAGAAATAATGCCACATATCTACAAATATCTGATCTTTGACAAACCTGAGAAAAACAAACAATGGAGAAAGGATTCCCTATTTAATAAATAGTGCTGGGAAAACTGGCTAGCCATATGTAGAAAGCTGAAACTGGATCCCTTCCTTACACCTTATACAAAAATTAATTCAAGATGGATTAAAGACTTAAATGTTAGACCTAAAACCATAAAAACCCTAGAAGAAAACCTAGGCATTACCATTCAGGACATAGGCATGGACAAGGACTTCATGTCTAAAACACCAAAAGCAAGGGCAACAAAAAGCCAAAATTGAGAAATGGGATCTAATTAAACTAAAGAGCTTCTGCACAGCAAAAGAAACTACCATCGGAGTGAACAGGCAACCGACAAAATGGGAGAAAATTTTCACAACCTACTCATCTGACAAAGGGCTAATATCCAGAATCTTAAATGAACTCAAACAAATTTACAAGAAAAATCAAACAACCCCATCAAAAAGTGGGAGAAGGACATGAACAGACACTTCTCAAAAGAAGACATTTATGCAGCCAAAAAACACATGAAAAAATGCTCACCATCACTGGCCATCAGAGAAATGCAAATCAAAACCACATTGAGATACCATCTCACACCAGTTAGAATGGCAATCATTAAAAAGTCAGGAAACAACAGGTGCTGGAGAGGATGTGGAGAAATAGGAACACCTTTACACCATTGGTGGGAATGTAAACAAGTTCAACCATTGTAGAAGTCAGTGTGGCGATTCCTCAGGGATCTAGAACTAGAAATACCATTTGACCCAGCCATCCCATTACTGGGTATATACCCAAAGGACTATAAATCATGCTACTATAAAGACACATGCACACGTATGTTTATTGTGGCACTATTTACAATAGCAAAGACTTGGAACCAACCCAAATGTCCAACCATGATAGACTGGATTAAGAAAATGTGGTACATATACACCATGGAATACTATGCAGCCATAAAAAATGATGAGTTCATGTCCTTTGTAGAGACATGGATGAAATTGGAAATCATCATTCTCAGTAAACTATCGCAAGGACAAAAAGCCAAACACCGCATGTTCTCATTCATAGATGGAAATTGAACAATGAGAACACAAGGACACAGGAAGGGGAACATCACACTCTGGGGACTGTTGTGGGGTGAGGGGAGTGGGGAGGGATAGCATTAGGAGATATACCTAATGCTAAATGACGAGTTAATGGGTGCAGCACACCAGCATGGCACATGTATACATATGTAACTAACCTGCACATTGTGCACATGTACCCTAAAACTTAAAGTATAATAATAATAAAATAAAAAAATTAAAAAAAAATGCTTCCTGGAAAATGGTAAGACCTTTTCTAATAAACAAGGGTATACAATACTTAAGTTAATAAATTAGAAAATGCTGAAGTTAAGCCAAAGTCTGCTCTTCTTTTAATTTCTTTTTTTTCCTTTTCTTTTTCTTTTCTTTTCTTTTTTTTTTTTGACACAGTTTTGCTCGTCATCCAGACTAGAGTACAATGGCACAATCTCGGCTCACTGCAAACTCTGCCTCCCGGGTTCAGGTGATTCTCCTGTCTCATCCTCCCAAGTAGCTGCGATTACAGGTGCACACCATCTTGCCTGGCTAATTTTTTGTATTTTAGTAGAGACAGGGTTTCACTGTGTTGCCCAGGCCTGTCTCGAACTCCTTAGCTCAGGCAGACCACCAGCCTCAGCATCCCAAAGTGGTAGGATTACAGGCATGAGCCACTGCCCCAGCCTTCTTACAATTTCTACAGGTCAGGCCTATTTTGACCCTTATATCCACAAAATAGTCATTTTAAAAATTTGCACTACATAGTTTAGATACAACTTCAAAAAATATAGTTAGCCTAGTTTATAAACTCTACTCCATGTTAGAAGTATGATCTGGTACGTCCTAGCAGCGGTTGTCCTTTGGTCTTCTGGAAATTTTAACTTTAGCTATGACTGCTATTAACAGGAATTACGGCTGCTGAACTCTCAAATTATTCAACTACAGGATTATTCAACTGCATAGGATCAGTCCATTACTCTCTTCAAAGAGCATAATATGAGTTTTTTTTTCCTTAAGTTTTACAAGCTTTGAAGCTAGTGAGACCTGATCCAAATTCTTGGATTAATGAGAATAATCTGAGTTCTGTCAGATCAAACTAACCTGATAACTGGTGTGCCACCTTTCATATTTACTTAGAAAAACAATGTGAATAAATAGTCACAATTCACTTTCTAAGGTTAAGACATAATTGCTGCTCAATAATTTTTCACTCCTTATCAGTCCTTTCACTACTACATTCAAGAGACTTCAAGCCTCATGATCTAATTACCTCCTGAAGGTTTCACCTCCAAATACTATCACATTGCAGGTTAGGTTTAATTGTATGATTCTGGGGGGTACAAAATCATTCAGTCTGTAGCACTCAGAGTAAGGGCAGATCCTTCACTCTTGGTCCTGAAATGGAAAGCCATGTGGGTGCAGACTTACCATCAGTCACCAGCATTGAGCATAATCCCACTGACCTGCAAGACTTCAAGATATTTGAGAAAGAACTAAATGCTTTTTGTGCTGTTAGTGCAATAATAATAATAATCTGGGAGTTTTAGTTTGCACAGCATAATGTAACAAATTTTATTAACACCCTGGTCAGTAACTTCGATCAGATTCTCAAATGAGTTTTGTTATCCTCAAAAAGGCTAAGAGTTACTGTCACAGAAAGTGCCATGAAAGCACAAAAGGGTGTGAGTGCTTGGCAATTCTCTGCTGTATTTCTTCATGATACACTGCCAAACTATATAATTCCACATGCAGGTTCATCATAGGAAAAGATTTTCATAATAACCCATTATTATCATTAGTTTATCCTCACAACATAGAAAAACAAATCACTCTACTGTGATACCCTCTAACTTCCTCATCTAAGACTTATTTACTTCTGGCCGGATTTTTTTTTATATTCCAGGCTTCTAATTAACAAATATTAATAACTAGGAAACTATTAATAGGAAAATTATATTCCAATGTTTTCCAAGAGATTTAAAATGCGAATTCTCATTTAACTATGTGAAGTACTTATTTGTTTCACTTTCCTCAACTATACATTACTGAAAGATGTTGCACAGTCTACTGACATGTTATTCAGTGACTGTGTCCTGAAATTCCTGATTGCTGAAATTCCTGCACTCATGTAATCTACGCTAGATAAGAAGATCATTAGAAAAACCCTAAACCTCACCAATGCAGATGAGCACACTGTTGTTCACAGACCTTAAATGATTTGCCTAAGATCACACAGCACCTCATTGGCAGACCTGGGACTATAACATAGGACTTTCGGCTCTCATTTCACTCATTGTTACTAAAATATGCAGTGTGACTTAAGAGTGTTAATAAGTACTCTACAGACTGCTTATCTGTGTATCAATAGGCAGGCAGAATTTGCCAACATCCAGGAATTTTGTCATTTTATTAGGCCTCATAGAAAAACTTAATATCAGGATTTTCTGAGGATCTGAAAGGCAAAACTCTGTATAGTACTAAGAAGTTTCCTCTGACTTACTCTCCATTAATCCCTCCTTACTAATTCTACTAAATGTGTCCAGACTAGCTTCTGGGTATGCATTTGGTGATCGTAAGTCTATGATAAGTAGGTATAAGTATATGGCTCAAATGTATGTCCAAAAGTCAAGTGTATGCACAGAAAATTCCTGGGAATTTATTTTAGAAATCGATCACCACTCAAACCTACTTTTGTCTATAGTTTAGTCATCAAAAATAAATAATCTTTTCAAGTTAATACAACAGGTACTTTTTAAGTGTTTACTATATACAAGGTACTCCATTTTATATGACCAAGATGAATATATCAAGGCAACTGTTCTCAAAATGTTCGCATTCTAAAATAGACACCACTGATCTGGCAAATAGTGTGGTCCTTTTATAGTGAAATAATATAATCTAAATTTTGAATTCATATAAATTTAATCCTAAAGACTACACTACATTTCTCTTTTTGCATGAAAAACATGCCTTTACTACTCTTATTTTTTGCTTTAAAAATTCTAATCTTATTGAATGCTCATGCAGAAGCCAGCTCTAGAAGGGGGTGTGGCATTAGTTGCCAGGGGTTGCATCTTTATATTGCTTTGAAAAATTGAACATGATTTTCATGGAAAACCTACTTTAATGTTTTATTAGCATTCTCCAAATGCTTTCCTTTTCCATCTGTATTGATAAGCATTAAAATACATCCACTAAAGACATTTTTACATTATTTTCTCAAATGCGAGCCAATTTTAATTTAGTGGGCAATTATTTTGAGTGAATGAAAGTTAAATATGTGCCATTTTTACCTAATTTACTCCAGTTAATATTAATTCCTAGCTAATAATTGTAGTATCAGCTATAATGACAAAGGGGCTTATGACACCACATGCCTCCCTACCACAACACACTGGCACAGCAATGCTGAACTTGAACTGTCATCCTCTGGAGAAGGACAGCTGAGACATCAATGAAATATTCTGTTCTCTTCTTCTAAAATATGTCTTATTTTCTCACAGGACTCTCCAGAATGAAGGCAAGGCAGACAGCAGGATTGAAGCAATTCATGACTGCAAATTTAAGGAAACGATAAAAGACACATTTCAAAATATCAGATCTGTGATTCATGCCTGTTACTTCCTTTAAGACATGGCCCACAATTCACCTTTTAAAGAAACCTTTTCTTCTATCCCCATCTGTGAGTAAGGTGACCTTATAGTTTATTGTTTAACTGGAACACTGTTGAGAATGAAATGGTGCTATAAATAATAGGGCTGAGACGAGACGCATAAACCAACCATCCCTGCTAGACTGGGATGAATGGCCGCATTATCCATGAAGCAAGCACCATTCCTTTAACAGTCTAATAGTATTTACTACAGGTTTTACTTATTTGACATTTACCATATGCTACTGAGTGCTGCTTATATATTATGTATATGTTGTTATAGTTTTGAGAGCAGAAAGAGTATCTTTTACTTGCTTGTTTCTTCAGATACTAATACAAATCCTACACATAGCATGCACTCAGTAGATATGATTGAAGTTAATGCTTGAACAGTTAGTTCTTAATGTTTGTCAGAAGAATTTCTATTAGTCAGGGTTCTCCAGAAAAACACAACTGCAATTGGCTCATGGGACTGTAGATGCTAAGAAGTCCCAGATCTTCAGTCAGTAAGCTGGAGACCCAGGAAAGTGGATGTGTAGTTCCAGGAGAAAGTTGGTGTGCTCCATATCCAAAAAGAGTACATTTTTCGGTTAAAGCCCCAGCTTTAAGTAGGATGAGTTCCCTCCTACTTATGGAAGGGTCAGCGTATTTGTTCTATTTAGGCCTTTAGTGGGTTGTATTAGGGCCACCCATATTAGGGAAGGCAATCTGCCTTAGTCTAGAGGTTCAAATATTAATCTCATCCAGAAACATCCTCACAGACACACCCAGAATAATGTTTGACCAAATATCTGCATACCCCATGGCCCAGTCAAGTAGACATATAAAAATGACCATTACAGAACCCACTGCATGATACTTTTAATGACAATGACTTCAGTTAATATTATTGTATCTTTACCTATACGGCTTGATTTTGGCTACTGCAAGATAATAAGATCTTCACTGCTTCCGCTGGATTTCCCCAAAGTGCCCAGGAGCACACTTGTTAATACTATTAATAATAACAATTTAGGAACTGTGAAGACACAGCTGAATAGGGCACTTTCTGCTTTTAGAGACCTAAAGGTCTTGTTTGGAAGAGGAGATAATAAATACAGATGAAAGATGACTCACAGAGAGTCAATAAATCATGTAATGTCTGCAATACAAACAGAAAATACAAAACAGTGTGGTGAAAAGTATGAAAAGTTGACGTCTGAAAATCTATGTTTGAGTAACTTCTGTACCATTTCAGAAAGACCTGCATTTGGATCCAGCTCTATGAATTAATATCTATGAAATCTTAGACTTTAAGAACTTCATTTATTCTACTGTAAAATATAATCAGCAATAAATTTTTATCATATAATTGTTGTGCGACTGGCACGTAGTAAGCACTAAATTATAATTGTTATAACCATTATTCCATTATAACATTCTCATTACTATTCTATCAACAGCTATGATTACTAAGCCTTTCTGGTTTATTATGTTATCATTAAATGTAGATAAAACTAAACCTAAAAAATTATTGTGAAGAGTAAATGATAACAGTAAATGATACACAATACAGACTTGGTTTGTTATAATTTTTGAAAGCAGAAACTATTTAGTTAATGTGTTTAGTTAACATGTTTAGTTAACTTAAAACATTGTGCAAGTGTTAATTGGAAGTATTACTGTCATTACTTTAACAGAGTAGATATATGCCACAGATAACATGGCTGTGTCTAAGATTCTGTAGGTATTTAGAACTGAAATGAGATTAGACCAACATTAATTCAACGAGATGTTCTTTAAAATATTTTTATTGTTTCTCTGTATTCCTTCACTATATTCTTTTATGAGAACATATAATAGGGTTTGAAATTGAAAATTTTCCAATCTGGGATTACAGTAGCCAGGGGAATGTTTGATAGAAAAATGCAGGAAGGGAACAAAATGAGGAAGATATTTTCAGGTGGCCCTCAAACAGAAAGGTTTTGTCCTTTGACCCAAATCTAGAAAGTCCTAGGTTAGTCTTACTCTCATACCACAATTTTCAGAAAAGTCCTTCACTGTCATAGTGGAAAATAAACACAAAAATGCTCATATACAGGAACCGACTTTGTAAAGACTCTGCTTTATTAAAAAGAAATCGAAGCACAAAAGCTACAGTTGTACAGTCTGAATTTCCTCCCTCTAAGACTGAACTCGCAGTAGATTTAGACAAACAGGCCAAACATGTGGAATTTGAATACTAGTCCCAATATAAACATGGAACCATTTAAAGACACCAGCATGAAAAACCACATGATCACAGAGAAAGAGAGCTTTGTAGAACTAGGAGATTAAAAAAAAAAAAGAATTTAAAGAGAATCTGAGTGACTAAATGTTGAGGGTCCAATTTAATCAACTCTAAAATATAATTAAAATTTCATATTAATGATAATTGTATATGTTTATATTTCATTTAAGGGTAGTTAAGAGGATGCTTTAGAAGTCGTAGGAACTGAGTAAAAGAAGAAACACAACCTTACAGATTTTCAAATGTGTAACCATTTTTTTAAGGGACATGTGGAAAAGGAGCAGGTACTGATTGATAGCATCTAGTGATTAGCTGTCATTACTTGTATTTCCTTTGACACATCTTTCTTTTTAGAGTTGATAACATTCTTTTTCAAACAATTTATTTTAGTCT
The DNA here is from genome assembly GCF_000001405.40 of Homo sapiens. Classification (NCBI taxonomy): domain Eukaryota; kingdom Metazoa; phylum Chordata; class Mammalia; order Primates; family Hominidae; genus Homo; species Homo sapiens. The sequence continues at coordinate 46,579,352 of NC_000004.12, forward strand.
CTAGTTTAATTAATCTCAATTAATTATATATAAAATAGTTTAAAGTAATAAAGATCTAAGTTAAAATTATAGCTCTCACACTTATTTTTTATTTAGAACAAGCCATTTGGGGATAAAATAGGACCCTGTTGATAGTAATGAGGATTGAAGGCATATAAAGGGTTCAGCAGCAGAATGACTGGTTTCATAAAGGTTATTCCTTTTTATTACAATAATAAGTCCCTAATTCAAAGACAAAGGATATGGAAGGCTTTCTGTCTTTTTCTTCGCACAATTATATCTTATTGCCCTCTTCTTTTCTCTATCCTTTACTTCTTACCACACTCAGAGGAAAATAAAGGGAGATGAAGAACTCCAAGAAGGTTCAACTTTCACAGTCAAAAGTGTTCCCAAACAAGGAGAAGAAGAAGATACAGAGAGATACAGGGAACAGTTAGACTGGTAGGTCAACAGAAATGTGTGATAGGAAAAAAGGGGTCATTAAATGGCAACTTGTATTTGCCATAATATCTGAGAATGACTCAGCCCTTAGTTGGGAGCTAAATATCTTTGAAGCACCAGCTGGCCCTTGTGATGTGAAAACATCACAAAGTGTCTTTTCATTCAGTTTTTGGGATTAAGGTGCTTTGAAAGCTTCTGTAGAACTAAATGTGTTGAACTTTCTATGAATAATGGTTTGGCAAACCCCTGTTGTGTTCCCCTTGTATTAAGATTATCATCTGTACAGACATATATATGTAAATTTGTTCTGTCATGTTTTTGTTATTTTAAGACATTAGAATGTAATTTATTGGATTCAGTATGTAGGAAGGATCATATATATGTATTGGAATATTTTTTGAATTATTAATTAGCAATGGAAACTTGGTCTAGTCATTTCAATTGCAGGGTCTTGGTTTCTTTATTTGCATAACATAAAATTGTAATATTATTTTTCCATATTTCTATGATTTTTATAGTAGAAGTCCAGAACTTAGCTGTATAAGAAATGAACTTGTTTTTTTTGTTTGTTTTTTTGTTTTTTTTTTTGAGACGCAGTCTCACTCTATCGCCCAGGCTGGAGTACAGTAGTGTTATCTTGGCTCACTGCAACCACCACCTTCTGGGTTCAAGCAATTCCCTTGCCTCAGCTTCCTGAGTAGCTGGGATTACAGGCACCTGCCACCACGCCTGGATAATTTTTTTAGGTAATTTTAGTAGAGACAGGGTTTCACCATGTTGGCCAGGCTTGTCTCAAACCCCTGACCTCAAGTGATTCACCCCCCTTGGCCTCCCAAAATGTTGGGATTACAGGCGTGAGCCACCGTGCCCGGCCAGAAATGAACAATTTTAAGGCTTTGGTCACTCAGTCTGTGGGTAATGACTCATAATATCTAAAACACAGTGCTACTACTGATTAATATGATTTTCCATTTACTTTATAATTTATCTAGAAAATCCTTTTGGTTTCTAACGTTTTTGAAAATCTTTTTAAATTAGTTCTGTTTCTTAATTAAAACTACACTCAAATAAACAATTTAAATTTGTTCAGTTTCTTAAAGTAGATTCAACGTAAGTCTTTCTTCGCACTCCAAAGTTCTTGTCGTCTGAGAGCCATTATTTAGAATGGGAACTCGTTATGCTGTTAATGCAGGTATGGTTGAAAATCAAGTTGACATATCTTTGGCCCTGAAGATATTTTCTGGACATAACTTTTAAATACATTCCTGCTATGCTTCACTGTCAAACACATGTCTTCAAAGTGTAGAGGACAGAAAAAAATTCTGATTCATTGAGAAGTGGCTGTTTTATCTTCATTTCTTTTACACTTTCAGCCACTCTTTCATCAAGCTCTTCTCACGGCACACCAGCAGTCACTAGAGAAATAGATTGCAGTTGCCTGATATATTCTATTGCAAGTAATAAACATAGCATCAAGTCTTTATTCTTCATCTTCAAAGTACTTGGTAAACATTAAATAATTAATCCCCACAACACATTTGGGAAGTAGGCATACATTATTATCACGATGACAAAACTGGAGGCACCCTGAAATTAAATGAGTTGCCTGAGGCTACACATCAAATTATTATCAGAGCTGGAATTAGTTGTTGCTTCCCATTCTCATTTTAAGACCTCACCAGGTTCTCTCTTATCCTCATAAGAACCCAAGTGCACTTTCTGCCTAATTTTCATTGGCATAACCATGTGTTGCAAATATAATTTGTGTATTTATGGTAATAATTTTGGACGTGAGAAATTCAGTTTTAGTAACCAATAATGCTATTAAATAAATTTCATATCAGCTGGCCCTGATACTGAGCAAAAAATTTCACTTTTAAACAGAAGATCAAATGATAGCTTCCCAGGAGGAAAATATACCACTCACCAAGTTAGCAAAACAAAAAAAGTGTTTCGAAGTCCTGTTTTTAAAATAAACGGTATCATATTTTTACCATAATAGGTGGAATGGACTTTTGGCAAGAGCAATGAATATTCACTGAGGAAATAGTAAGCTTAAAAATAAAATAAGCATCTCCATTAGCATTTTTTGAACAGTGAGCCCTTGCTAGGAACTGTATGCGGCAAAGAATTAATCATAGTCTAAGTCCCATGGGCTCAGGCAATATTCCTATTAATATTCACTTGTAGGTAACTGCAGTTGTATTTGCTAATAAAATCCCAAATGAAGTGCAGGTCATTCTTTCTGCAATCCCTACACTTTCTCAAAGTATGTACGTTCTATAGCTCCCAAGTTAGAGTTTTGCAAGACAGAGCCATGCCCTGACACTTATCACAGAATTAACAGAATTTTACCCTCATCATATCCAGCTGATAAACAGCCTTTGGCGAGCTGAACTCATGTTGCTGTGTGCTAATTGGCCAGTTAGATTCATTTGGTGTTGCTGAGCCTTTAAACAAATTAAAGTTAATTGGAATCAGGAATGGATCAGCCACCTTGGTACTCAATCTGTTTAGCGGTTCTCTTCAACTCATTACTTTTCTCTTTTTTTGTTCATTTTCATGTTCCTTGCACAACCCAAGTGTAGTGTTCCCTCTATATTTGTCTCTATTGTGACTATATATTTTTACAAAATATTTCAAAAAGAATTATTTGAGGACAAGTGGCAAAATACAACACAACAGGATTAATAGAATCAACACCTCTAAGATAGAATTCTTGAGTGTTGTTTTCATGCAGCTTTTCCCAGTATGTCTCTCTCTGTCCTCTCAGGTTTTTCATTTTGTTATTTTGAGTCCTGTTTTAGTAGAACCTGGGCCTGGAAAGAGCCTCAACGTATCCAGCTGATTGAGGTCTCCATCAGAGATGGTATTAAAGCCATTTTATCCATGAAATAAAGGAAGTCTGAGTGGGATAAGAAACTTTCTCAACTTGTATACCTGGGGGAGGATTAGTACCCTAGTCTTCTGCATCATAATTTAGTGACTTTCAACTTGCACCTGTTACCTGAGTATTGTACGTTGTACCCAATATGCCTCCATATTTTTGATAACCAACACTTATAAAATACTATGTTCTAAGCAATAGTGAAGTACTTTGCATGCATTAATTAGTTATTATAACAAGGTTTATTATTTAATAAGGAGAAAATATCCTTAACTGAATTAACCTGATTACGAGGTCCCTACTACAAATTCAACAGCATTTATTCAACAGAGAGAATCTGTAAGCAATTGAAGTATCCACTTTCTGCTAGCTACCTCTCTTAATTAAAATCAGAACTCTCTGAAAGATAGCTCCTTGGTTTGGGGAAATTGTGTACTTCCCATTCAGACCTCAGAAATGAGAAAGAATAAACAGAATATCCATCATAATCCCATTAAATTAGTATGTTTTTCTATCCCAGATTTGTAAAAAAATAAAATAAAATTACCAATTAAAAAGTATACAAATATGAGGATTGTTGTGTTAACTCAGAAGAGAAAATTTCTTAAGTCATTGAGGAGATGATCAGTCATTCAGCTGGTCTTCTTGGCAGAGAGACAAACAACGGTATATAACAATAAATCTCATTATAATCACATACTAGGACTCTGTGTATGTTTAACACTCTCTTCTTTTGGCACTGAGATAGTGTGTTCTGCTTGCTCTACTATTGACATTTCTCTATTATCTCTCTAAGCTCTTTTTTTTATAACTGCCCAATTCCCCTGTTCTTCACAAGGGTATTAAATTAGTAAGCAGAAATAAGGCGCCTCAGCCTGTGTATCTTCTGCTGCCATTTCCCTTTCCACTATGCTCTCCTGTATTAGTGAGAAGAATTTGAAGCAATGGAGTGACATTTGCCACACAGAACTTCAATACCATGTTTCTTTTTAAAATATGTATTTGTTTATTTCAATAGCTTTTGGGGTTCAAGTGGTTTTTGGTTACATTGATGAATTGCATAATGGTGGAGTCTGATATTTTAATGCACCTGTTACCTGAGTATTGTACATTGTACCCAATATGTAGGTTTTTTATCCCTCACCCTGCTTCTACCCTTCTGTCTTCTTAGGTAATCAGTTCTGTTTTTCCAGCATGAATATAGAGTACCAAATAAGTTTGCGTATTTATTCTTGCTTATTTGATAGAATATGTCTTGCTTATTTCATAGAAGACTATGTTTGCTTATTAGACAGAACATGTCCTATCAAATTTGTGGCAAAACAAATAAATTGTTATGCATCCATTGAAAAACTTCTAAGGTGAAATTATTTAATTATTAGGGGAATTAAAAGGTGCTCAATTTATTTGTGCAAAATATAAAATTTGTAAAGCTATTGATCATTCTAAAGCATGATTTTCAAACATCAGTGGTTATAAGAATCAACTGGGACTTATTAAAATTAGAGAAATTTCTGAACCCCATATCCAAAGTTTTAATAAGTCTGATATGTGCCTGAAAGTAGAATTCTTTCTGGTGCATTTGACAGATTTTTACTTACAGAGAAGATGTTTTAGAAATACTTTAATTTTTTAAATTAATAATCAGTGTATTAAAGTAATAAATTCAGAAATCCAAATTTCCCTTAAGAAAATGAGGAGTATAATTTACATGCAATAAGTTGCATATATTTAAATTATATATTTGATAAGTTTTGGCATCTATATACACCCAAGAAACTATCACCAAAATCAAGATCCAAATCCATCATCTCCAAAAGTGTCCTTATTTGCATTGTAATCCCTCGTTTTCTCTCTTCTCTGGACCTCTCCTCCCGTCTTTAGGCAATCATTGATTTGCTTTCTGACACTAAATATTAGTTGTATATCATGAATTTTGTATAAATGGAATAAGAAAAAAATATACTACTTCTTTTTTTTTTTTTTTTTTTTTGACAGAATTTTGCTTTGGTTGCCTAGGCTAGAGTGCAATAGCGCAATCTCAGCTCACTGCAACCTCCACCTCCCAGGTTCAAGCAATTCTCCTGCTTCAGCCTCCTGAATAGCTAGGATTACAGGCATGCACCACCATGTCCGGCTAGTTTTTTGTATTTTTAGTAGAGATGGGGTTTCTCCATGTTGGTCAGGCTGGTCTTGAACTCCCGACCTCAGGTGATCTGCCCGTCTCGGCCTCCCAAAGTGCTGGGATTACAGGTGTGAGCCACCGCGCCCAGCTTAAAATGTACTCTTTTTTATATTTTAGAGGGAAAAATTCTTTTTAAATATATTTTAGAGGGAGAGCTGTCTGGCCTCTTTTATGGAAAATGATAACTTTGAGACATACGCATATTAGGTATGTTCATTCTTTATATTCAGTAGTTCATTCCTTTTTATTGCTGAGTGGCTTTTCATGTATGTATATACCACAAGTGATTTTTGCATTTGCCTGTTGATGGGCTTTTGTTTCCAGATTTTGGCCATTACAAACAAAGCTGATATAAATATTTACATATAAGTCTGTGCATGTACACATGTTTTCATTTCTCTTAGTTAAATACCTATAAGGGTTAAAGCAGAGTTACGTGGCAAATATATGTTTAATTTTTAAAGAAAGTGCCAAATATTTTCCCAAGTTAACTGTTTCCAATGGCACCATTCCCATTAGCAGTTCTTGAGAGTTCCAGATGTTTCACATTTTTACCTACACTTGCTTTATGTTTCATCCTGCTGAATCTGAAGCTACAGTCACCCCAGAAGCTGCAAAGGGGAATTCCCACAAGGGAGTTCCCCAAACTGTCCTGAGATGGAGTTGGTTGGGATTCCAAAGAAAGAGGCACTAAACTCCAGGGTGATCAGTCCAAAGCATCTTTTAGAACTTATTACAGAGTGGTATAGCATGTCCTAGTGACGAACAGCAAGAGGAAAGTGTTGTTCTCCTTAGGTATGTCCACAGTGAGGGGGTCAGGGTATAGAGTTTATATGAGGATTTAAGGAATTTGGCTCAGGGATGGGTCCAGTTTCTTTCAGTATTTTGGACAACAATCTAAACATGTTTTCAGTGCCTGGGAATGTGTAAGGCCCCGGTTTTGGTTCAAGCCTTGTAGGAAAAACCTGCAGCTTTCTGGATCACAGAACTGTCAAATCATTCTGGTTTTCAGTCAAGACACAGAAGGAAAGTGATGGGTGAACTGTGAACTTTACAGTATGGTCAATCTTTTTAATTTTAGATTAATTAGATTAATTTTAATTCTACTAAGCATGTAGGAGTTACTCCTTGTGGTTTCAATTTGCATTTCCCAATGACTAAGGAATGTTGTGGATCTTTTCATACACTTATTTGCTATCTGTATCTCATCTTCAGTGAAGTATCAGTTCAAATCCTTTGTAGCTTTTTAATTAGGTTATTAGTTGTAGGTTTTTCAAACATATCCTTTATCAAAATGAGAGTGTTCTTTTCCATTTCTAATTTACTGAGGGTTTTTTAAAATAAAAAATGACTTTTGATTTTATTGTTTTCTTGCTTCTCATCTAATAATTTATCTGGATCATTCTGGATCAGTTTTGATTGAGATTTCTTCTCATTATGGTTAATACTTTTCTGATTATTTACATGTGTGGTTATTTTAGATTGAATACGAGAAACTGTGAATTTTATCTTTAGAATGCTGAATGTATTTGTATTCCTTTAATATTCCTGAGCTTCATGATGGGAATCCATTAAATTACTTGAAAACAATATGATCCTTTTAGGTCATCCTTTCAGCTTTATTTAGCAAGATCAAGGTTTAATCTAGGATTAATTTGCTCCACTAATAATGCAGGAAACGGAGTAATCTACCTCATGCCCTGTGAAACTCTGTAGGAGTTTCTACTCTGGCTCTTGGGAACAGCACTGTTCTCCACTCTGTGTGAGCTACAGGTATTATTCCCTTTAATCCTTTTAGATAGTTCTTTCTCAGCTTTCAAGTTTCTTCACACATTTGTGCTGATCAGAACTCAACTGAAAACCCCAGGGTGTCCCTGCATAGGGCTCTGGCTGTTTCTCTGGGCAGCTCTCTCCTCTCTGTCTGCTCTGCAAACTTTTGCTGCTTTGGTCCCCTCAACTCAGGGAACCTGCAGGGTGTGCTTCTTGTGCCACAACCCAGGAACTATCTCCGGAAAATAAACAGGAGCAATCAAAGGGCTCTTCTCATTTGTTTCCTGTCTCTTAGGAACCACTGTCCTTCGTTGCCTAATGTCAAGTTTCTTGGGAACCATTTTTTCATATCGCTTGTCTGGTTTTTCTGCTGTTTCAGGCAGGGAAGTATTTTTAATCCCTGTGACTAAGTTACCCATTAAAGTTTTTAAAGTTAGTTTACAGTCATTCTCTAATTGTAAATCCAGTCAATATTTAATAATAACTTTAAAGGTGGATTTTGATTAATATTTCACCCAATTTAAAATATTTAGCTGCCTTCTCAATTTTAAACATTCAATTTTTTTATTATTATTATACTTTAAGTTTTGGGGTACATGTGCACAACGTGCAGGTTTGTTACATATGTATACATGTGCCATGTTGGTGCGCTGCACCCATTAACTCATAAAAACTCTCAGTGAGACATTTAAATTACTTATAAAAATTAAATGTAAACATTCAATTTTTATAAGTAATTTAAATGTCTCACTTAGAGTTTTTCAATGCAGATGCAAAAGTGTATTGGTGTGCTGTCCAGGAATTATAGAGCTTAGGGATTTCCTCAGCCCTTAGGATAGCTGCATGGGAACTTGGATGCCTGGAGCACCCGTATCTATATATGCATTAAATGAAAAGATTAGCAAAAATTCTTCTAACAAACAGGGATCTCACGAATCCTTAAGAAATTATTTCTAAAAAATAAAATCTAGTATATAGTAAATGTTCTTAATTATTCCTCTCTTGTTTCAAACAGTAAGTTTATTTCTCTATTTTTAAATTAAAATCTGATTTCTAATATAAATAGCTTCTTTAAACATTTTTAAATTGATATTGCAGGTTAGATATGGTAACATATCCCCAAAATATAAATAAACAGTGCAAGCACTTTCCCCAAAATATGGATTTTTTTCTCCTAACATAAAATATTAATACTGTATATTTGATTTAGTTCATTATATTAACCTTTGATGAAATTTATTTACCCAATTAAGAAACTGTTATATTTCCCAAGCAAGCTGGAATTTCCAAGTGTGCGAAGTAACATTATCTATAGACTAGAGAAATGTTTGGCAGGGATCTGGGGTTTCTTTTCTTTTCTTTTCGCTTTATTTTGTTTTCTTTGTTTCCCCCAAGGTAAAACTGGAAAATGCTGAAATCTATATAATCACTAAACAGACTCCATATTTAAAAAGGTGTTTGGTTTTACAGTCCTCATACTCTATATTAAAGTCACACATTAGTCTAATTAGTCCATCTGACTTTAATCTTCCACCTACTTATCTAGCTTTGATTAATTTTCTTATGACTTTGCATTTCTTTGCCTTCTTTGTGACATTTTATTGTCCTCTAGCCTGTCTCTGAAGACGCTATGATGACATTCCTTTGAATGGCTCATGCAATGCTTCCGAATTTTGAATTTTACAAACTGAACTGTGCAGATGAAATTCTGTATTTCTTTCTTCTTTCTTCTGGTCTGGCAGTACCACAGATTTTATGTATATTTTTAATTACTTCCATCTGAATTTTAAGTGACATCTCTGGCTTTGTCTGACCTGAGTATATTACACAAAAATCATACTAACAGCTTGCTTGTATTTTAATGAATATTTACCAGTGACTCTATATCCAGCTTTCCTGATCGCTCATTATTACACTTTAAGGTAAATACTCATGAAACCTTCAAGAAATGCTGTTAGTTGCAATAATCTAACTGGTTACTTTAATGTAATTAATAGTTATAATTTTTATTGAATTATTTTTGTGACATTTTGCATAAACCATTTTCAACTATCCTCAGTATTGTACAAACATATTAAACAATCTTTACAAAACACACATCACCTCCGTCTTAGTTATGAAAGAAGATCGGTAATAATGAGAGTGAACATTCTATTCCATGATCAACTAGGTTATACACCTCGGATTTGCACTAAATGTAAGCAGCCAGAATTAACAGGGCCCTGTGGCTGGGGTATATAGAACAAGTCAATAGCATATTTGGCTAATCTGCACTAATTCTTATTTATTTATATTTATTTTCTTTAAATAGAGCCTAGACTTTTAGTAGAGTCTCTAAAAAATAACTGTATAGGGGCCCATGAAGTTAGTCTATGTGTTCAGTCCCCCATAATCCAAAAGGTGACTCCACTACATTCTTAATCATGCTTTCATCATTAACAATCTCAGGTAATTAATAATAAAATATCCACTAAAAATAAGCTAGATTATCTCCTAGTGTGAGCTTTCAGCATCTTTTTACCTTAATCCTTAAAACATGCACAAAATCACCTAAAAACAGTGACAACGCACATTTTAATAACAATTGGCAATAAAAATGAATTGCAGATTTTATTTTATTTTATTTTATTTTCAGTTCATGGGTACATGTGCAGATTTGCTACATAGGTAAACTTAAGTCACTGGGGCTTGTTGTACAGATTATTTCGTCACCAAGGTATTAAACCTAGTACCCATTAATTACTTTTCCTGATCTTCTCCTTCCTCACCCCCTCCACCTTCTGATAGTCCCCAGTGCGTGTTTTTCCCCTCTGTGTCCATGTGTTCTCATCATTTAGCTCCCACTTATAAGTGAGAACATGCAGTATTTGGTTTTCTGTTCCTGCATTGGTTTGCTAAGGATAATAGCCTCCAGCTCCATCCATGCTGCTGCAAAGGACATAATCGTGTTCTTTTTTATGGCTGCATAGTATTCCATGGTGTATATGTACCACATATATGTACAACATTTTCTTTATCCAATCTGTCACTGATGGGCATTTAGGTTGATTCCATGTCTTTGCTATTGTGAATAGCGCTGCAATGAACATACACATGCATGCGTCCTTATAATGAAACGTTTCATATTCCTTTGGGTTTATACCCAGTAATGGGATCGCTGGGTCAAGTGGTATTTCTGTCTTTAGGTCTTTGAGGAATTGCCACACTGTCTTCCACAATGTTTGAAATAATTTACATTCTCACCAACAGTGTATAAGCGTTCTTTTTTCTCCACAAGCTCTCCAGCATCTATTATTTTTTAAATTTTTAATAATAGTCATTCTGACTGGCGTGAGATGGTATCTCACTGTGGTTTTGATTTGCACTTCAGTGATCAGTGATATTGACCTTTTTTACATATGATTATTAGCTGCATGTATGTCTTCTTTCGAAAAGTGTCTGTTCATGTCGTTTGCCCACTTATTAATGGGGTTGTTTATTTTTTTCTTGTAAATTTAAGTTTCTTATAGAAGCTGAATATTAGACCTTTGTTGGACACATAGTTTACAAAAATTTTCACCCATTCTATAGATTGTTTACTCTGTTGATAGCTTCTTTTACTGCTGCAGACATTTTCAAGATTTTTTTTAAGTCTGACTTTTCAGGCAGCATGTTAAATGTCTCCTCTTTCATCAGTCTGAAAATGGGAAAGGTAAGGATGATGAAAATTAGGTTTTAGGGGTGAGAGGTCGGAGTTATTTTCTTTTGTTTTGTTTGGACTGATAATATCCTCCTCCTATCTTCATATAATTAAGCCTCCCTGAAGCAGAAAAGTATAGATGAAGCTTCTCCTCTATCACGAGCCCTGCACAAAACAAGACATTATCAGCTTAATATCAAATGAGCACGCACGGATATTTTCTAGTTGTACATTTTAATGAAATCATTGATTTTAGAAGCTATGCACTTTATTAATTAAAATAATGTTACCAACCTTTGTAAATAATTTCTTTCTTTTCTTTTCTTTTTCTTTTTTTTTTTTTTTTTTTTTTTTGAGACGGAGTCTTGCTCTGTCACCCAGGCTGGATTACAGTGGCTCGATCTCGGCTCACTGGAACCTCTGCCTCCTGGGGTCAAGCAATTCTCCTGCCTCAGCCTCCTGAGTAGCTGGGACTACAGGCGCATGCCACCACACCCAGCAAATTTTTTGTATTTTTAGTAGAGACAGGGTTTCACCGTGTTAGCCAGGATGATCTCAATCTCCTGACCTCGTGATCTGCCCTCCTCGGCCTCCCAAAGTGCTGGGATTACAGGTGTGAGCCACCGTTCCTGACCTGTAAGTAATTTCCTGGATATCCATTGCGAAGTTTACTTATGGAAGGAAATTACAGTATACCAAAGGTTCATAATGGATTCATTCCTGGCATCCACAGGCAGGTGTGTGTGTGTGTGTAGTGTGTGTGCTTCTTTGTGTTTGAACATAATGAATATTTTAACTTCATCCATCTAAGTAACAAGATTTAATTGAATCTTTTCTATACAAAATACTCTGCAAGGATTCTGTAGTGTGGAAGAATTAAAAAGTCATTCACTTGCTTCAAGGACCATATATATATATAGAAGACAAAAGGAACAAACTTGAAAAATTAAGAATAAAAGGAGTTTGTGAGTAAATCCCAAATGAATGGAAGAATCATACATTATTTTTTATTTTTACAATTTGAACAATATGAATAAATATAAAATAATAAAAATTATTAACCAAATGCATATTACCCAAACAATATTACCTAATTGGAGATTATTCCTCAAAATAAGCTTTTAATAGGCTACACACTTCAGAGATTTCTAGAATTCCTTCTTTTTTTTTTTTTGAGTGGGAAGGGGAGTTTTCCAGAGATACCCTAGGAAATTAGTTTCATTATTCCATGATTGTATTTTGAGATTAAATTATTATTACTCAATCTATTCAAAGGATTTTGCTCTAAGACTAGGGTGGATGGACTCTTGTGGCATTGGGCAAATAATTTTTAACTCCTCTAAGCTTCTTTTCTGAACTAAATATTACTAAATATACTTAGTTCACTGAGTGGTACTGAAGACTAAATATGATTATTTGCATTAAGCACTTAATATTGTTTATACCCCATATTAGGCACTCAATAAACATGAGTTATTATTTCTATTTTGTATTTTCCAAAAAGCATATATATTTAAATTAATTTCTGAAAAGTGATTTGCCCTGAGAAGATATGTAAAATTTCTATGGCATCCTTAAGGAGGTAATCTAAAAATACTGAGTACTGGCAGCATTGTTATAACAAGCGTGCTGTGTTTCTGAGGCACCTGCTTCCAAGGAAGTAATGGTTTTTGTTTTTAGCCAATGTTGTTTAAAAACATCTGAGGTAATACCAAGCAAAAGTAACGATTTAAATTGTCTCGTCATTTTCCCTGAACACATTGGCAAGTTAAGCTGATGTTTCTGTTAATGAGCTGAAGACTCAGTAAAATGCCTATCTAGTCTTCTCCAAGTCATCATTTGTCATGCAAATAACTCCCAATCTCTAGTTCTAACCTGGAGCTCTTTCTGGAATTCCAGACTTTTATGTCCATCCAACTATCATCAATTTCAACATGGATATTCTCTAGGTAACTTCAGCTCTACTCCCACTCTGAAATAATCTTCCTCATCTTGCACACCTGCTCCCTCACATCTGTTTACTACACACGCGATTCACTTAATGCCCGTCCTCAGCAAACTTTGAGTCACCCAAGATTATTTTTTCTGCCTCATGCCTTATTTATGACCAAATCATACAATTCTCCTCCTTCACTCACTCAAGAACTGTTATTTGAACACAGCATTGTTCCAGATTCTTCTTCATTCCTGCTAACAAAGAGGACATTCATCCAAGTTCACCAGACCTCCTGCAATAGTCTCTTTATTAGTGTCCCTTCCTCTCTGCTCCCTCATCCAATATATGTACCACACTGCCTTCTATATAACACAGATGCTCTCTGCCTCCATGTCCTACTTCAAAGAGCTCAAGCTTGCTCATCTTTGAAAATTCAGCTCGTGTCATTTCTTATGGGCTATGTGAATATGCTATCAACAAAACTACCATTTTGAATTGATTTCTGTATGTAGAAATGGGTTTCATCTAAATATCCATGCTGTTCTGTAGACCCATTAGGACCAAACTGGTATTTTTGTTGGAAACTTAGCAGGAAAGTTTTTGAATAAAAATTCTTAAGTTGTGATTTTATACATATTTTTGTTTAGAGACTGTGGGGAGTAAATTGTGTCACAGGGGTATATGACACAGGGATCACATAAATTCTTTAAAACTAATTTTTATTTAAAAAACATAAGGAAATTAGTATGACTAAAATGCCTTGGGTCTAAACCAGGGTTTATCAGCTGTGGTGCTATTGACATTTGGGGCCAGATAATTTTTGCGTGTGTGGATGGGGATATGGACTTTCCTGTGCATCACAGGATGTTTACAAGCATCCCTGGCCTATAGCCACTAAATGTCAGTAGCATCCCCAATGGTAATAACCTCTCTCCAGTTGGTGATCATCATAAATATCTCCAGATGGTGAAAAATATCTCTGAAGGCAAAATCACCCCAAGTTAAGAACCACTGGTTCAGATAGTTCCAAATTATCCAGGCTTCTGGAGTGACCTTTTTTTTTTTTTTTGAGTATCCAAATCATGATTTTCAGCTTCCATCCATTAAATGTAGAATTTGCTTGCTTGTGGGGCCTTAAGTTGTTCTTTTTCCCATCCATGCTGTGGCCTGAGCTTTCACTATTACCTGGCTGCTAAAATCACCCCTAGCTCCTATGCTTGTTGATACTGTTTTCCTTCATCCTTCTCAAAGAACCTCTAAATGTAAATTTGATGTGTTTGACAGATTATATAAAACATTGGTAGATGAAAGAGAATAATTACATCAAAGAGCAAGAAACAATTTCAAATCCAACATTAATCATCACCGTGTCTGTAAAATTTTGGGCTCTTCCCTCCTTTAGGAATTCCTTTATGTGTCATCTTTCTATGCTTCTTCTAAATTCTGTTTTTGATATGTGCCCCACCACCAGACCCTACTCACATCTTTCTCTCCTCTCCTGTTTCTTTTCACTGCCCTTTCCCTATTTCATAAACTCAAAGATCTCATGTTAGCATATAGAACAGGTATGCTTTGTTACATTTTTACAACCCATCATTTCAATCTATGTCCAATAGGATCATACCACAATCAACCAAAAGGTTCATTTGGACTTACCAGGATGTTTTTCTAAATATTAGAACTAATTGACTGGCAGATGAATTTTGGCACTTTCCTATATGTTGAAATAGCATGGAATGCTTTATCCTACCTGTACATTTCACTGTTTTCTTCAGGTTCCATTTTAAATATTATGTCCAGAGAAGACTTCCCTGATGCCCTGACTACATAATAAAGTAACTTCTCAACTATCTTATTCTGTTTCCTAGCAGCCAGTTCTTTTCCTTCAATGCTGTTATCAGAATTTGTAACTACATATATATATGTATGCCTAATTCTTTATTCCTGGGTTTTTATTAATCTCTAAGCCCCACAGATGTAAGCACATATTTGTTTTCTTCAAGTATGCCCAGTGCAAAATGCTTTGTAAAATTTTTAAATTAAAAATGAATAAATGAATGCTACAGAACTTTGTATTGGCAAAGAAAGAGCATTGTAAAAATATACCAAAAGATTAAATATAGGCTTTAGTGACAGAATTAGTAGATTCAGAATAAAAATTAAATGAAGATATTTCTAAAGAAGCCAAGAATAGAGAAGATGAAATAACAATCCAAAGGGATTTCAATAAACAGCAGTCCAGGTACCACCACCTAACTTCAAATGAATGTGATGAAAACTGTGGTGCATGCTTTTTTTTCCCTTACAATAAAGTAAGATTGGGAGATCTGTTTTAGCTATACCATATGTATAAGGGAAATTTCTATAATTACCTACTTAAAGAAGCAATGCTAATTATCTAAGAATCATAAATGACTGAAAATATAATCAATGACTGTATTGCATAGAATCTTTCCAAAATCAACATTTAAAAATCTCAAAATATCAATAAATACCAAGAGAAAAGAGAGAAAAACAAGTGAAGGAGTAGCCTCTGAAATTGTCCAACAGGAGAATTAGGCTGGTCAGAAGTCTCAGGCTTCCCCAGGGCCAGAGAGATGACAGATAAATATGCAAAACGGCTTCTGTTCAAACAGTACAGCAGCCCCATTCTCCACTTAGTACACTTCCTGATATCTCTGCCAACATAAATAAATAGATCAAAGGTAAAATCATTCCAAAAGAATTGTTTAATTTCAACACCAAAAATAACATCTTCACTGAAGATAAATTTTCCTTCAGGAGCCCCCATATGCATACACAGCACAATACACACACACACATACACTCAGATACTCACACACAATATAAACACAAATATACTTTAACTTAGGAATAGTTAAATAGTGCCAGCTCAGTTTAAGCTTAGAAACATAGACTGTTGGAACTACAGGAGATTTTAAAGATTTTAAGTGATTGTAATTGTTTTACACACACACACACACCTCTTAATTTAAAAAAGAGGAAAATTTGGGGCTGAAAAACCGGGAATTACATATCCGAGGTCACAAAACAAGGATCATGCTAATTATAATAAGAATCCAAAGCTTTCAAGTCCCTCTGTGGTGTCTTCCCACAACTCCAACCCCATTTCTCACAAAGTTTAGAGGAACATATGGTTGACATTGAATTAATTGACTGCTTTTTTCTGTAAATGTGTTACCTCCGCATGATAACTAGTGGCATGTTAGAGATAAAGATGCTCGAACAAAAGGGATCTATGACTTGCTAGTGGGCACAAACGATTATGGAAGCAGAGCTAAAGTGTGACACAGTCTAGGAATAAAATCTCACATTATTCTCAGTATTTAGTTATAAGGAGTAAAATAAAGAAAAGTTAAGGACTATGTTTTTTTTTAAAAAAAAACAAACCCTATTTCTTTGTCAAAATATTATCCTCTTTACCCTCAAACCCCACTGAAATAAGAAAAACATATGTGGCATATATACACCATGGAATACTATGCAGCCATAAAAAATGATGAGTTCATGTCCTTTGTAGGGACATGGATGAAGCTGGAAACCATCATTCTCAGCAAACTATCGCAAGGACAAAAAACCAAACACCGCATGTTCTCATTCGTAGGTGGGAATTGAACAATGAGAACACACGGACACAGGAAGGGGAACATCACACATGGGGGCCTGTTGTGGGGTGGGGGGAAGGGGGAGAGATAGCATTAGGAGATATACCTAATGTTAAATGACGAGTTACTGGGTGCAGCACACCAACATGGCACACGTATACATATGTAACTAACCTGCACATTGTGCACATGTACCCTAAAACTTAAAGTATAATTAAAAAAAAAAAAGAAAAAAAAAGCATTGATTATAGGAGGCCAGACATGGTAGCTCACGCTGGTAATCCCAGCACTTTGGGTGGCCTAGGTGGGCCAACAGCTGGAGCCCAGTAGTTCGAGAGCAGCTTGGGCAACATGATAAAAACCAGCTTCTACCAAAAAAAAAAAAAAAAAAAAAAAAAATGCTGGGCCTACTGGTGTGCACCTATAGTCCCAGCTACTTGGGAGGCTGAGGTGAGAGGATCACTTGAGCCAGGGAGGCAAAGGTTGCAGTGAGCAGAGATCGCACCACTGCATTCCAGCCTGGGCAACAGAGATAGACCCTGTCTTAAAAAAAGAAAAAAGAAAAAAAGAAAAAAAAAGAAAAAGAAAAACATATAATGTAATTCATAGCAGTGGAAGTAAAAAGGTGTGTTTCCATGAAATGTGGACTTGCTGGATGGTCCCAGTTGGAAATGGAAGCCCAAGAAGCTAAGACACCTGCAATCCATGCCTTGGAAAGACGCTTCAAAGCTGACAGCCTAAAAGAACTCTTGGGTAGTGCTCAGGGAATAGCTAGTGGGCTCTGGGAAAATGGGCACACTTGGGACAATACACCAGATAATTAGGAAAAGGATAACAAAGTTCTAGGGGAAAAAATGCTCATTAGAACCTAGAAATGTGCATCCAATCAAACTACCTTCAAATTTTATGGCGCTGACTATAAATAGAGACAATTTCAGACATTCAAGAATTTCAAAAGTTTGCTACTCACAACCTTATTCTGAAATACTTTTACATGGACATATTCTAGCAAGACTATAAAAATACTAAAATCTAACAGAATTGTTGAAGGAAAGGAAGTAGACAAAAATGTACTACAGAAATAACAATAGCACACATAAGAATGGCAACATAAATAATAGGCATATAATCCAAGGCAAAAAAAAGAGTAAATGAAAAACAAACATAAATATTCAGAAATCATGTGCTAGGCACTCTTTCAGGGCTGTTGCATTTCTTAACATATTAAACGCTGGTAGATGTAATGACTAATTTTACAGATGAAGAAACTGAAGCAAATATAGCTAAATAACTTGTCTGCAATGATGCAGATAATATGTAGAATTGGGATTTGAAGTTAAGCAATATAACTTCAGATCCCACTCTTTGAACCATTAAATAATTCAATAATGTCTAAAAAAATTATTCTTAATAGCCAAAAATGGGAAAAAAATCAAATATCCATCAACAATATTAGAAAGCATATATTCACTGGATAATATTTATTTAGCTGAATCATACATATAATATATATTAGGTACTGTCAGTGTTACATTCAACAACATACATAATCTCAAAAACATTATATTAATAGAAAGAAATCATAAAAGTGTATTATATATACATATATACTGTATGATTCCCTTCACATACATTTCCAAAACATGCACAATTAGCCTTGTTAATAGATGTCTCAATAGATTAACAGTGGCAATTAATGGCTGGAAAGGACTATAAGGGTTTCTTCTGGGCTGATGTTAATATTTTTATAATTTGTACTGGGTGGTCATTACTTGTGTTGGTCACTTTATAAAATTGAATGTTATGAAATTGAATGAATGTTATATTTTAGACTTTCATACTTAAATATACGTAAAAGTTTCCAGAAAATATAATATGTATGTGTAGTTACTATATATAAGTATTTTATCACCTTTTTATGCATTGAACATTCTTTGTGACAATCTATATCAATGAATATACTAATATAATATCAAAAATTGTCATGCCTTTCATTTATTTTTCTGATTAAGATTGAGTCATTCTTTTGAACTCCAAACTAAAGTATATTATTTATAAAATTTAAGGTATTAAATAGAAATTTATAGAGTACAGAAAATTAGCAAATTAGCAAAATTTTGTATGAATTCCCTTTGAGATACATTGGTCACAAGATTCCTGAGAAATAGAGTAATTCCAATGAAATAATTGCAAAAAATCTAATTTCACATCATTTTTTCTTCTGGGTAAGTCATTTATATTTAAGATAGGAATAGCAGTATGACTATTCCAGTATCAGCAGTAAGCTAGTAGTGGAAAGTCAGCCTTTATGAACTGAAGACAATTGGGACTTTTGTATGAAGACTGTAGAACATTCTCAGAACAGGGTTTGACTACAAGTTGGGATAAAGTAATATATTTCTGGGTAAATTAACTGAGATATTTTCTTTTCCTCCTATACCTAGAAAAGTTTTATTCATCCATCAAGACACTGCTTAAATGATAACCTTTGAGCGTCCATCCTGCACATTGGCATAATTTCTATTTATACTACACCACTATTCTTCTTTCCATCCTATTTTGAACAAAATCAGTGCACTCCTACAGTGCCAAATAACTGAGTTCTTACCTCTATTTTAAATATTTGTTTTTAATTTCATGCATTCATCTCTTGCTATTTAAAAAAAATACATTCAGTAAAAGATCTTGGCATACATAGGTGAATATTCTGAATTCAGGAAGGTCTACCTTCCCCTCTAATATTCTTTGTTATTCATATCAATGTGATACATCATATCAACAGAATAAAGGGTGAAAACCATATGATTATTTCAACTGATGCTGACAAAGCATTTGATAAAATTCAACATCCTTTCATAACGAAAACCCTCAAAACCTAGGTAAAGAAGAAACATACCTAAAGACAATAAAAGCCATATACAACAAACCCATAGCTAGCATCATACTGAATGAGGAAAAACAGAAAGCCTTTCCTTTAAGATTTGGAGCATGACAGGGATGCCGCTTATAACACTGTTATTTAATATTGTCCTGGAAAAACCAGCTAGAGCAATCAGACAGAATAAATAAATAAAAAAGCATCAAAATCGGAAAGGAAGAAGTCAAATTATACTTGTTTGCAGATGATATGATCTTATATTTAGAAAAACCTAAAGACTCCGCCAAAAAACTATTAGAACTGATAAACAAACTCAGTAAAATTGCAGGACACAAAATTAATATACACAAACACTAGCATTTCTGTATGCCAAAAGTGAACAATCTGAAAATGAAATCAAGAAAGCAAGCCCATTTACAACAGCTTCAAATAAAATAAAATACCCACGAATTAACTTAACCAAAGAAGTGAAACATTTCTACAATGAAAACTCTAAAACACTGATGAAAGATACATAAAAGGACACCATTAAATGGAAAGATATTTCATACTCATTGATTGGAAGGATCGATTTTGTTGAAATGTCCATACTACCCAAAGCAGTCTACAGATTCAGTGCAGTCTCAATCAAAATACCAATGACATTCTTCACAGAGATAGAAAAAACCATCTTAAAATAAGACCCAAAATAGCCAATGCTATACTAAGCAAAAGGAACAAAACTGAAAGAATCACATTACCTGACTTCAAATTATACTACAAAGCTATGATATCCAAAACAATGTGGTACTGCCATAAAAACAGACACATACACCAATGGACAAGAACACATAACCTATAAATGAATTCATGTATCTACAGTGAACTCATTTTTTACAATGGTGCCAAGAACATACTTTGGGGAAAGGACAGTCTCCTCAATAAATGGTGCTGGAAAAAAAATGGATATCCATATGCAAAAGAATGAAACTAGAGCCCTATTTCTTGCCATATAAAAAAATTAAAATGGATTAAAGATGTAAATCTAACACCTCAAACTATTAATCTACTAAAAGAAGACACTGGGAAAACTCTCCAGGACATTGGACTGAGTAAAGATTTCTTGGGGTGCAGCAGAACACCATGGCCCATGTTTACCTATGTAACAAACCTGCATATACTGCACATGTATCTCGGAACTTAAAATAAAATAAAACATATTTCTTAGGTAATACCTCAAAAGCACAGGCAACCAACACAAAAATGGACAAATGGGATCACATCAAGTTAAAAAGTTTCTGCACAGCAAAGGAAACAATAAACAAAGTGAAGAGACAATCCACACAGTGAGAGAAAATATTTGCAAACTACCCATCTGACAAGGGATTAAACCAG
This sequence comes from Homo sapiens, assembly GCF_000001405.40. Classification (NCBI taxonomy): domain Eukaryota; kingdom Metazoa; phylum Chordata; class Mammalia; order Primates; family Hominidae; genus Homo; species Homo sapiens. The sequence continues at coordinate 46,600,128 of NC_000004.12, forward strand.
AACATATAAGGACCTCAAACAGCTCTATAGGGAAAAAAACTAATAATCCAATTTTAAAATGGGCAAAAGACCTGAATAGACACTTCTCAAAAGAAGATATACAAATGCAAACAGGTATATGAAAAGGTGCTCAATATCATTGATCATCAGAGAAATGCGAATCAAACCTACAATGAGATATTATCTCACCTTGGTTAAAATTGCTTTTATCCAAAAGAAAGGTAATAAAAAGTGCTGGAAAAGATGTAGAGAAAAGGGAACCCTCATCCACTGTTGTTAGGAATGTAAATTAAAACAACTACTATGGAGAACAGTTTGGCAGTTCCTCAAAAAACTAAAAATAGAGGTACTATATGATCCAGCAAACCCACTGCTAGGTAAGAAATACCCCAAAGAAAGAAAGTCAGCATGCTGAAGAGAGATCTGCACTCCCATGGTTACTGAAGCACTATTCAAAATAGCCAAGATTTTGGAAGGAACCCAATTGTCCATCAACAGATGAATGGATAAGGAAAATGTGGTACATATATACAATAGAGTACGATTCAGTCATAAAAAAGAATGAGATCCTGTCATTTGTAACAACATGGATGGAGCTAGACGTCATTGTGTTAAATGAAATAAGTCAGGCATGAAAAGAAAAACTTTGCATGTTCTCACTTATTTGTGGTACTAAAAACTAAAACAATTGAACTCATGGAGATAGTAGAATGATGGTTACCAGAGGCTGAGAAGGATAGTGGGGTTGGTGGAGAGTGGGGATAGTTAATGGGTATGAAAATATCATTAGATTGAATGAATAAGATCTAGTATTTGATACCACAACAGCGTGACTACAGTCAACAATAATTTATTATTCATTTAAAAGTAACTAAAGGAATACAATTGGAATGTTTATAACACAAATGATAAATACTTGAGGTGATGGATATCCCATTTACACTGATGTGATTATTATGCATTATACAACTGTATCAAGATACTTTATGTACCCTATAAACATATATACCTACCCACAAAAATTTAAAAATATAAAATTTTTTAAAAGTGCCTTAAAACATGCTGCAGTGATTTTAACATAGGCTCTTTAAAAGTTATTAATTTAACTACAATTCAGGATGAATCTAGGGACAGATTTGGCACATAAAGACTATGTGTATTATGTACAGAGATCAATGGGGATAAGAAATCTGCACACTGCTTAGAAGTATTCATTAGGAAAAAAATACTCTGTCACTCTTGCAACATTATAAACTCCCAAATATTTTCTCCAGCCACATTTACCCTTACCCCTAAGGACCACTGCTTTAAAATACCATTATCACTGGTCACTTTGTAATCTAGACTTAGTGTTCTGTCACAAAAAGAAGTTTGATAATCACCACCATAAAAATACATTTTAGAACTGCAATCAATTGAATTTTGTTTTTTCAAAGTAATCATATTTTATAGCCTGCCATACATTTGTTCAGATACATTCAATGCTTGTAACTTGTGAATTCTTCCAAATAAAGCTAATTTAAGTTTCAGAAAGAGTATAATCATTCAGAACCATTTTTCATGTGCCTTAAGAGGCATGCCCATAATGTTGATTTGTTCTTGAGGCTGGAGAACTAATAGAAGGCAATTCCAAGAAGACCCACCATGGGCTGAGAAATGACCACTTCTTAGAACTTATCCCTCCCTATTTTTGAAACAAGATCAATCGTGTCTACTACTAACAGAGGGCTTGCAAAGATTAAACAAATTGATAAGATAACAAATGTGAAACAATTGTTGGTATTTCAGGTCAGTGGAATTGCTCATAGGTGAAACTGAAGTGGACATCTGACAAAATTTTATGTTGTGTTCTACACAGGAAAGCAGAGGTCTGAGGAAAAGATAATTTCTTTCAAGGCAATTCTAAAGAAATTTAATAAGCTTATTATGTAGATAAAGACATTCATAACTCAATACTGATGAAGAACAACAAAAAATAATAATTGTTCAGAAGCTTAAGATAGTATAGGATGTAAAAGTGTTAAACTTAATATCAAAGTATGATTTTTGTCATTCTCTGTATATTTTAAATTTTTTCTTAATTATATCTCATGCAGTAATTCTAATATCTTGAATTATATTGATTTTGTCCCAAGCCATCAGACTTGGAACATTAAGAATTTCTGATTTAAAATTTTCTCCCTTACGTACCTCCACAACAAATGCTTTGCCTTTTTTTGTGTCTCAAATACTGCCAGCCTGCTTTCATCCCTCTGTTAACCAGTCTAACTCAGGATGTCATGGCTATCACAGGGATTACTATCATATCTCCTGAGAGTTAGATATTTGCCAACTTCCAACTGTTCAACTTTTATCATGGTGTTACGTTAATCTTCAAACAGAACAACAATCATATCACTCCTTGCTCAAAGACCTTCAATGACTTTCAATTTCCAAATGAATCAACTTCTAATTTTTCACTATAGCATTTAAAACTCTCCAGTGTGTAGCTCCAGATTCACTTCTGACCTTATCTGAAGCCATTCCTACATAAACCCTGCTATATGCTGGCTCTATACTGGGACTTTCAATGTACATTCACATTTAATTCTCATAATAGTACTATGCTCAGGTATTAACATTACCAATTTATAGAAGTGTAAAATAATATTCATTTATGTTAACAACTTTATCATTGTTAATTTTATATTTTCATAATTCTTTTTACATCTTTTATATATCTCAATATTTTTATAATTAACATCAACTTGGCCAAATTCCATGTAAAAAGAAAAACATTGCTATGGCTCAGGTTTAGGTCTTCTAACATCAAAGTCCTTGGAATTTCCAATAAACCTCACTGAGTATCCAATTCTATCAAGTCATAACTCCTTGACAACATTTTAACTGGATTCTAGGACTAGGATTCCAATTTTATTAGCTAATGAATAAGACACCTCACCCCTCTTCCACACATTGTCCCTTATATTTAGTGCCATAAGATTTATTCATCAAGCTTCTTTGGGGTGCAAATAACAGACATGGCACTAGCTAGCCTAAGTAAAACAAGATTTCTTGGGAAGATATTGAGTTACTCTTAGAATTAAATTAAACACTGAATCTCTGAGCATCAGAATGATAAAAGCCAGGGCAACTCCAGGGACCTTAGCAGCAACTTTTACCATATGATGATTTGGTTTTAACCACCCTCTCTCTTTGTAGTCTCCATGAGGCTTTTCAAAAACCTGAAAAGTAGACTCTAATTGTCTCAGCTTGGGTGATAAGACTGAACCTTGAACCATTCACCCACCTGCAGAGGACAAGAGTTTTGTAAACTTTTAGAGGAGCTTTAAGAAGGAAAATCTACAGGGTCTTAACATACATCTTCTCACTTTGAATATTACAAATATCTAAAATCTTTTAAGACTGAGTTTATTTCTACATAGATCAAATAAAAAGAAATGACACTGAAGTAACGGAAGAAAAATCAATTCGTTAATTCACTCATGAAAATTATTTATTGGGTGCCCAAGATTTTGTTCTGGTGACAAACTTATGTGTATATATATGTATATATGTATATTTGGTATATATATAAACACCAAAATTTATGTGTGCGTGTATATACATATATATATATATATATTTGGTATATACATATATGTATTTGGGGTGTGTGTGTATATATATATGTGTGTATATATATGTGTATATATACACCACAAAAAGTGAGTACTATCTTAATACAACTGTGAATGAATGAGTGAGCTGGATTTAGCACCTGTCTATATTGCTGAAGGGAAATTGTGTCCAGCTGATACTGGAACACTTCCTATATCAACCTTACAAACATGTGTATATATCTGTACATACTGAATTTTCAGTGGAACACACCTACCAGTCTATAGCATAGGAAAAATCCAATAATGATAAACTCAAAGTTAATGAGAGTGTAGCTCAGCAACATTGGAGAAGAAGGTAGTTGGGACTACTTAAATAAATGCTTCAGAAAGATACAAATTTCTGGGAACCTTCTGGAGCTTCAAAGGACTCTCAGTTCCCACCATCTGTAGCATGACAGAATCACTTGAGGCGAAAAAAAGCAAGCAAGTTAGGCTTTGGAGGCCAGGAATTGCAGTGTTGAGAACTATGTTTGAGTTCCCCAGCACTTGGCAGCAATCAAGCCACAAGGAGTCCTGAATCAAGGACACAGAAGGGTCCCCAGATAATCTCAACAATATATGAGGAGAGAACTTACTAGAAAAGACTAGAATTTTGCTAACAAATGGGCAATGACTCATAGCTGTTGAGATCTGGCGGAGCAAAGCACATGTGACCTCATTTGTAACCAATTCTGGTGAAGGTAGAGAAATACCCATAGAAAACATTGACCCTGAAAAAAGTCTAGTGCTGTCCATCTTAACAAGTGCTCTTGTTAATTATTTTCTTTGATTGTATTACTCTCTAAAACCTGGCTGAGAAAAGGTATTTATCGTTTAAGTTCACTTCACTAGCCACCTTCTACATAGTTCTGCTCCAAAACCCACTACTAAGATATAAACAAATAAATGTTTTCAATTACAACTGCCGTTCAGCCTAGGCACTATTCTATGAGACATGGTATACTAGGAAATTTATTTGAACTTTTTTCCTTTCTTTTTTAAAATCAAATCTACCCCATCTTGGGTTCATTGTTATTTGTTTATTTTATTCTCTCTTGCATAGTGAACTCTTTCAGGACACAATCTGTCTTGTTCATATTTGTACCAAATTAAAAGAAATTGAATGTTTTGCATGTATGCAGACCTGATGTAGTAAGGCCATTTTTCTGGATGAATTACTCAGAAGCCTAGGGAAAAAAAGTCTTATTATCAGAAAAGAAGCAGCTAGAGTTTCTGTGCGCTATTCCTATGTGAAATGAACCAGGTGGCTACTAAACAAATCTACAGGTAAATTAATGTTTATGGATCTAATACTTTGAAACAAATGTACTTATAACAGAAATTACTTTGGGAAATAAAAAATTAAAATCTCTTTATTGAAAATATACAATAAAAGTGGTAGGTCATAGGAGTATTATAGGACAAATATTGAAACTTTGTTAAGAAAACCTCTAAATAGAATAACCAAGAAATACTATTAAGGAAGTTCTTTGGCCCAGATTGATGGGTAGTAGATTAAAAGGCTGGCTACAGAGTGAAAGAAGATAACTTTAATACTTGAATCTATCAAAGTACTTATATAAAAATTATGTAAAGGATACTTACAAATCAATGACAAAAGACAAACCATGCAATTAACAAAATGGGTAAATAACACTGACAGGTACTTCACAAAAACTGATCCTTCATTTTACCTGCTGTAAATAAAGCAACCTCATACTGACTTTTTCCCTTTTGGTCTTACACTTTCCATTCTGTCACTCCTGTTCTCTGAGACCACCCCCCCCGTATAATCAAGCACTTTTTTTTTCTGGGTTTGCTTTCAAAGGAACCAAACTAAGGAAGGAGGGGATCAAGATAAAGGATAGAAGATAGAAGAGAAAAGGAAAATCATGGCAGAATAGGCTTAAAAATGTCCCCCCAGAAATATTCCTGTCAAATTCCTTGGAACCTGTGATGTTACCTTATTTAGAAAAAGAGTCTTTGCAGATGTGATTAAGTTAAGGGTCTTGAGGTTGGGAGATATTCTTGAGTTATTCAGGCATGCCTTAAATACCATCACACATGTCTTCTTTATAAGAGAAAGGTAGAGGGAAATTGACACAGGTGCACAGAGAAGAAAGTATATGACGACAGAAGCAGAGATAAAAGTGATGATGCCACAAGCCAAGGAAGCCAGAAACCACCAGAAGCTAGAAGAAGCAAAGAAGGGATTCTTCCCTAGAAACTTTGTAGGGACTGTGGGTCTACTGATACCCTGATTTCAGACTTCTGGCCTCCAGAGCTGTGAGAGAATAAATTTCTGTTGTTTCAAGCCACCAAGTTTGTAGTAATTTCTTATGGCAGCCTCAGGAAAGTAATACACGTGGATTAAAATACGAACAAAATCAGAGGTAGAGACGAAGGATGTCCTTACATGGTGGTATGATTTCTTGTTAAAATAAAACCGTTTCCTAAGTTTTAGAGGCATCTTGCCCTATAGAAATGATTTGAGTTAGCATTTGTGAGGAATTGTGGGGAAACTGACCAAAGATCAGAAAAAGAATTTCTAAGGAGAACTGCAAGCTCAGCAGAGGTTAAATTAATGAATTTATAATGTATTTATTGTTATTTCTTGGGATTTGGCAGTCATCAGCAAGGATGATAGTAAGCAGACAAAATTATTCTGGCCTCATGTCAGAGTTCAGGGCCTGGACTCAAGACCCAAGAAGAGAAACTGGCAAGAAAAATGCAAGACTCTAATTCTGAGGAAGGAATAGGTGACTTAAGAGGGCACTACAGTAACAATGCATGCATATGGACTCCTAATTACTGAAGATTTAGGGACCATCTGGATTCAAGAAAAGCAGAAGCCTAGTTAACAAATCAGGGCAAACCTGCTGAAGGCAGATTAGCATCAAGAGTTGCTTCACCTGGATAGCTTGAGCTCCCTCTGCTTCAGATCAGAATGAATCCCAGAAGTCTGGGTTGATCTTAATGTGCAAATGAGGAATCAATAGGCCCTATCTTTTTTGCATGACTGTTAATTTGAACTTCTGGCTCTTCTTGCATTTTTTTCATCATCTTCTAATTTCATTGCTTTTCATTCCCAACTTAAAGAGTAGCGGGCTGATGGCAGGGAGGATAGAAGAAGAGAAGAGAAAGGGGATAGAGTGGAGGGAGAGGAGATTATTTACAAATATCACTTCATAGGGACCTCACAACAGATATTTGACTTAGGCATCACTATCCCTGTTTTACAGAAAAGGAAAATGGGATTTGAAAAATTAAGCAGCTCAAATGCATACAGCTGGTAGAAGATAAAAGCAAGATCCAAACCCAAGTTGTACTGATTCCAAAGCCAGTGTTCTTATCCATTGCCAGACCCTTACTGGTTCCATAGCAGTCATTCAATTATGCTTACTTTTAAATCAACATCCTCAAGTCTCTCAAACCCTTATCTTTCTTTTCAAATCTGCCTTTGCAATTACTTCTGATGAATTAAATAATTCATTCAAGGAAAGTTAATAAATACCTACTAAACTGGAAAGGCCTCTTTAGGTTGAAGGGAATTAAACAGTATCTTGTAACAAACATAGACATTGTGCCTGCTTTCATGATTTTACAGCCCATTCAAACAAATCATCAATGAATTTCATCCATTGCGATTACCTGGCTGTTAGATCTAGTTAACACATTATTTGGTCTCTAGCCCGGATTATCTTTTTCAGATGAAATACGGCATTATGTGAGGAAAAATTTAAGTTTTTAATGAAAATTATTTTCAGAACTATATGAAGCAAACACTAAATTAAGATTGTTGTGGTCCTTGGCATTAATTTCAGTAATGAATGTCAACAAATTTTTCAACAGCTACAAATGAAAAATACTTAAGTGTTGGAAGAATAATGCATTGGGGAGAGATGATTTAAGAAAGCAGGAATCCTATGCTAGTATTTTCTTTTAAATAGATAGTCACCTCTTCAAGTTAAATCTAAATTTCAGGCAAAACAATCTATGATATCTATTATTTATCTACTGAGAGGTAGGTAGAATACAAAAGTAATTTTTGATTTTGCCATGGGAATAAATGTGAAATTACCACATCCTATGATGCCAAACCCAATTCTCTGATAAGAAACACTCCCTGTGTTTGCCGAGAGGTATTTCATTAACATTGTTCTGCACAGAGACTAATTTCAAGTACTTTTAATGACTCTACCTACCTAGGAGGGGAGTTTGTGACAAGGGAAGAAGTTGCAGCCTTTCAGAAATTATAATATGCTAAAATATTAATAAATTTGAATCTTCTCAATTTCAATTTTTTTATGATTCATTTTCAACTTTTCCCCTCATTAGTTATTTTCCAAGTTAAATACCTTCCATTATCATTAGGAAGTGTATGTTTGTATAGACAAAAATCTAGGTGGTAAAATTATTCATCCTGTGTATTAAATAAATATTGTTCCTAGCTTATGTGAACAGATCTTTCCCCACGTCCAGTTTTTTCCCCTACATGAATGTTCATTTTTGTGTGTACCTATCTTCTCAAGTCAAACATTCAGCACTTTTGCATCCAGTTAGTTACAAAAGTCCCACATCGCTTATTATGAAATTGGTAATTAAATTTCATATTTAATAGAAATCAATAAAATACAGCTGTCTTGTGGGTTTGAGAACATGGTAAATCAAATTAATTAACAGTATATTATACATTAAAAACTATGACAAAATCTCAAGCAAGCACTTGGTTCATCTATGACTTCCAACTTTCTCAAATATGTATATGACCCTAGGCAAATAACAAATCTCTCTCTAGTTTAATCTTTCCAAATGTAAAAAGGACTTCATAATTTATTAACTTATTTAGCCAGTTTTTAATGAATTCTTAATGTATGCTTAATATTTTCCAATTACTAGGGACTCAGGGGTGAATATGACAAATCAGATTCAAGTTATTTCCCATTGTAGGGCCTCTGAGATTACGGTCCCATCTAACAGAAAGGCAATTCCTCTGGTCTTCCTTTGTCTGACTACTCATCATTAATTTCTTAGTCAAAATATATCTTCTTAGGCCTTCTGTGATCATCCTATTGAATGGGCACCTATCCAATCCCCATCATTTTCTATAACAAAACTATGTCTGATTCCTTAATTTGCTTAATTACTTTTTGCAGTTATACTACTTACATTTTGTTCACTTTTTCTTGCTTTTCTCCTCAAGTAGAATGAAAGTCCCATTCAGTAGAAACCTTGCTGCACCTCCAGTAAAGTGAACAGTATCTTATACATGGTAGATTAACAATAAATGTTTCTTGAATTAAATAATTAATTAGTTAAGAAGGTAAACAAAGAAAAATTCCTGCCATTTTGAAGTTATCTTCTTTTAGAAACTTCCATCCTAGTAGAATGATTATTGTACAGAGGTTATCTTCAAATATAGTGTTGTGAAAAAGCCATAAGAAAAAAGGACCAACTGAATTTGAAACCCCATTTGCTGAATAGGTTAACCTCACAAACTCAAGCCACTTGTTTTCTGATCTCTGTCTCCACAAGTGATACGACAAGGAGAAATAGTTATGTACAATCAGTTATTTTTCTCCAGTCCTCATTCTTCTGAGGCTACTTCTGCCATTAAATAAGGTTTTTCACTCATTCTCTCAAAGAATGTGATTATCTTTTTTTGTGAGATGGAGATTGTCTAACAGGAACTAGTTGCGAAATGACTAAAGATGTCAGATGTGAGTCAAGTTCCATTTTATCTCTGTCTAAATTTTGGCCCATTTTTCTCTCCCACCTCTAGAGTTGGGGACAAAGTCAACAGTCAACTTTTTCCCAAGCTCATGTGTAATTGGTAAAACAATGGATACCACATAAAAAAGATGAAGTGGACATTTAATAGGTAACTCACAATATCTAATATATTCCTGGAAAAATTAATGGTTCCAAATTAATTCAAACTTTTTACCATAATATACTCACTAAATTTAAAAACAAAGGAATAAATCTTTATGTTCTGTTCTATTTGCAATTTTACATACCTTAGTGAAATGCCATCTAAAAATAATAAAACTAGGCTAATTGCAACTTCACATTGCTGCTTTCAGTCCTGGAATTTTTGTAGTTCCCCAATGTCTTCTGTAACTGCTTAATTTCTTCATTCTTCAGTGGTTATGGCTGATGCATATCACATAGCTGTTGGGAATGGAGTGACCTGAAAACTGACCAGGTCACTGAATGAAGAGCAACTTTGAAAAGACAATAAAGTATCAGAGCGTTTTTGTCATGGTGGGTCGAGTTAAGGTCTTATGCAGTGCCCTTCCAAGTTTAACTGTTATTAGCATCCCAACATCACCTAATTTTAAGTATAGCAAGCTATAGGAGCTCTTTCTTACATACATTTTATTTGGACTTTCTTCAAAACCTTCTTTATAAGGATAATATTCTCCATTTTGGGGTGCTAATCGTGATTCTCTTGGTGATTATTTAAATGATTTTTTAAAATCTGTAAAATGAGTAGGTTGCACTAGATCATCATGAAGTTCCAACATTCTGCCAGAGCACTGGTTGCCAAAGCATGACTATCATCATGTTATTTCTCTGCTCACAGAGCTATGCTGGCTCCCAAATACCTGTTGCTATGAGATCAAACCCCTATTTGTATTTCAAGTCTCCACCAACTAGAGTTACTCTGTCTCTTTTTAATCCTCACTCTTCTGCTACACGTACATAGTCCATACCAGAGAGGTAGTCCAGGATTTAGGTTTACCTCTTCAGGAGCCACAACTGAGTGCCATACTAGTGCTATTCAAAATGTGATCTGTGCACCACTACTGGTCCATGAAGTTTTTCTTACTGGCTGTGGCAATATAAGTACAGGACAGAAGAACATTTAGAAACTTTTAAAACAACTTGCCGTTGTTATGACACCCAAGCACATAATCAGTACACTTGTCTATTTGAACAGTTTTAGTGTTTCCACACTGGCATGTTGACTGAAAAAGAGCAGAAGCTTCATACAGGTCACATTCAGTAAGACCACATTACAGTGTGTGATTAGTTTAATAACTGTTATCCAAAATCGTGTAAAGATATTAAATATATGAGTATCTAAACATGTATCTATATTTCAAATTTACTTCATTTTAAATTAAGCATGGCGTTTAGTTTTCAGTTTAACATAATTAACTAATTCAGAGAAGTAAAATTTTTATTATTTTTAACCCTAATTGAACTATGGTGACACAGGCAAGCTTCACTGGATTTTCTTTTTTTGTCAAGAAATAATACATCTCGGCCGGGCGCGGTGGCTCACGCCTGTAATCCCAGCACTTTGGGAGGCCGAGGCGGGCGGATCACGAGGTCAGGAGATCGAGACCATCCCGGCTAAAAAAACGGTGAAACCCCGTCTCTACTAAAAATACAAAAAAAAAATTAGCCGGGCGTAGTGGCGGGCGCCTGTAGTCCCAGCTACTTGGGAGGCTGAGGCAGGAGAATGGCGTCAACCCGGGAGGCGGAGCTTGCAGTGAGCCGAGATCCCGCCACTGCACTCCAGCCTGGGCGACAGAGCGAGACTCCGTCTCAAAAAAAAAAAAAAAAAAAAGAAATAATACGTCTCTTCAAAATACAGCAGCAGTCATAAATTATTATTATTACCATTATTATTATTTTTATTATTTTGAGATGGAGTTTTGCTCTTGTCTCTCAGGTTGGAGTGCAATGGCATGATCTCAGCTCACTGCAACCTTCACCTCCCAAGTTCAAGTGACTCTCCTGCCTCAGCCTACCGAGTATCTGGGATTACAGGCGCCTGCCACCACACCCAGCTAATTTTTGTATTTTTAGTAGAGATGGGGTTTCACCATGTCTGCCAGGCTGGTCTCGAACTCCTGACCTCAAGTAATCCACCTGCCTCATCCTCCCAAATTGCTGGATTACAGGCGTGATCCAGGCCACCGCACCTAGTCAGTCATAAATTAAATTATGGTGATGAAAGTAATTTTGAAGATAGGAAAACTAAAATGTTTATATTGGTTTAATAAAATAAAATAATTTAATAAATGGTGATGAAAGTAACTTTGAAGATAATAAGACTAAAATGTTTATATTGGTTTACTCAGAAGTACACTCTGTCTTAAATTCTGTTTAGTAGTCATAATTGATGGTTAAGTGTTAAAACCACAGGGTGTATGGGCAAATATGCTGGCTAATAGTGCAATGGAATCAACAAAATTTAAATAGGTTTTAAATTTAAAACATAAAACAGGATTTAATTTAATTGTATCCTTTAAAAGGAAAAGTACTGAATAGGGGAAGTAAATGTTCAATATTTTATATATAAGCAGTATTGTTTTGTGAGTTTGTAACTAGCACTGTGGGCTGCTAAAACAGTGTATGTATACATAATTGCTGAAATTTTAGTGAAAGACCATTTTATAGGCATTAGTCTGAAAATAGTGGGTGAGTTTATAGCAAAGAAGATAGTTCAAATACCACTTTTCAGTGACATCATAGGTCGACTTCAGAAGCAAACTAATGATACAGAAGAAATACTCATAGAATAAATAAGGCTAGCAAATTATTTTTTTATTACAGCTAACACACAGTATAGAGTACAGAGATATTCTTAGCATGTCAATTCTTCTAGTACGTGTGCAATTTGTGTATGAATTTTGTTAGCTTCATTGCTTAAAAACATCTAAACCTGAAGTGTATAAAAATATTAAATTTGGAATTCTAGTTCTGTGTAGGAGTATAATCTGATGGTACAGCTGCAAAGGCAAGAAAACATTCTGGAGTAATCATCCAGATTTCGACAAGAATATTAATCTCCACATTTCTTACTTCTCTGAAATGTTTTGATGTTTTTAAAAAAAGTTAAGTGTAATAAATAATGTGTTTAGTGACACGGAAAAAGTTATGAATTACAAAAACCTAAAGTATCAAATTTTAGATTATTCTCTTCATTAGAAGGTGAAATGAAAGCTGATCATAAATTGTTGTTGCATGCTGTTGTACAATGGCTATCAAGAAGAAAACTGTCAAAAATGTTTGGACTACCGGACAGAATGTCAGTATTTCTGCAATAAAAGAAAGCAATTTTCTATCAACATTTAAAAATTGTGAATTGAGAATCCAGCCTTGCCTATTTGTCTGGTATCTTAATACTTCCATGCAAGGAAGGAATGCAATGTGGTTTTCAATGGCAGATAAGACATAAAAGCAAAAACTGAAGTGAAGTTTGTAATAAGATAGTGTCTACAGAGTGTTATGATGTGGCTTATAATTTAATAACAATTATCAAGTAGGTAGGGAATTATTTTGATCAATCATTCAAATCCGTAAAAGGGTATTGACAAGCACCATAGAAATTTGATAGAGTGGTCTTAAGAATTTTCCATTAAAAGAATATTCATGGGCTGGGCATTGTGGCTCACATCTGTAATCCCAGCACTTTGGGAGACCAAGGCAGGTGGATCACGAGGTCAGAAGTTCTAGACCAGCCTGACCAACATGGTGAAACCCCATCTCTACTAAAAATACAAAAATTAGCCAGGCATGGTGGCACTTGCCTATAGTCCCAGCTACTCAGGAGACTGAGGCAGGAGAATCCCTTGAACCCAGGAGGTGGAGGTTGCAGTGAGCTGAGATTGCACCACTGCACTCCAGCCTGGGCAACACAACGAGACTCTGTCTCACACACACAAAAAAAGAATATTCATTTATCAATTATCAATAGCAACTAAAATCAATTTCTTTCATCAGAAATTTAATTTAATTTAACAATAACTTGCAGGATAAATGGTTGGTATTGGCTATCGATGAACCATCAATGGTGAATTTTGAAAATACAGCATCTCTTGATTTGTCCTAGATAAAGTTAAAAATAAATACTCAACCTTGCTGAAAATGCTTCAGAATCACTTCTTCCATCACTATCAACTTATGTATGTGAGATTGATTTTTCTATGATGAGTTCAGAAAAAAAATGAAATAGGTTAGATATGTATCCCCTATGGATACTGTTCTTGTCAATAGAACCTATATTCGATTAATTAACAATGAAGAATCAAGCTCATTTGTATCATTAAATTTTGATGTGTGGGATATTTCTTTAAAGTGTAAAGTAATTATTAAATATGGGAATCACTATTTTACTCGTAATTTTAATTTTTCTTGTGATATGCAAGTTTAAGAATAAAAGCAATTCTCCATATGAATCACAGTGATATAATAGTTTAAATTTAATGGTGATTCTCCAGATAAATCACATTCATGCAAACTTTCAATTAAAATGTGTGTAATTTTTAAGTTTTTTACTTTTCACCTATGTAATGTTTGTTCTGATATTCATTTAAAGGTAATATTTTCTCAATTGAATCTAATTAAAAAATTGGCTCATATTTTTTCCTTGTGCTTGTTTTTTAATCAACAAGTGTATTAGTTCATTTTCCTGCTGCTGATAAAGATATACCTGAGATTAAGAAGAAAAAGAGGTTTAATTGGACTTACAGTTCCACATAGCTGGGGAGACCTCAGAATCATGGCGGGAAGCAAAAGGCACTTCTTACATGGTGGTGGCAAGAGAAAAAATGAGGAAGATGCAAAAGCGGAAACCCTTGATAAAACCATCAGATCTCATGAGACTTATTCACTACCAATGAGAACAGTAAAGGGGAACTGCTCCCATGATTCAAATTAGCTCCCACTGAGTCCCTCCCACAACATGTGGGAATTATGCGGGTATAATTCAAGATGAGATTTAGGTGGGGACACAGAGCCAAACAATATCAACAAGTAAAAATTGTACAAGCATACTTCATTCTATTGCACTTCACTTTATTGCACTTCACAGATACTGCATTTGTTACAAATTAAAAGTTTGTGGCAACTCGGCATGGAGCAAGACTATCGTGGAGTCATTTTTCCAACAGCAGGTGTTCCCTTCATGTCTCTGTGTCACATTTTGGTAAGTCTCACAATATTTCAAACTTTTTGATCATTATTACATCTGTTATGCTATCTCTAATCAGTGTTCTCTGATGTTACTATCATAATTGTTTTGGGGCACCACAAACTGGGCCCATATAAGATGGCAAACTTGATCCATAAAGGTTGTTTGTGTTCTGACTGCTATACTGGGCCAGCTCTTTCCCTGTCTCTTTCCTTCTTCTCTGGATTCCCTATTCCTCGAGACACAATAATATTGAAATTAAGCCAATTAATAACCCTATAATAGACTCTTAGTGTTCAGCTGAAGAAAGAGTCTCACATCTCTTCCTTTAAATCAATAGGTAGAAATGATCAAGCATGGTGAGGAAGGTATGTTGAAAGCCCAGATAGGCCAACAGCTAGGCTTCTTGAGCCATACACTTAGCCAAGCTGCAAATGCAAAGCAAAAGTTCTTGAAGGAATTTTAAAGTATTACCTCAATGAACACACAAATGATAACAAAGCAAAACAGCCTTATTGCTGATGTGGAAAAGGTTTTATTGGTCTGAATAGAAAATCAAACCAGCCACAACATGTACTTAAGCCAAAGCCTAATCCAGAGCAAGGCCCCAATTCTCTTCAATTTTCTAAAGGCTGAGAGAGTTGAGGAAGAAGTGGAAGAAAAGTCTGAAGCTAACAGAGGCTGATTCATGAGGTTTAAGAAAAGAAGCATCTCCATAACATAAAACTGCAAAGGGAGACAACAAGTGCTAATGCAGAGCTGCAGCAAGTTATCCAGAAGATCTACGTAAGATCATCGATGAAGGTGGCTATAGTAAACAACAAATTGTAAATGCAGACAAAACAGCCATATATTTGAAGAAGATTTCACCCAGGACTTTGATAGCTAGAGAGAAGTCAACACCCAAGTTCAAAGCTTTAAAGGCCAAACTGAGTTTCTTGCTAGGAGCTCATCTACCATTCGAAAAATTCTAGGGCTCATAAGAATTATGCTAAATCTACTGTGCTTGTGTTCTAAAGGTGGAAAGACAAAATCTGGATGACAGTAAATCTACTTATAGCATGGCTTACTGAATATTTTAACCCCACTATTGAGACCTACTGCTCAGAGAAAAAGATTCCCTCTGAAGTATTACTGTTCATTGACAATGCACCTGGAGACCCAAGATCTCTGACAGAGATGTACAAGGAAATTAATGTTGTTTTCATGCCTGCTAACACAGCACCAATCTGCAGCCCGGGAAACAAGAAATAATTTCCATGTTTAGGACTTATTATTTAAGAAATACACTTCATACATATGTAACAAACCTGCACATTGTGCACATGTACCCTAGAACTTAAAGTATAATTCAAAAAAAAAGAAATACACTTCATAAAAGCTATAGCTGTCACAGATAGTAATTCTTCTGATGGATCTTAGCAAAGTAAATGGAAAATCTTCTGAAAATGATTCACCATTCTAGATGCTATTTAGAACATTTGTGATTAATGTGGGAAGGTCAGTATATTAACATTAACAGGAGTTTGGAATTGATTCCAATGATCATGGATGACTTGGAGGGGTTTAAGACTTCAGTGAAGGAAGTAACTGCAGATGTGATGGGAATAGAAAGAGAATTAGAAGTGGAGCCTGAAGATGACTGAATTGTTGCAATCTCTTGAAAAAACTTGAACAGATGAGGAGTTGCTTCTCATAGATGAACAAAGAAATTGGATGGAATCTACTCCTGACGAAGATACTTTGAACATTGCTGAAATGACTACAAAGCATTTAGGATATTACATAAATCTAGTTGATAAAACAGTGGCAGAGTTTGAGAGGATTAATTCCAAGTCTAAAAGAAGTTCTTCTGTGAGTAAAATGTTGTCTGACAGTATCACATGCCACAGAGAAATCTTCTGTGAAAGGAAGTCAATTAATGTGGCAAATTTTATTATTGTCTTATTTTAATAAATTGTTGCAGCCACCCAAACCTTTAGCAACCACCACCCTGATCAGTCAGCAGCCATCAACATTGAGGCAAGTCATTTCACCAGCAAAAATTATGACTTTCCGAAGGTTCAGATGATCGTTAGCATTTTTGAGCAATAAAGTATTTCAAAATAAGATATGCATATTTTTTAGACATAATGCTATTGCACTCTTAATAGACTGCAGTATAGTCTAAACATAACTTTAATATGCACTGGGAAGCCCAAAAATTTGTGTGACTCACCTTATTGTGATAATCCCTTTATTGTGGTGGTCTGGAAACAGACCATATAGACATACACAATTTGTCACATACTTCTGTTAAAATATTATATATATATATATATATATATATATATATATATATATATGCACAATTTAGTTACCTTTTATTTTCTCCTTCTGTATCTAATCTAGGGGATTGTTTTTAGTTCAATAATTAATTTAAGGCTAGTATTATATTTGTTAAACCTGACATTTACTCAGTACTTAAAGTTTAAAGTTCCTTTTCTTTACTTTGGATTTACAGCTGCCTAAAGCAGCAGTCATTTCCAAGCTGCCTTATTATGTTGTTGTTCTATTTTGTTTTGTTTTAGGCTTTTAGCAACATGAAGTTATGGTTTTTAGTTTCTGTCTCTGTTGATAAGTGGAAAAGAAGAATGAGGAAGGGGCTTTACTGGCCCAATCGGAAACGGAAACTAAGAAACCATGACTGTATTCTCTCCCTTGGACACCCTGACCACAAGATCATCAATCCCTTTCCCCCTCTGTTTTTTGCTTGTTTGTTTGTTTTAAGTAAGACCTTCAGAATGGTTTGTATTTTTGGTGGCTATTTATTTTCCCTTTTTACATATCTCTTTGAGGGTTTACCTGATGAGTTCTTGGTGATCCAGAGGGAGTGGAACTTTTAAATAGGCAAAAGGTGACAGGGTACAGCTGGGTTTCAAATAACTGATGTCAGGCCTAAAAATGAATGCTGAGGTAGCAACTAAGTTAAATTTGTGACAGCAGCAAAATGAAAAAAAATTTTTAACGAACAATTATTTTCTCTAGATAGTTGAAACACACTGTACTACTATTATTGTCAGGAATGATACAATGCTGGGAACATGGTACATGCTCAGCTGACAAATACCTGTGAATAGATAGATTTATATTAATAAATTGGGTTACATTTTCTGAAGGAAGTAATTTCTCCAAGTGGATAGCTGTATCTATAGAGAGATTCTATGCATCTACCAGTTTCCAGGGGTAGTCATCATTAAAGTACACACCAGGATTTTCACCAGGATTTTGTCACTGCTTTATTCCAATGCTTTTGCAATGTCAGGCCATTCCATTCTGGAGGCAAATACCTAAAGCTAGTCACAGAAACAGGCCTCAAATAGTTAGAAAGTAAAGTATTAGATACTCTATTAAGAGCAACATGAACAAGTCCTTGGCCAAAAATGTCTTATAGATTTTAACCTTGAATATGTGTAATGCTTTGGCTTCTTAAGATATTCTATCAATAATAAAATGTCTTACTGACTTGTAGCGTATTATTGTTTTATCATTTAGATAACTGGAAGACGAAAGTGAAAAAAGAGGAAGAAGGATTTCAGAAATAAGATTAATCAGCACCATAATTTCTCCCTAGAAGTATATAACCATCCACAGGGTCATGAGGTCCAATCTCAGCTCCTAAATCTAAATGTAATATATAATGTGCGAGAGACTTCCTGTTTCTGGTAGTAGATGGTTAAGTTATTTGTGTGAATCTCCCAGCTGAAGATAAAACAAAACAAAAATAGGATAAAATTATCTGTATCTGTAAATACACACACACAAATATATACATACAAACACATACTTGCACACATATACACACATTCATACACACACACACACACACACATACATTTTTTTTTTAAGTTTCCCAAGTATTTGTATCCACAGAATAACCTTCATATAGAGATGCTTTTACCCAAGGCCTCAGACTCTCGCTCAAATAAACTTTTTAGGGAAAATAACCAGCAAACATTCAAAGATAAACAGGCACACGAGGAATTTTAATAGGATCAAGAATCAATGCATAAAACAGAGAGCAGAAACAAACTCATACAGACTTCACATATTGCATTATTAAATATACATTTATAAATCACATTTACTCTGTTTAAAGAAGTAAGCAGTAAATTTGATACCATTTGTAGGTAACAGGAAAATTTAAGAGTACATTTAAGAAAGAACTACAGGCCGAGCACGGATTACAGTGACTCATGCCTGTAATCCCAGGACTTGGGGAGGCTGAGGTGTGTGGATCACCTAAGGTCAGGAGTTCGAGACCAGCGTGGCCAACATGGTGAAACCCTGTCTCTACTAAAAATACAAAAATTAGCTGGGCATGGTGGCATCTGCCTGTAATTCCAGCTACTGGGGAGGCTGAGGCAGGAGAATCGCTTGAACCCAGGAGGCGGATGTTGCAGTGAGCCAAGATTGCACCACTGCACTCCAGTCTGGGCGACAGAACGAGACCCTGTCTGAAAAAAAAAAAAAGAACTACAGAAAAATACAATAACAAAAATCAAAAAATGTATTTGGCATTTCACTAAACATAGAGAAGATAAAATTAATACTATATAGATTAGAAGAAATTATCCAGCATCTAGCACAAAGGGGAAAAAGTGGAAAAGAGAGTGAAAATATGTAAATTCCAGAGTGAGGTTTAGTTTATATTTGACTAGTCTTAGAAAGAGAGAAGAGACAGAGAATGGGCCAGAGGAACATTTGAAGAGATCATGGCTTAGGATTTTTTAGAAGTCATGTGACATATGAATCCACAGATTCAATTGACCCCCAAATTTTCTAGCTTGATAATTAAAATACAATTCCAATATTAGACATAATACAGTGAAACTGCTTTAAAAGATAAAAAGAGAAATTTCTTCCCCATTGGTTTGTAACATTTTCTTACAGTGAGTTGGATGGCTGGATTATGTGCAAATGTTCTTCTCGAAATTCAGGTTCCTAGAATTCATGAATTTAATATAGCATTGTGAAAGTTAAGAGAAAGTCTTTTGTTCTCATTGCTTAGAAATCTAAGTGAAGCCTAATACATTCCTGGGATTTACAAAACCTAGGTTGCTTTTGCCTTTGCCAGAATGTTAAATTGCCATAAATTTTCCAATTTTTGCCATGTACTGCACTGTACTTGCCATTATTTGTATAATATATTTCACATCATTGTTTGTCTATTTTCTTCCCCAACCGTGTTGCAGCACCGGACATTGTAGTCCTAAGGCAGTTATAGGAAAAGATATCAATGCATGACTAAATCCCAGAAAACTAGGCTCCTACAATAGGAGGTTTTCTCTTAGCCCTCTCGTCATCAAGGCTGAGTGCTTCTAAGGGATTTAATATACAATAACACCGTGTATAATTCCTCCTAAATTCAGAGATGTGAACAAGAATAATGTCCTGACAAATCCATGGTGTTTAGTATTTCAATGAACAAAGCAAGCACACTCTTTTTTTTCTATAAACTGTATAAACAATTATGTGGGTAAAATAATCTCACAGAATGTCTGAAAAGTAGCAAAGAGTGTGGTATGACCAGAAAATTTCTCAAGAGATTGAAAAAAAGCAAAACCCTGCTTCCTTGTCTATTTGAAAATTTGATGTTAGGAAACCAGCTAGGCTGAGTTTTTGTTTGACCCAAGGTAAACAAAAGAATATACTTCATATTGCAAAATAAAACGACATACCAAGACTTTTGAATTTGATCACAAGTATCATCCCAAAATGCAAAGTCATGTATCCCTTTGGAAATTCATAGGAAAAATGGCAAAAACAAAGTAAAGCAGTTTAGCTCCCAGTATTTGTAAGTTAGAGAAAAGTTTTGCTTTAGTTTTTCTGTGTGTGCAAAACCAGTCTTAAAGAAACCACTTTCCAGGCGAGTTCAAGTAAGAATTATTCATTCTCTTTAGGACTTTAAGTGACAAGGTGATATAGTTTGGATATTTGTCCCTCCAAATCTCATTTGAAATGTGATCCCCAGTGTTGGAGGTGGGGCCTAGTGGGAGGTGTTCGTGTCCTGGTGGTGGATCACTCATGAATGGCTTAGTGCTGCCCTGGCAGTAATGAGTGAATTGTCTCTCTGCTAGTTCCCCAAAACATGGCTATTTAAAAGAGTGTGACACCCCTCCCATCTCTCTTGCTCCCTCTCTCTCTCACATCATGTGACATCCCTGCTCCCCTTTAGCCTTCTGCTGTGTCTGGAATCTTCCTGAGATTCTTACCAGAAGTACATGCCAGTGCCACACTTCTTATATGACCCGCAGAACAGTGAGCCAAATATTTTCTCCCATTCTGTAGGTTACCTGTTTACTCAGTTGATAGTTTATTTTTCTGTGCAGAATTCCTTTAGTTTAATTGGATCCCATTTGTCAATTTTTGCTTTTGTTGCAGTTGCTTTTGGCATCTTTGTCATGAAATCTTTGCCATATTCTATGTCCAGAATGTATTGCTCAGGTTGTCTTTCAGGGTTTATTACAGTTTTGGGTTTTACATTTAAGTCTTTAATCTATCTTGAGTTGATTTTTGTATATGGTGTAAGAAAGAGTCTAGTTTCAATATTCTGCATATGGCTAGCCAGTTATCCCAGCACTATTTATTTATTTATTTATCTTTTTGAGACAGTGTCTCGCTCTGTCACCCAGGCTGGAGTGCAGTGGTGCGATCTCTGCTCACTGCAAGCTCCGCCTCCCGGGTTCACGCCATTCTCCCGCCTCAGCCTCCCAAGTAGCTGGGACTACAGGTGCCGGTCATCACGCCGGGCTAATTTTTTTGTATTTTTAGTAGAGACGGGGTTTCACCGTGTTAGCCAGGATGGTCTCGATCTCCTGACCTTGTGATCCGCCCGCCTCGGCCTCCCAAAGTGCTGGGATTACAGGCGTGAGCCACCGCGCCAGGCCCCCAGCACCATTTATAAGGCTTCTTATGCATTATTGAGATAATTCTATGTTTTTTTTTGTACTTCTTTCTGTTTAAAACTAGTTATTTCTAGTTCTGCAAATAATGCCATTTGTAGTTTGATAGGAATAGCATTGAATCTGCAATGCCATATTGCCCAAAGCATACTTGTGGCATCATATTTATTGACGTGCAGGTTGAATCATTGTTGGATTCCAGAGATAAGTTCCATTTGATTATAGCATATTGTCCTATTAATGAGCTGTTGAATTTCATTTCATAGTATTGTGTTGAGGATTTTTGCATCTACGTTCATCAAAGCTACTGTACTATAATATTCTTTTCTTGTACAGTCCCTGTCTGTTTTTGGTATCAGGGTAACGAACCCTGGCCTCAAAAAATGAATTTGGAAGTGTTTTCTCCTCTTCAATTTTGTGGATGAGTTTAGGAAGGATTGGTGTTAATTAGTTAAATGCTTGGTAGAATTCACCACTGAATCCATATAGTCCTAGGATTTTCTTTGTTGGGAAGTTTCTGATTAATAATTAAATTTCCTTCATCATTATTGGTCTATTTGGATTTCCATTTTCTTCATAATTAATTCTTGCTAAGTTGTATGTTACCAGAAATTTATCTACTTATAGGTTCTTCAATTTGTTGGTATTCATTTTTTTTCGTAGTAGTCTTGTGATCCTTTGTATTTTTGTGTGTTCAGTTGTAACATCTGCTTTCTGATTTAAATTTTTATTTTGTAGTCTTCTCTTTCTCTTGCTTAATCTAGCTACTGATTTGTTAATTGTATCTTTTCAAAAACCAATTCAGTTTTGTTGATTATTTCTATTGTCATTCTAATCTCTATTTTATTATTTATGTAATAATCTATCATTTCCTTCCTTCTGCTGACTCTGGGCTCAGTTTATTATTTACCTAGTTTCTCTAAGTGTAAAATTAACTTGTTTATTACCTTCTTCTTAATGTAAGCATTTACTCCTATAAACTTTCCCTTTAGAAATGCTTTTGTGGCATCCTATATTTTAAAATATTTTTTAAAATATGTTTCCATTTCTTCATTTCTCAAGTTTTTTAATTTTTCCTTTTGATTTCTTCCTGGATCCACTGGTTATTAAGGATTGTGTTATTTAACTTCCATGTGTTTGTGAACTTGCTGAAAGTTCTTCTGTTACTGATTTCTAAGTGAATACTACTGTGGTTAGAAAAGATACTTGAAATGATTTTAATCTTCTTAAATCTGTTAAGACTTGTTTTGTTGTCCAAAATATAGCCTACCATCGAGAATGTACTGTGTGCTCTTGAGAACAATATAATCTACTTACATTGGATGGAGCATTTTGTATGTTTGTTAGGTCCATTTGGCATATAGTATTGTTCAAGTCCACTGTTACCCAATTGATTTTTTGACTCAATGATCAACCCATTGCTGAAAGTGAGGTATTGAAATCCCCTACAGTTATTTTATTGCTGGCAATTTTATTCTTCATGTCTGTCAAAATTGGCTTTATATACTTAGCTGAGCTATTCTTGGGTGAATTTGTTTACAATTATTATATCTTCTTGATTAATGGGCCCATTTATCATAATGTAATTACCTTCTTTAATTTTTTTGAGAGGTTTTGACATAAAATATATTTTTTCTAATATAAGTATAAGCAGCCCTTTTTTTGGTTATACTTTACATGGAATATCTTAACATTTTAAGTGATTATTGATAGGTAAGGAGGTAGAATTGCCATTATGTTCATTGTTTCCTTATTTTGTAGTTCGTTTGTTCCTTTCTTTCTGTCTTTATTGATGATATAACGGTTTATTATAGTGGTATGCTTTGATTCCTTACTCTGTCTTTTACTTATCCACTAGAAGTTTTTTTTTCTTTGTGGTTACCATGGAGCTTGCATAAAATATCTTATAGTTATACCATTCTTTTAAAAACTGATAGCAACTTAACTTCAATTGTGAACAGAAACACTACAGTTTTATTTCTTACTCCTCCCACATTTGAGGTCATTTAATGCCTATATATTGTGTATCCATCAACAATTTATTAAAGGTATAATTATTTTTAATGTTTTTATCTTTTGAATTTTGAGCTAAATATAAAAGTGATTTACACATCACCATTACATTATTCAATATTCAAATATTCTGAATTTGACTGTATTCTTACCTTTGTAATGAATTATATGCTTTCATATGTTTCCATGTTTTTACTTAGTGTTCTTTTGTTTCAACTTGAAGAACTCCTGTACCATTTTTTATAAGGCAGGTTTTATGGTGATGAATTTCCTCTTTATTTCTTCTTCATTTCCAAAGGGCAGATTTTCAGGGTATAGTATTTTTGGTCGGCAGGTTGTTTTTTTGTTGTTGTTGTTCTTGTTTCTGTTTTTGTTTTCTTTCCAGCACTTTGAATATAGTATCTCACTCCGTTTTGACTTGCAAGTTTTCTGTTGAGAAGTCCATTGATACCCTTATGGAAGTTCCCTTGTCTTTGACAAGTCTCTTTTCTCTCACCCTTTTCAAGAATCTCCCTTTGTCTTTGACTTTTAACAATTGGATTATAGTGCATCTCAAAGTATTCTTCTTTGGGTTGCTTTTACTTAAGTCCTTTGGGATTCCTGAATCTGGATGTCCATATTCTTCTCAAGATTTGGGAATCTTTCAGCCAGTGTTTCTTTAAATAAGCTTTCTATCTCCTTCTCTCTCGTATTTGAAAATTTCATTTGTATATAGTCATGAGCCATATGACATTTTGGTAAACAGACCACATATATGATGGTGTTCCCATAAGATTATAATATTGTATTTTCACCATACCTTTTTTAATGCTTGGATATGTTTAGATACACAAATATTTACCATTGTATTACAGTTGCCTACAGTATTATGTATAGTATATGTTGTACTGGTTTGCAGTCTAGGAGCAATATGCTATATTATAAAGCCCAGGTGTACAGTAGCCTACAATTATAGATTCGTGTAAATATATTCCATGATATTCACATGACATATTCACCTAACAATGCATTTCTCAGAACATATCCCCATTGTTAAGTAACATATACTTTATTCATAATTTGATAGTGTCCCCTAAGGCTCTTGTGCTTTCTTCACTCTTCTTCATTCTTATGTTGGTCCCTCTAATTAGCTAATTTCAAATGACCTGTATTTAATGTTGCTAATTCTTTCTTCTGCATGATCAAGTCTTCTGTTGAAGTTCTCTATTGAATTTTTCACTTCTGTTATTGTATTCTCAACTCCAGGATTTTTGTTTGGTTCTTTTTATGCTCTTTGTCTATTAAGGATTAAGGGTTTTTTTTCCTCATTCATCATTTTCTAAATTTTGTTTAGCTTTCTGTCTGTTCGCTTGCACCTCACTGCCCTTCAAGATTATGATTTTGAGTTTTTTTCTAGGCTATTTGTATATTTCCTTTTCTTTGAGATGAGTTATTAAAACTCTGTTCATTTTCTTTAGTGGTGTCAGATTTAACTGATTGATTATTATCCATGTATCCTTGTATTAGTGTCTTTCATTTGAAGAAACAAACACCTCATCCAGTCTTTACAGACTCCTTTTGGCAGGTGAAGACCTTCTCCTGTTGGGTTTCAGGCTGATAGAACTGACTCTTGGATTGCACTTGGGTAGGGTTGGAGCCAGTTTATGTGACTGCTACTGAGTCCTCAGTGTAGTCTGTACTCAGCAGGACAGTTACCAAGGCTCAAGTGGGTGTGGATCTTTTCTAGTCTCTAGGTCAACTAGACTGCCTCAAGGACTTTGCCAAGAAGAGCTGGTACTAGGATGAAGGTTAGCTTTAAGGTTCACAGATAAATTTGAGTGCATAGACAGGTTTGATTCCCATGGATCTCAGGGAAGTTTCCTTCTGGGTGTCTGGGTGGACTCCTGGCCATGAATTCCTTTCCCCATTCTATGACTGAGTGGAGCTCTAATTGAGTCAAATGGCTGCTTCAGGGTCCACAGCCAAAATGAGGCCTTCAGGCCTGCCTCTGCAAGTATGGATGGGTATATCTCACGCTGGTCTCTGGGCAAGCAATACTGCTCTCAGAACACAGGTGACAGGGGCTGAGACTGAGCTACAGGGCCATTTCAAGACCTGCAGTGGAACTAAGTTTAGCTGGATTGACTACAGGGGTACAGATGGGGGTGCCTTCCTCTGAGTCCTAGATTGGAAGGACTGCTCTCAGACCATAGCTAAGAGGAGCTGAAACTGAGTTACAGTGCTGTTTCAGGATCTGCTTTAATACTGAGGTTGGCAGATCTGCGCTGGGAAATCAGACATACATATTGAAATTGTTGATCACACACAATATGAAATAGAAAGAAATTGAAGAAATTATCCAAAAAAATTTAAATAAGGAGGAAAAACTATTTTTATGATAAAGTAGTAAAAATGATTGGCACACTTTTCCTTATTTCCTTAAACTAACTCATTTAGATTTTCTTATTTGGCATAATAGATGGAAAAGTTTTATATAGCAAGTCCCCAATATGCTTAGGTTCCATTTCTGAGCACATTTATGGTTTTCTTTTTACTCGTTCGTATTTCTCTTCTTAACAGAGTGGAAAGCTTTGCTTTTCCCTACAGAGAATTCATAGACAACTGCCTAGTTGGTGGCCCACTTTAGTCCTTACCCATCTGAATTTAAAATGCTGTTACAAGATTCCTTCTAAATTACCAAAACCTAACAGGCTATTTTCTCTCTGCATTTCTACTTGCCACTTATTTTCTACTTTGATTCTTGCAATACCAATTCAAACTTTCTCTTCTCTCTGTACCTCATATAAAAGGTTAATCTGCCAGCAAAATTGGTAACACTGTTTTTAAGCTTAATTTTTAAGATAAAGAAATCACTGAAATTTGGTTTATTGTTTAATTTTGAAAGAAAATAACTATTTGGTACTTAATCATCTAAGAATTGTTTTTAATAATCTGCATCACACTGAGAATGTTCATGTAAAGAAAGGGATTATTTTAAGTCATATTTATGTCAATATGAAAAAAGAAAATATTTACCAGAGGCAACAGTTTGGAGGAGACCAATGTTTAAATTTATTTGGATGTGAATCGAGCATTTTGTAATAACAGTACAAAGATCACATTGTAATTGAGAAGTACTCCATAGATATGAATATTTCCATCTTAAACCAATTCAGTTACATGGTCCATTGACAAAATATTACATTTGTATTACATGTACAGAAAGATATACTTTAAAATAAAGTAATAGTAACTCAAAAGTATTTGATTTTATCTTGGTATATTTCCAGGGAAACATTAAAAGTAGAATTAAAAGTGAATGAAAATGAAAATAGCACATCAAAAAAAAGATATGTAGAGGTCATAATTTTTTTTAAAACCCTGTAATTATCAATAAGTATTTCTTCAAGACAGTTTTCATCCTTCATGATTAACGTACCCATTTTTCTTATTTTTCAACTGAATTGGCTTCATAGTAGGGTTAGATATTTTCCAATAGACCATGATATTTGATTATATTCTAATCCAAATACTAGGCTATGTTTAGTCCTTTCTGTCCTTTTAAATCTTGCCACAGGCATTTCTAGTTGATGTTTGGCTTTTGAAAAAGTTTAGGTCAATGGAAGGTGTGGTGAAATATCTCCTCATTTCATCTGTTAAAAATTTTATTTTCTATTTAATTCACTGAAAGGACAATATAACTGCTACAGGCCACAGTTAGCTGTTGCAATTGTTTCTGGTATGATGCAGATCATGCTCTATTTCTTCTTTTTATTGCCAACTTTTGGATAAAAGTAATCTATACAGGCTGTCTTCATCCCTTTACCAATTTAATTATAAACTTTTCAAATCTACCATCTACATTTGCTACTTCACTAAAATTACTCTCACTCACATCATCTAATCAAATATTTTCCATTTTTACTTATATATTCATGGATTTCCTTAAATAATGCAGTCTTCATTAATTGAATTATCAAACTTATTTTTTGTCTTTAGCTCTACTTTATTTCATTTTTTCAAATATCTGGTAGCTCTTTGTAATGACAATTACACCATAAAAATGGACAATTTTCAAGTCCATTTCTCAGTTCTATTCTTTTTATTAAACCTCCACATAAATTAACCTAACCAATTATACTGCTTGAATTTCTATTTTAATGTAGATGGTGCAAATATGTTAATAAGATAATCTGCCCACCAACCAGTTACCACATTAATTAAAAATTTACCATCTTAATTTTTAATATTTTAATGTTTATTTATGAAATGTGATCTCTTTCTCTTCCTCCACCTCATTTCATTGAAATATCTACTTAAAATTTGTTTCAAATGGGCCGGGTGCAGTGGCTCACACCTGTAATCCCAGCACTCTGGGAGGCCGAGGTGGGCAGATCACGAGATGAGGAGATGGAGACTATCCTGGCTAACACAGTGAAACCCCATCTCTACTAAAAATACAAAAAATGAGCCGGGCTTGGTGGCGGGCCCCTGTAGTCCCAGCTACTTGGGAGGCTGAGGCAGGAGAATGGCGTGAACCTGGGAGGCGGAGCTTGCAGTGAGCAGAGATTGCGCCATTGCACTCCAGCTGGGTGACAGAGTAAGACTACGTCTCAAAAAAAAAAAAAATTTCTTTCAAATGTCTACTTTCTCATGAAACGCTTCCTGATTCCTCAATATGAATATGATTATTATTTCCTTTGTACACATTCTATTTTATTTATGGCACTTATTGTACATGTTTTACATGTTTTTTACTACTATCTATGTGCTTGTCTAATTATGCCTATTAAAGCATAATCTTCACAGTAAGCAAGATATCTTAATTTTGTTGATTTCTCTACAGTATCTAGGATATAGTGTCTTCAACATACTGAGTGAATGAACCAAATTTGATGTTCCAACATCTGCACTATTTTGGGGGGAAGATATCACAAAGATCAGTTTCATAACAATGTATAATACATTTGGGAAGACAGAAGTTAGACAACAGAAGTCATCTACTTTTGAGATAATTGGAGAAGAAGGCAAAGAAGTGAATCAAACTGAGGTTGAGAAGTAACTGCGTTCTCCAGTAATTGGAGAGTTTGCATATAGTTCACCCAGACCAAGAAAAAATCATAATGAAAGTAGAAAGGTGTCTATATACCCCAGAAAGTTAGCTGGCAAGAATTTGACTGATGTGATATGATATAATCCTTTGAAACAGAGCTTCCCTGCATAAAACTTACTATTAATTGATTTGATAGATTATATTCCCTGGTTTGAGTATTAATTAATTACATTCCCTGGTTTGCTTTGAGGAAGTTTATGTTTTCACTATTGTCCTTACATAATTATTGTTACCCACTCTTTTAACTTTCAAAAATGTATCAGTGTGACTAGTGAATTATTTGACCATCTTAACTAGAATATGCAAAGCTGGGTGGTTTATCTTATTTACATCGCTATGCTTGCCAATCTGTGACCTTATAAATTCACACACATCACATTTCTAGCAAAAAACATTTATGCTAAACTCAACATAACTGGTCCACTAAGTATGAATTAATGGAGTGTAAAAATCACTGTGTCTTCCCTCACTGTGCCAACCAAAGTCATGCACATTACTCATTCTTCTTAAAGGTTTATTTAATTGGACCAAAATTCAAGAAAGCTAATATCAGAGACAGGGAATCTCTATTAAGTCACACATCTAATATTTTCTTAGGTGATTTTGTTTTCCAGGGAACTGAAGAGAGTTTTGTAGAGAAATAATTTGAGCACCTAAATGAAAGCAGGTATGCCATCTGACTCAGTTCATTTCTGGGAAAAAAATGCTCAAAATAATCATGCTTCTTACAAAGAAGTCAAATTTAACACCCCCGAAACTAACCCTCCCAAGAGTATCTCATTTGAAATATAATATCCACAAGTTACACAGATACATGCCAGACATTTTTATTATTTAATTTTTTGGATACTGATGATTCAATTCATTGAATGGAAATTGCCATGTGAAGTCAGGATTAACCATAGAAGCGTGGGGTTGATGGGACTCTACTATCTTATTTCTTTCTTTGAATAGCTTTCAATATATCAAAAGGTGAATATAAAAATGATATCTGTTCATTCCATCTTAAACCCTCTATCACCAAACTATTTCTTAACAAGGAAAAAAGGCAGTAGCTTTTTCCCTTATACTCACCCACCATTGCTTTTTAAAATCTCACTTAAAAAATACATACCTTTATTGAGTGTACAAAATTAAAATTATCCCGCTACTAAATTCATTAACCTCTCCAACAGGACTCTCTTAAGCTAACATTCATAATACCCATTAGGCTTACATGCTGTGAAGGGGATAAATGAAGATAAGAATAGAGAAATGATAGAAGCACAAGAGAAAATTTGGCATATGTATTATAATCTCCAGCACTGCAGTTTCCTAGAGAATAAACATACCATCAGTCATGTCAATTAATCCACACTACACTAATCCCAAGCTAAAGGATAAGCAATCAAATTAGGGGAAGAGGAGTATGTAGAGCATAACATCAGATGCATCCGAGAAAAAGCTTAGCAAAAGGGCTAACTTAAAGTGTGCTCCAGAATAAATAAGCCAGGATTATAATTGCCAGCACTAAAATGAAGTATGGCTACTCTAAGTGTATCAATGCTTGAAATGAACTGTACAGCATAAAATGATTCCTGATGTTGGTCCTGGAGATAGTATATAATTCAAAAACTGAAGGACTGCAGCAAAGCAATAAGGGTAATCAGATCAGGGATCTAAATCAGAATTCAAATTTTCAAAAATTGCCTGGAACTTCTTGTAAAACTGTTTTAGTTTCAGGGATACATGAACAGATTGTTATATAGGTAAATTGTGTGTCATGGAGGTTTGGTGTACAGATTATTTCATTCAACACATAATAAGCATGGTACCCAGTAGGTAGTTTTTTTATCTTCACCACTCTCCTACTCTTCACTCTCAGGTAGATCCTGGTGTCTATTGTTCCCTTATTTATGTCTATGTGTACTCAATGTTTAGCTCCCAATTGTAAGTGATAACATGTGGTATTTGATTTTTCTGTTCCTATGATAGTTTGCCTAGGATAATGGCCTCCAGCTCCCTCCATGTTCCTGCAAAGGACATGACTTCATTCTTTGTTATGGCTGTGTAGTATTCTATGGTATATGTATATATGTATATATATATATATATATATATATATATATATATATATATATATATACACACATACCACATTTTTGTTATCCAGTCTATCATTGATGAGCATCTAGGTTGATTCCATGTCTTTGCTATTGTTAACAGTGCTGGCTGTGGTGAATATACACATGCATGTGTGTTTATGGTAGAATTATTTCTGTTCCTTTGGGTATATACCCAATAATAAGATTGCTGGGTTGAACGGTAGTTCTGTTTTAAGTTCTTTGAGAAACTTCCAAACTGCTTTCCACAGTGGCTGAACTAATTTACATTCCCACCAGCAGTGTACGAGCATTCCCGTTTTTTCCCACAAGCTTGCTGGCATCTGCTATTTTTTGACGTTTTAAGAATAGTCATTCTGACTACGAGATGGTGTCTCATTATGGTTTTGATTTGTATTTCTTTAATAATTAGGGATGTTTAGCATGTTTTCATATGCTTGTTGTGCATGTATATGTCTTCTTTTGAGAAGTATCTGTTCATATCCTTTGTCCACTTTTAATGGGGTTGTTTTTTGCTTGTTAATTTGTTTAAGTTCTGTATAGATATACAATCTGGGTATTAGACCTTTGTTAGATCCACAGTTTGCAAATATTTTCTCCCATCCTGTGACTTGTCAGTTTGCTATGGTGATAATTTTTTTCTGTCTTGCAGAAGCTCTTTCGTATAATTAGGTACCATTTTGTCGATTTTTGTCTTTGTTGCAATTGCTTTGGGAGTCTTTCTCAGGAAGTCTTTGCAGGGACATATGTCTAGAATGGTATTGGCTAGATCTTCTTCTAGGGATTTTAGAGCTTCAGGTCTTATATTTAAGTCTTTAATCCATCTCGAGTTGATTTTTATATATGGTATAAGGAAGGGGTCCAGTGTCAATCTCTGACGTATGGCTAGCCAGTAATCCCAGAACCACTTATTGAATAGGGCGTCCTTTCCCCATTGCTTGTTACTGTTGACTTTGTTGAACGTCAGATTGTTGGAGGTGTGTGGCCTTTTTCTGGTTCTCTTGTCTTTCACATTGGTCTATGTGTTTGTTTTTGTACCAGTACCATGCTGCTTTCATTGCTATAGCCTTAATGTACAGTTTGAAGTCAGGTAATGTGATGCTTCCAGCTTTGTACTTTTTGCTTAGGATTGCTTTGGCTACTTAGGCTCTTTTTGTTACCATATGCATTTTAGAATAGTGGCATTTTAAATTTTTGTGAAGAATGTCATGGGTAGCTTACTAGAAATAGCATTGAATATGTTAATTGCTTTGGGCAGTATATCCATTATAACAATATTGATTATTCCCATCCGTAAGCATGGATTTTTTACCATTTGTTTGTGTCATCTCTAATTTCTTTCAGTAGTGTTTTGTAATTATCTTTATAGAAAACTCTCACTTCCCTGGTTAGTTGTATCCTAGGGATTTTATTTTTATTTTTGCAGCTATTGTGAATGAGATTGAGCTCTTGATTTGACACTCAGTTTGGATGTTGCTGGTGTATAGAAATACTACTAATTTTTGTATGTTGGCTTTGTATTCCAAAACTTTGCTGAAGTTGTTTATCAGCTCTAGAAGGCTTTGGGCAAAAGCTACAGAGTTTTCTGGGCATAGAATCATACTGTCTGCAAACAGAGATAGTTTGACTTCTTCTCTTCCCATTTGGATGACTTTTAGGTCTTTTTCTTGCCTGATTGCCCTGAATAGGACTTCCAGTACTATAGTGAATAGGAGTGGTAAGAATGGGCATCTTTGCCTTGTTCTGGTTTGCAAGAGGACTGCTTCCAATATTTGCCCATTGAGTTTGATGTTGGCTGTGGATTTGTTATAGATGGCTCTTACTGCTTTGAGTTATGTTGCTTCAATGCCCAGTTTATTGAGGCTTAATATGGAAGGATATTGAATTTTATCAAAAGCTTTTTCGTATTTATTGAGGTGATAATGTTGTTTTTGTTTTTACTTCTGTTTATGTGATGAATCACATTTATTGATTTGCATATATCAAACCAACCTTGCATTTCAGGATAAAGCCTACTTCATTGTGGTGGATTATCTTTTTGATGTGTAGCTGGATTCAGCTTGCTAGTATTTTGTTGAGGATTTTTACATCTACGTTCATCAGAAAAGTTGGCCTGAGGATTTCCTTTTTTGTGTGTCCTGCCAGGTTTTGGTGTCAGGATGATGTTGGCCTCATAGAATAAATGAAGAAAGAGTCAATCATCCTCAATTTTTTGGGAATAGTTTCAGTAGGGATGATACCAGATTTCTTTATACATCTGATAAAATTCAACTGCTGTGAATCTGTCTTCTCCTGGGTTTTTTCTGGTTGGAATGCTTATTATCACTGATTCCATTTTGGAAGTCATTATTGGTCTATTCAGTGATTCAATTTCTTCCTGGTTCAATCTTTAGAGATTGTATATTTCCAAGAATTTATCCATTTCTTGTAGGTTTTTTAGTTTGTGTGCACAGAGGTTTAATAATTGTCACTGTTTTTTGTATTTCTGTGGGATAAAGGGTAATATCTCCTTTGTCATTTTTCACTGTGGTTATTTGGATCTTCTCTCTTCTTTTCCTTATTAGTCTAGCCAGTGGTCTAGCAATCTAATTTATTCTTCAAAAAACCTGAATTCCTTACTCTTTTGCATGGTTATTCATGTCTAAATTTCATTCAGTTCAGCTCTTATTTGGTCATATCTTGTCTTTTGCTAGTTTTAGGGTTGCTTTGCTCTTGTATTTTCTAGTTCTTCTAGGTGTGATGTTAGGTTGTTAATATGAGATCTTTCTGACTTTTTGATGTGGGTGTTAGTGGGATAAACTTCCCTCTTAACACTGCTTTAGCTGTGTGCCGGAGATACTGGTATGTATTATCATTGTTTTCATTGGTTTCAAATGATTTCTTAATCCATGCCTTAATTTCATTATTTCCCCAAAAGTCATTCAGGAGCAGGTTGTTTAATTTCCATGTAATTGTATGGATTTGAGTAATTTTCTTAGTATTGATTTCTATTTTTATTGTACTGTGGTCCAAAAGTATGGTTGGTATGATTTCCATTTTTTTTAATTGGTGGGGCTTATGTCCAATTTTGTGGTCAGTTTTTGAGTGTGTGCCATTTGTAAGTGAGAAGAATGTATATTCTGTCGCGTTGGAGTGGAGAGTTCTGTAGATGTCTGTTAGGTTTATATGGTCAAGCATCTTGTTGAGGTCCCAAATATCTTTATTAGTTTTCTATCTCAATGACCTGTCTAATGTCAGTGGGTTGTTGAAGTCTTCCACCATTATTGTGTGGTAATATAATTCTCTTTGCAGGTATCTAGTAACTTGTTTATAAATCTGCATGCTCCTGTGTTCGGTGCATATATGCTTAGGATAGTAAAGTCTTATTGAATTGAACCATTTACCATTATGTAATGCTCTTCTTTGTCATTTTTTAACATTGTTGGTTCAATTTTGTTTTGTCTGAAATTACAATTGCATGCCCTACTCTTCATTTTTTTTTTCCATTTGCTTAGTAGATTTTTGTCCATCCCTTTTATTTGTGCCCCTGAATGTTATTGCATGTGAGATGGATCTATTGATGACAGCATACCATTGGGTCTTGCTTCTCTATACAACATGCCATTCTGTGCCTTTTAAATAGGGCATTTAGCCCAATTACATTCAAGGCGAATATTTTTATGTGCATATTTGATCCTGTCATTATGTTTTTAGTTGATTATTTTGTCTACTTGATAGTGCAGTTGCTTTATGGTGTCAATGGTCTATGTTCTTAAGTGTATTTTTTGGTGGCTTGTGATGGTCTTTCATTTCCATATTTAGCATTCCATAAGGATTTCTTGTAAGGCAAGTCTGGTGGTAACTGATTCCATTAGCATTTGCTTGTCTGAAAAGGATCTTATTTCTCCTTTACTTCTGAAGCTTAGTTTGGCTGGATATAAAAATTTTTAATGGAATTTATTTTCTCCAAAAATGCTAAATATAGGCCTCCAATGTTTTCTGGCTGGTAGGGTTTCTACAGGAATTTCTGCTCTTAGCCTGATGATGTTTCCATTGTAGGTGACCTGCCCTTTCTCATTAGCTGTCTTTAATGTTTTTTTCTTTCATGTCAAACTTGAAAAATTTGATGATTATATGTTTTGTGGATGGTCATCTTGTATGGTATCTTGCAGGGTTTCTCTGTATTCCCTGAATTTGAATGTTGGCCTGCGTGCAAGGTTGAGGAAATGTTTGTGGACAGTATCCTCAAATTTGTTTGCCAATTTGCTTGATTTGTCTCCCTCTCTTTCAGGGATGAAAATGAGTCATAAATTTCTTCTCTTTATGCAATCCCATATTTCTCAGAGGTTTTGGTCATTCTCTTTTCTTTATTTTTATCTGACTGAGGTAATTTGGAGAACCAGTCTTAGAACTCTAAGATTCCTTCCTTAGCTTGGTCTATTCTGCTGTTAATACTTGTGATTGTATAATGAAATTCTTGTAGTGAGTTTTTCAGCTCTATCAGACCAGTTTGGTTCTTTCTTAAAATGACCACTTTGTCTTTAACATCGTGTACGATTTTATTGTATTCCTCAGATTATTTGGATTGGGTTTAAACTTTCTCCTGATCTCAATGATCTTCATTCCTATCCATATTATAAATTTAATGTCTGTCATTTCAGCCCTGTTAAGAACCACTGCTGGGGATCTAGTGTGGTCATTTGGAGGTAAGAAGACACTCTGGCTTTTTAAGTTGCCAGAGTTCTTGTGTTGGTTCTGTCTCATCTGTGTGGGCTGATGTTTCTTTAATTTTTAAAGTTGCTATTCTTTGGATGGAATGCTTTGCTTTTATCTTCTTTGAGGCCCTTGGAGGTTTGATTGTGGTATAAAGTGGATGGAGTCAAGTGGCTTCATTTTTATAAGATATCAGGTGGTCAAGGCTCAGCTCAGCACTCTCAGGCTGTATGCTTTAACTTTGAGGGGTTGATACCAGGCCCTTCAACTTTGTTCTCTGGCCCCTTGAGGTTAGAAAACTGCTGCACTGGAGGGACAAAGCTGTTCTCAGTCTGCTGGTCACAACACTCTGATTGAGGTTGCCAGCCAAGGCAATTCATCAGGGTGGTGGCAGCAGGGTCTGTGCTAGTTTGAGCATGCCAGCAGCCATGGGGCACTGGTGGGAGTATGCAAGCATCCATACACCCTTGGCACTTTTTTTTTTTTTTTGAGACGGAGTCTTGCTCTGTCGCCCAGGCTGGAGTGCAGTGGCGCGATCTCGGCTCACTGCAAGCTCCGCCTCCCGGGTTCACGCCATTCTCCTGCCTCAGCCTCCCAAGTAGCTGGGACTACAGGCGCCCGCCACTACGCCCGGCTAATTTTTTGTATTTTTAGTAGAGACGGGGTTTCACCGTTTTAGCCGGGATGGTCTCGATCTCCTGACCTCGTGATCCGCCCGCCTCGGCTTCCCAAAGTGCTGGGATTACAGGCGTGAGCCACCGCGCCCGGCCCACCCTTGACACTTTTAACTGTATTTGCTCAAATGCTTTTTTCTCTTACAGCTTATGAAGAGCATTGGCTTGTGGAGATGAATGAATGAAATGAATAAATAAAATGTTAAAGGCACTTAAGCCATATTACACGAGTATAGTTAACTCTTTGGCAGAATAGGTGAGGTGTTTGGATGTCTTCTACTTCTCCCCTATCCCCAACATACACACTCTCCCAACACCCTGCCTATTTAGTTTCAGTCACCACTTAAAGACAGATAGTTGCACATTCCTCTTCCTTTTCTCATCATTCAACTCTTTACTCAGAAAGTGACTGAGAGGGTGTTGAAATTTGTACTAATTTTGGAATTGTGAATACTGGGAATAGGCATACCAGCATGTATGGTAAATGGTTTCTAGAGTGATATTTTGCTAGAATTTGGGATTGGCATACACCTGATCAGCTGTTGCCATTTTTGGACCTATTATGATATATTTTATATACCACTAGTTGCTAAGGGAGTATATCTATTTAAAATTCATAGAGAATCATTAAGCACTGAGCATCTTTTAGTCCTAATATCTTATTCCTTTCCTAGCACCAGGGAAAAGAGATATCAAAAAACAATCTCAAGAATTTTCTTCTCACACATTGTATTGTTCAGGGTTCTCTAAAGGGATAGAACTAATAGAATATATACACATATATATCTATATATTGATATAGATATACACATATATATATACAAAATATGAGAGCTTATAAAGTATTAACTCACAAGATCACAAGATCCCACAATAGGCCCTCGGCAAGCTGAGCAGCAAGAAGAGCCAGTCAAAGTCCAAAAGCTGAAGAACATGGAGTCCAATATTCTAGGGCAGGAAGCATCCAGCACAGGAGAAAGATGTAGGCTGGGAGGCTAAGCTAGTCTGGTCTTTTCACATTTTTCTGCCTGCATTATATTCACTGGCAGCTGATTAGATGGCGCCCACTAAGAGTAAGGGTGGGTCTGCCTTTCCCAGCCCACTGACTCAAATGGTAATCTCCTTTGGTAACACCCTCACAGACACACCCAGGATCAATATTTTGCATCCTTCAATTCAATCAAGTTGACACTCATCATTAATGATCACAAGTCCACCCCTTGTCAACTTGAACCCATACACATCTCTTGAGATCATATATAATCTTCAAATAAAGACAATAATAAGGTCATAATTACACCTAACATAATACAACTATCCTTTGTACACACCAATCCTCAACCAAAATTCTGTAAATTAACAATACTTAAATGCTGATATCAAGTCAATAAATCTTATGTCACATGATAAAGAAAAAAAGAAATAAAATGAGGTTTTTTAGTACAAGTGTATACATGCACCAACACGTTTTTAACAAAAGAAGGAAGAAATACTCATGACAATTACAGTCCTCGTTTCTGCAACTGATCACATGGTCATAGATGTTATTGATGACCACCTCTTCCCTTTGGTTCAGAAAGCACCTCAGCAGGTCATGGTTTTTCTCCTAATGCAGTGACCCAAAACTTCACTCCTGAAAGGTCTGGGCCATTTGTAGTCCTGCCTGGATTGGGCTGTTGTAATTTCCCATTGACCTTAATCACAGGGCATGGTAATATTAAGAGACTCCTGATGGATCTCCTGTATTCCATGCATACTCTTCCTAAACTCCGTTGTGGAGTGATTTCATCTTGATAGTCGGTGTCAGTCACCCCAGCCAACACTGTTAACTCCCTTCTTAGCCCATTGACTTAAAGATAGGAGAAGCCCAAAGTGTCCAGATGGCAATCTTAACTTCCATTTTAATGGAATCATTGTTGTGTCTACTGGTGGCAGCATTCCTCCCTCTGGAACTAAGAATTCTAGGTCAGCAGAAAGTAATGTCATGGAAACAGGAAGCAAAAATTTGCTAGTGGATCACTAGGGGTGATGGTGAGTGGTGCCACTTCCACTTCCACCCCTTGATTCCTGGACCCATGAAACAGTACCATATATTGGATGCTGATTCAGAGCATACACAGCCTTTTGGAGAACTTTTCCCCAGCCCTGCAAAGTATTGTCACCTAGTTGGCATTATAATTGTGACTTCAAAAGGCCATTCCACCATTCTGTCAATCCAACTGCTTCAGGATGATGGGGAACATGGTAAGACCACTGAATTCCATGAGCATGAACCCACTGCCTCGCTTCTTTAGTCATAAAGTGAGTCCCTTGGTGAGAGGCAATGCTGTGTGGAATACCATGACAGTGGATAAGCCATTCCGTGAGCCCATGGATGGTAGTCTTGGCAGAAACATTGCATGCAGGATAGGCAAACACATATCTGGAGTAGGTGTCTATTCCAGTGAGGATAAACCTATGCCTTTTCCATGATAAAAGAGGTCCAATATAATCAACCTGCCACCAGGTAGCTGGTTGATCACCACAAGGAATGGTGCCATATGGAGGGCTTGGAGCTTCTCTCTGCTGCTGGCAAATTTGGCACTCAGCAGTGGCCAGGTCAGCCTTGGTGAGTCCATGTTGCAGAGACCATGCATAACCTCCATTCCAGCCACCATGGCCACTTTGTTCATGGGCCTCTTGGGCAACGATGACAGGGGTGGCTGGGGAAAGAGGCTGAATGGTGTCCACAGAACAGGTCATCCTATTCACTTGATTATTATTAAAATCCTCCGCTGCTGAGGTCAACAGTTGGTGAGGGCTCCCGTGGGATACAAATATCTTCATGGTTTTTGACCACTCAGAGGGTTCCATCCACATACCTCTTCCCCAAATTTCTTTGTCACCTATTTTCCAAGCATGCTTCTTCCAAGTCCTTGACGATCCAGCCAAACCACTGGCTTCAGCCCATAAATCAGTATATAATTGCACATCTGGCCATTTCTCCTCCCATGCAAAGTGCACAACCAGGTGCGCTGCTAGAAGTTCTGCCCACTGGGAAGATTTCCCTTCACCACTGTCCTTCAGGGATGTCCTAGAAAGGGGCTGTAGTGCTGCAGCTGTCCACTTTCGGGTGGTGCCTGGACATCATGCAGAACCATCTGTGAACCAGGCCCTAGTCTTCTCTTCCTCTGTCAACTGATCATAGGGAACTCCCCATGAGGCCATCAGTGTAGGCTAGGGGAGAGAAGGTATGGTGGCAGGAGTAAAGACCATGGACATTTGAGCCACTTCTTCATGTAACTTACTAGTGCCTTCAGGACCTGCTCAAGACCGATCACATATATACCACTTCCATTTAATGATGGAATACTGCTGTGCACAACCCACTTTATGGAATGGGTCAGAAAGCACCCAGTTCATGACAGGCAGTTCAGGTCACATGATGACTTGATGACCAATAGTCAAACCTTCAGTTTCCAGTAAAGCGCAGTAATAGGCCAAGGGCTATCTCTCAAAAGGAGAGTAGTTATATTCAGAACATGGCAGGGCCTTACTCAAAAATCCTAGAGGCTCCTGCTGTGATTCACCTATGGGGAACTGCCAAGGGCTTCAAACAGCATCCCTATCTGCCACTGACACCTCAAGCACTATTGGATCTGCTGGGTCACATGGCCCAAGTGGCACAGCAGCATGCACAGCAGCCTGGACCTGTTGCAGAGCCTTCTCCTGTTCTGGACCCCACTCAAAACTGGCGGCCTTAAGGGCCACTGCATAAATGGGCTGGAGTAACACACCTGAATGAGAAATGCATTGCCTCTAAAATCCAAATAGGCCCACCAGGCATTGTCCCTCTTTCTTGGTTATGGGAGTGGCCAAATGCAGCAACTTATCTTTCACCTTAGAAGGAATATTTTGACAGGCCCTACACCACTGGACCCCTAGAAATTTTACTGAGATTGAAGTTCCCTGAGTTTGAGTCAGATTTATTTCCCATTCTCTGGCATGCAAATGTCTCACCAATAAGTCTAGTGTGTTTGCTACTTCTTGCTCACTGAATCCAATCAGCATAATGTCATCAATGTAATGGATCAGTGTGATATCTTGTGGAAGCAAAAAGTGATCAAGAGCTCTCCAAATAAGATTATATCACAAAGCCAGAGAGTTGATATACCCCTGAGTAAGACAGTACAGGTATATTGAAGGCAAATTGCTTCTGGTGGGCCTTATGGACAGGGATGGAGAAAAAGGCATTTGCCAGGTTAGTGGCTGCATACCAGGTTCCAGGAGATGTGTTAATTTGCTCAAGCAATGAAACCACATCTGGTACAGCAGCTGCAACTGGAGTCACCACTTGGTTAAGCTTACAATAATCCACTGTCATTCTCCAAGATCCATCCGTCTTCTGCACAGGTCAAATGAGAGAGTTGAATGGGGATGCTGTGGCAATCACCACCCCTGTGTCTTTCAAGTCCTTGATGGTGGCACTATTCTCCAAAATCCCCCCAGAGATGCGATATTGTTTTTGATTTACTATTTTTCTAGGTAGAGGCAGCACTAATGACTTCCATTTGGCCTTTCCCACCATAATAGCCCTCACCTTACCAGTCAGGGAACTAATGTGGGAATTCTGCCAGCTGCTAAATATGTCTATGCCAATTATGCATTCTGGCACTGGAGAAATGACCACAGGAGAGTCTGAGGACCCACTGGACCCACCGTAAGTCAGTCCTGAGCTAAAACTCCATAAATTATGTGGCCTCTATAAACCCCTACTTTAACTGGAGGACCACAATGATGTTTTGGGTCCCCTGGAATCAACATCAGCTCAGAGCCAGTGTCCAGTAGTCCCTGAAATGTCTGATCATTTCCCTTCCCCAGTGCACAATTACCCTGGTAAAATACCAGAGGTCTCCTTGGGGAAGGATGGGAGAAAGACAAACAGCATAAATTGTTGGTAACGTAGTGGGGTCCTTCCCCAAGGTGACTGGCCTCCCCTTCATTCAAGGGGTTCTGGGTCTGTAAACTGTAAAGTAGCTCAAGTCTGGAAATTGATTGAGAGGCTGTGATTCTCTGTTTTTACAATTCAAATTCGTCTTTTGTCCATTCGACCTAGAAGATTTCTGCTTATATAAATTAAGCAGGAATACAGTGGCATTCCTATCAATTTCAGACCCATTTACATTTACATTTTTAGATCAGGTTGACAATTTTTAATTATTTCTCAAAATTTTAGAATAATTTTAGATATACCACATATAGGATTGTTTAGATAGCCCATATACCTGACATGCAGTTTTCCCTATTATTGACATACTTCATTTTTATGGCACATTTATAACAATTAACAAACCTATATTGAGTAAAAGTCTATACTTCATTTGGATTTCTTCAGTTTTTCCCTAATGTCCTTTTGCTGTTCCAGGATGTCTTCCAGGATGCCACGTTACAGTTAGTCATCATGTCTCTTTAGGCTCCTCTTGGCCTAAGGGACAGTTTTTCAGAATTTCCTTGTGTTTGATGATCTTAAGAATTTGAGGAGTACTATTCAAGTGTTTGTATAATGTCCCTCTATTATGATTTTTCTGATATTTTTCTCATGTTTAGACTGGGTTTATGGTTATGGGGGTGTAAGACTATGGAGGGGAATTGTCATTCTTATAATATATTACAAAGATACAGCCCAGGCACAGTGGCTTATGCCTGTAATCCCAGCACTTTGGGAGGCCGAGGTGGATGGATCACCTGAGGTCAGGAGTTCGAGACCAGCCTGACCAATAAGGTGAAACCCTATCTCTACTAAAAATACAAAAATTAGCCGAGCGTGGTGGTATGGGACTGTAGTCCCAGCTACTCGGGAGACTGAGACAGGAGAATTGCTTGAACCTGGGAGGCAGAGGTTGCAGTGAGCTGAGATCATGCTACTGCACCTCCAGCCTGGGCACCAGAGAGAGGCTTTGTTAAAAAAAAGAAAGATATGTACTATCAACATGATTCATCACAGTTGATGTTGACCTTGATAACCTTACTGAAATAGTTTTTGTTAGATTTGTCCATTATAAATTCATACTTTCCCCCTTTACTATAGTGTATTTTTAGAAGGAAGTTACTATGTGCAGACTCCATTTAAGAAGAGAAGAGTTATGCTCCACCTCATTAAGAGTGAAATAGTTAGATAAATTATTTGGAATTTTTCTGTATAGGAAATTTATCTGTTCTCTCCCATATATTTATTCAATATTTGTTTATATCAATGTAGACTCATGGATTTTATCTTGTATTGGATTAAAATCCTTTACCACTTTACTTATTGCGTTGACTAAATTGTTCCATCTTTGACCTTCCTAAATTTTTCTACTTTACTATTGTCTCCCTTTCATATACTTCCATCATTATGTTTGTTTTTATTTTTGTTTTGAGCACTTTCTTTATGAAGCATTATAAGTTTATCTCTTTTAGAAAGTAGGATCCTTTCAAAAAAAAATAATAAAGTAGGATCCTTTCTTTTTAATCCAGTTTGCCCATCTCTGATATTTGATTGGAATGTTTAATCCACTCACATTTAATGTAATTAACGATGTATCCTGATTTACATTTACCCTTTTCTTATTTGATTTGCATATATACTCTATTTTTTTGAGTACCTCTGATCTTTCTTTACTTCCTCCTTTTGTTGTAAACAAATATTTTTATATCATTTTAATTCCTCTGCTGTTTTTCACCTATATTTTTGAGCTTTTCATAGTGGTTGCTGTAGTTTTGATGTGTATCTTTAACTTTTCAAAATCTAGTTTTGGATAATACTGATTTAATTGCAGTAAAATCTCGGAACTTTTTTTTTTTTTTTTTTTTTAAGACAGAGTCTCACTCTGTCACCCAGGCTGGAGCCCAGTGGCGGGATCTCGGCTCACTGCAAGCTCCATCTAACGGGTTCACGCCATTCTCCTGCCTCAACCTCCCGAGTAGCTGGGACTACAGGCACCTGCCACCACGCCCGGATAATTTTTTGCATTTTTAGTAGAGACGGGGTTTCACCGTGTAAGCTAGGATGGTCTTGATCTCCTCACCTTGTGATCTGCTTGCCTTGGCATCCCAAAGTGCTGGGATTACAGGCGTGAGCCACCACACCCTGCCAAATCTAGGAACTTTTAGCCAGATTAGCTTCATTTCCTTACCCTTCCCTTCTACTAACTTTATAGGTACAAATATTTGTGTGTTTTTATATATACACACATTATTTATATACATTTTTTGTAGTGGATGTCTACTAACAAAACCAATCTCAGTTTTTGTTTATCTCATGCTGTCCTTATTTTGCATTCATTTGTAAAAGATTGTTTTGCTGAATATAAAATCTTGATTTATAAATTTTTTCTTTTAGAACTTTGAATATGCCATCCTACAGCCTTTTTAACTTACTGTTCCTAATGAGGGATAATTAACATTGTTGGCATTTATGATGAGTTGTTTTTCAATTGTAGCTTAAGTAATACACTCTTTGCTTTGACTTTCAGCACTTTGACTGTGATGGGCAGAGTTTGTGCCCATGTAAGTCTCAAGACTTCCATCCTCTGCTAATAGAGTAGCATGTGAATGAGTTGCAAACCATTCTCCATCTTCCTTGCCTTTCACATTTTGCCCATCTTTCCATGGTCTCTCTCACACAAGCAAGGTTTAGCAGTCAACCAGTGACCTGTGGAGAAGTTACCTTATTTACTTTATGGTTCTTTCATATTTAGGAACTCTCCATCAATTTATGGCCTTATGCTTGCACAAACCAAACTGCAACATTGAGACAGCAAAGATGCAGGTTTTCACCCTCCATCCAGAATTGAGTTTGACCTTTGTGGCAGCAGAGCCCCTTGTTTTCAAGATAAAGTTATAATTATTGAAAATTTAACTAAGTGCATGTTGCAGGGAGGCAGAGAGTAGGAGCAGCCCTAAGCAAGAAGGGCCACTCTTTCCTACCATGCTTATTTGAAGCCCTTGCAATGATTGTTTTGGACAATTTTATCCATTTTAATATTTGTTTCCTTCAGAAAGGAATCACATATCCTCTTTGGTAACATTATTGGAAGTCTTATTATTATTAAATTATTGAATGATGTTTAGTGAAACTGATGATATAAACAAAATGCGATTATCAAGTCATAGGAGAAAGAAGGAGGGGTGCAGGTGTCCAAAACTTAAATGAAAATTAGAAATTAGTATAAATTTTTTCAAGACTCATCCTTGTTCTCCAGAAACCTCATGATTAGTACTTACATATTAATAAAATGTTATGGCTGCTCTATAAGTCTAATTATATCT
This sequence comes from Homo sapiens, assembly GCF_000001405.40. Lineage (NCBI taxonomy): Eukaryota > Metazoa > Chordata > Mammalia > Primates > Hominidae > Homo > Homo sapiens. Next base: position 46,644,508 of record NC_000004.12, read on the forward strand.
GAAATCAAAATTTTATTATTATAATTTATTAGTTGCAGATAAGAATTATCAAGTTTGAACATAGTGCATTTGTATAAACTGAAAGTGTAAGTGACATTTTGTGGATTCTCTAAAAGCATAACTCTTAAAAACCTGCTTAGTTTGATTCAGATCTTTAGAATTGGTATGCCTCATGATATGGTAGGAATGTCATATTTTGTCTGCTAGCCACAAGAAAAAAATATTTGATTTATAGTATTTCACAGACATAAAACAATGATAGACTCTTATCTATATCACTGCTATTCTTGAATAATTAATGATATCAAAATATCATGGTGGCCTCCTCTTTGCTCTTATGTATATTTCATGGTCCCACCTTAATTGGCAAACTACATAGTTAGGAAAAATTACCCTAAAAATGTATGATAATTAGATAAAATAAAATAGAGATTACAATAGATAGACTATATGTATTTTGCACAATATATTCTCACCCTTACTAAGTAACTCTATTAATAATTTAAAGATCTACAGTACTTTTGAGAAAATGGAACAATTTAACTGAACAGGGGAAGGAAAATTCCCTTGACATTTTCTAAGGGTTATCTCCTATTATATTATTAAAGTGTGGCAGCATTTTACTGGAGCCAGCAAAACAGATAAAATTTTGCTTGAAATCCCAATCTCTGGTCCAAGAAAGGTCTTTATTATTTAGCCTTCAGGAAAATGAAAGTGACAGATTGCAACTGTCAGTAGACACAGACTTCTTTTATGCTTCCCCTATTTTTCCTATTCCCAGTAGGATAGAGAACTGATTAAACTCTGATTCCAGAATGTGAAATCAAGAAATTTCATAACCATGTGAGTGCCTTTTGCATGCATAAATGTTGCCATGGTGATCAGAACTTGACATTATAATCTGCATTAGCTTCTCTAAAAAACGGTTAAGTAGGGAGTGTCAGAAAGCTGATATTTCTTGTTGTATCCCTTAAATCCCATCATTCACCCTCATTTTTTAGATCTTCTTAAATTTAGTTTGCATTTTCCATTTCTGTATAATGTGGTATACATCAGAGAAGCAGTATATGTCAATCTCGTTAAATTATCTATTTTAATAGCTCAGCAAATAATGATTTTATGAGTGACAGCATTCAATTCAGGGCATTCTAAACAGAAGTACCTGGCATTGAAATGCTTATGTTTAACTATAAAACCGTCAGTAAAGCAGGCAAAAGTTACAAGTCTTAAGGGATTCCCTTAAGACTTATCATGTTGCCGGGTATTTACTTCTTTTTTTAATTTTTCCTTCTCAAATTTGAATCACCTGTCAAATAATACCTATTTTGTATCCATTTCTGGAGGTGTCAGTTGGAGAGCTTTAGCATCCCAGTGCCTTCAAAACTAATTTTGATAAGTGCTTCCAGGCACACCTTCCCAGGGCCATTGGGTCAGTCAAGTGAGCAGCTAAGAGATATGCAAGAGCGGTGTACTTGATCTTTAGATAACTGGGTATTATCTAAAAGCCATCACAGGGCATTTGGCAGTGAAGCTACTTATGGAGAATCCTTACCTTCCACCCTAAATCAACACTGCAATTCCTCTACTTTATAGCTGTTTTGGTGCTTAATTCCTTCTGTATTCAGAGAAGAAAGTTTGAACATCATAATATGATTCTTTTGAAGATGCATGGGTTGAGCAGGACTTTAATTTCATTGCACAAGTGTGGGACACTTTGTTTTTTAAAAGAAAAAAAAACATTTAAAATCCATTTCTAATTGATTGGCTATGACTGTCCAGTCACCTATTTCTCTCTCCAGATCTCTGTGCTCACAGTATAATTGTGTAAGATTATTTTTCTTCACATGATTACCCTTCTTTTTATTTCCTGCTTAGATTTGTAAGTTCTGAGTTCTACTTCTTACTTTCTCCTTTAAGGTAAAAATATATCAAGAAGTATTTACAAACTTTTCCTCTATATTTTTTTTTGTGCTTTTCTATGCCTGCCAGTTTCTGAAGGATTTAACTAAGGAAATTAATTCTGAAGGAATTAACTAAGTCATATTTGTAATAATGCTCCCCTATAGAGGGCAAGCATTAGAGATGCAGTACTTTAAGTTTCAACATATTTTCAATTTAATGGCATATTACTCAGATCTATCTATTTAGTTCATAATTTGTTTTGTATGTCTATAAAAATTAATTGAAGTTTGGGTGCAAGTGATGCTTAAAGCTTAAATGATTATTTTGGTTGCTCTAGCAATATACTGGTATGTTTCAGTCTTCAACATTGGTTGCTTTAGAATGTTTATTTGACAATGACATAGACAGAAGGGAGTTATGGGAAAAGAAGGGTGATTAATATTGTGACCAATTATTACCTTGCCATCAAATTGCTTTGTAATAGCTTTGGGAGCTTGAGTCCATAAAAAGTATGTATTTTAAAAATGGTGGTTTTTTTACACTTTCTCTTCAAGCTGACTGACTAGAGCAATCAGATACCAGTTTTCCTCAGAAAGAAGAACAAAGTTACAGATGAATAAGTGAAACTCAAATAAAATATTAAGGAGAGCAATCCAGAGTTCATCAGAAAACTCATGGAAAGAAGCTAGGGTATGGAAAAAGAAGGAGGCAAGAGTCTAGCAAAGATCAAACCCCAAGAGACTTGGTGTTCCAAGGAAAGGGTAGGTAGAGGTATTTTTGGCCCCCCTCACTCCTGTGCCAGACTTCTGGTTTCTGAATTATCAGACAGTTCCTCTGCCCTTGCAAGTTCAAGGCACGACATGGGCAGTGGAACCAGAAAAACATTCCCTGGCACCTGCTCAAATTGCTGAAGCCCCACAGGCCTGGCTGGACCTAGAGTAGCTGCAGGATTCTTGGTGGTGTGGCTCTTGTGGTATGCTGCTCCTAGGGGAAAGGGAAGTGCAGCATGCCAAGGGAGCACACCTAGAGCCAATGGAAACCAGAGCATAAACTTTCCTGTGCCTGAGCACTCTTCCTTTATGGACTGATAGTAACTGCATCTTTTCCAGTGCAGATGTGGGTGCTACGCTCATCTCTATGGGGAAAGAGTGTGGTTCCACTCCAGCAGGCAAGTGACCCCAGTGCTCAGGAATGGACATGAAGATGTGCTTTCCCTCTGCTTCCCTGCTGCAAATGCTGTAGCTGCTTCCATGGGTGATTAGGCAATGGCCACCTGTGGATGGCCATTCCTGGGATATTAGGGGGTGGATGTGCCTCCACTGGTGGTGTGCCCACCAGACCTGGGATTGCACAAAAGACAGGGCCCTTCCTCCTCTCCACATGAAATGGCAGGATTCCTGTAGTGGAGGACAGGTGAGCCACAAAGCTGTCTGTCTGGGGCTGAGGAAAGAGGTTCCACACCAAAGCCATATTGAAGGAGCACTACAGGGCAGGCATCCGCCACAGCTCTCAGCTAAATTGTGACCTAAAGATAGACTGCAGTGTCTGTCTGAGATGAGAGCTTGAGCCCCAGGACAGGGTTGTGACAGGGAAGTTGATTGCTTTACTGCCTGCCCAGATCATGAAGCTGGGGTAGCTAGCTCCCCATCCCTACAGAGACCTCAGAACATTTCACCAGGAGCTATTCCCAAAACCACAATCAGGGATGGTATTTGTGCTTGCCATTGGGGTATACAAGAGTGAGCTTGGCAGTCCAGTTCCACCTTCATTTGTCCCTCACGTTAAGCTGAGCAGAGAGCTCAGAGCACAGGCATTCCACAGGTTAGCTCATTGCCTGAGGCAACAAACAGCTTCTTCTGGTAAACAGAGATCAAGCATATACCCATGTGCCTCTGCTGTAGCCAGCTCTTACCTGTTAGCACCACCTACTGGCCTGGAAGCTGAGCTGCACAACGCAAGAAGTGCATAGAACTGAGGAATGACACAAGCTTACTGAGACCTCTGCAATTTCAGGCCTGCAGAAGGCAGTGAGTCCACTCATACATCAGTATATTGCTACTAAAACCAGCATTTGAAAAAGCCACTGCACAAGGGCTATCTATACCCAAAGAATACATACAGAGCCTTTACCACTGAAAGCACTCACACTAAAGCCAAGCAACCATACAAAACATACAGTATAATTGTATCCTCAAAGGGGAAAGTAAACCCATCCAAAAACAAGTAAATTTAAAAAATCATGAGATAGCTTTTCCCAAATGAGAAGGAACCAGAAAAATAACCCTGGTATATGAAAAAATAGTGTTATAACACCCCCAATGGATCACACAAGCTCTCCAGCAGTAGATGCTAACCAAAATGAATTCTTTGAAATATTTGATAAACAATTCAAAACGTTAATTTTAAATAAGCTAAGTGAAGCCCAAGAGAAAGTAGACAGCCAACACAAAGAGATCAGAAAAAGTTTGCCATATGAATAAATAATTCCATAGGTATTAAAAAAATAGAACTTCTGGAAATTAAAAATTCTTCGAAGGGATTACAAAATACAGTGGAAAGCTTTATCAATGAACTAGACCAAGAAGAAAGAACTTCAGAGCTTGAAGACAAATCATTCAAATTAACTAAGACAGACAAAAATAAAGGAAAAATACTTTAAAATTTAATAAAGTTTTCAAAGAGATGATGTACAATGCCAAAATCTACAAGTCATAGGAATTCCTGAGTGAGAAGGTGAAATAGTAGTAAAAAGTTTGAAAAACTTATTTGAGGAAATAATTCAGGAAAACTTCCTTAGCCTTGATGCAGATCTATCCATCCAGTTATAAGATGCTCAGGGAACTCTGGAAAGATACATTGCAAGATGGACTTTACCAAGGTATGCATTCATCAGACTTCATAAAGTCAACATGAAAGAAAAAAATTCTACGAACAGCAAGGGAAAATGGTTTAATCTCCTATAAAAGAATCTCCATTAGCTCAACAATGAACTTCTCAGCAGAAACCTTCCAAGTCAAAAAAAGTTTGGCGTTCTATTGCTAGTTTTCTTCAAGAAAAATACTGTCAGCCAAGAATTTTACATCCACCCAAACTAAGTGTAATAAATGCCAGAGAAATAAAGTTGTTTTCAGAGGAGTAAATGCTTAGGGAATTCGTCATCACTAGACTGATCCTACAAGAAATGCCCAAGAGAGTTCTAAATATGGAAACAAAAAGTTATTCACACCATCATAAAAAATATGAGATAACATAACTCACAGGGTTTATGAAACTATTTTTATAACACAATTTAGACTACAAAGCAACTAGGTGACAACTATCATTATTACAAGAACAAAAGCTCACATATCAATGTTAACCTTGAAAGTAAATGCTGTAAATGCATCCTTACATACATTATTGGAGGAATGGATTTTATTTAAAAAAAAAGAATTCAACACAGTGTTGCTTACAAGAAACTCACCTAACTGGTGAAGGCACTTAGATACTCAAGGTAAGGGGGTAAAAAATGATATTTCATGCAAATGCAAACCAAAAGTAAGCAAGAATAAATCATCAACAGTGAAAAAAGTTAAAGAAGTACATCATATAATGATAAAGGGATCAATTAAGCAAGAAGATATAACAATCTGACATATATGCACCCCAAATTAGAGCACTCAGATTCATAAAACAAATACTACCACACCTAAGAGGAGATAGACAACAATCATAAAACAGGTCTAAAGAAATTTTTAAATATCTAAATCATATCAAGAATCTTATTGGATGACAGTGAAATAAAACTAGAAATCAAGAACAAGCAGAACTACTGACACTATGAAAACACATAAAAATTAAACAACTTGCCCATGAATTGATCTTTGGCTCAATGATGAAATTAAGATGGAAATTAAAAATTATTTGAAACAAATGAAAATGGAGACATAACAGATCAAACCTATGAGATACAGCAAAACAGTACTAAGAGGAAAGTTTATAGCATTGATTGCCTACATTGAAAAGAAAGAAAGATTGCAACCTAATGTTGCATCTCAAGGAACTAGGAAAACAAGGGCAAACCAAGCCCAAGGCTAGCAGAACAAAATAAATAACAAAGATCACACAATAAGACTAAATGGAATTGAGACTAGAAAAATTACAAAGGATCATTAAAATGAAAAGTTGTTTTTTTGAAATGATAAACAAAATTGATAGAACATTAGCTAAATTTACCAAGAACAAAATGAGAGAAGATTCAAATAAGCCAAGCAGAAATGATAAAGGAGATACTATAACTGATTCCACAGAAATACAAAAGATCATCAGAGACTACTATAAACATCCCTATGCCCACAAACTAAAAACCTTAGAGCAAATAAATACTTTCCTGGAAACACACAACCTTCCAAAACCAAACCAGAAAGAAACAGAAATCTTGATCAGACACATAATGAGTAGTGAGATTGAGTCAGTAATAAAAAGTCTCCTCCCAAAAAAGTCCAAGACCAGGTGGATTCACAGCCAATTTCTAATAGATGTACAAAGAAGAACTGGTAACAATCTTACTGAAACTGTTTCAAAAAATTGAGTGGGAGGAAATTCTCCCTAATACATTCTACAAGGCCAGTATCATCCTGGTACCAAAACCAGACAAGGACACATCAACAAAAGAAAACTGCAGGTCAATATCCCTGATGAACACACATGCAAACCTCCTCAGCAAAATGCTAGTGAACCAAATCCAATAGCACATAAAAAAGTTAATAACGAGCAAGTGAGTTTTATTTAAGGGATGAATGAATGCTTCAACATACACAAATCAAACAATGTCTTTCACTACACCAACAGAGTTGAAAGCAAAAAATATATGATCATCTCAATAGATACAGAAAACACATTTGATAAAATTCTGCAATTCTTCATGATAAAACCCCTCAACAAACTAGGCATAAAAGGAACAGATCTCAAAACTATAAGAGCCACAGAAGACAAACCCATACCTAACATCATGCTGAACAGGGAAGTGTGAAAGCAATTCCCCTAAGAACTGGAACATGAAAAGGATGCCCACATTCACTACTCCTCATCAACAGTGTAGTTGAAGTCCTTGCTACAGCAATCAGGCAGCAGAAAGAGATAATGGCCATCCAAGTTGAAAAAGAAAGTCAAATCATCTCTGTTTGTTGATGATATGATCTTATATTAGAAAACCCTAAAGACTCCTCCAGAAGAACCCTGTATTTGATGAATAAATTCATTAAAGATACAGGATACAAAAATCAATGTACAAAAATTAGTAGCATTTCTATACACCAATGACAATCAGAGATCCAAATCAAGAACTTAACCTCCCTTAAAATAGATATAATATAATTAAAATTCCTAGAAATACATTTAACCAAGGAAGTAAATTATCTCCATAAGGAGAACTACAAAATAATTATGAAAGAAATCATAGGGATGGGTCCAGAGGCTCATCTCTGCAACCCCAGCACTTTGGGAGGCTGAGGCAGGTAGATCACTTGAGCCTAGGAGCTTAAGACAAGCCTGGGCAACATGGCAAAACCCCGTCTCCACAAAGATTACAAAAATTAGCCAGGCAAGTTGGCACGCACCAGTAGTCCCACCTACTCAGGAGGCTGAGGTGGGAGAATTACCTGAGCCTGGGAAGTCAAGGCTGCAGTGAAGCACGATCATGCCACTGCACTTCAGCCTGGGAAACAGAGCAATACCCTATCTCCAAAAAAAAAAAAAAAAAAAAAAGAAAGAAAGAAAGAAAAAGAAAAAAGAAAAGAAAAAGAAAATTCCTAGATCCTAGATGATGTAAACAAATGGAAAAACCATCCATCCATTCTCATGGATTTAGAAGAATCAATATCAGTAAAATTACCATATTGTTCAAAGCAATATATAGATTCAACACAATTCCTATCAAATAACCAACATCATTTTTTCATAGAATTATTAAAAACAATCCTAAAATTAGTAGGCCAGCAGTCCCCAAGGAGACATGTCTGGTCTGTTTGTCACACTAGGGACCAGTTTTATGGAAGCCAACTATTCCATAGACTGGGATTGTGGGGGTGGATGGTTTGGGGATGATTCAAGCACATTACATTTATTGTGCACTTTATTTCTATTAGTATTACATGGTAATATATAATGAAATAATTATACAATTCACCATACTATAGAATCAATGGTAGCCCTGAGCTTTTTTTCCTACAATTAGATAGTCCCCTCTGGGGTGATGGGGGATAGTGACAGATCATCAGGCATTAGATTCTCATACGGAGTACACCATCTAGATCTCCTGCATGCACAGTTAACAACAGGATTTGTACTCCTATGATAATCTAATGTTGTGGCTGATGTGACAGGAGATGGAGCTCAAGCTGTAATGCAAGCAATGGAGAGGGGCTGAAAATAGAGATAATGCTTCACTTGCTCACCCGCCACTCACCTCCTGCTGTGTGGCCCAGATCCTAACAGGGGGTTGGGGACCCTGTGTTAGCCCATTCTTGTAATGCAATAAAGAAATACCTGAGACTGGGTAATTTATAAAGAAAAGAGGTTTAAAGGTCACTGTTCTGCAGGCTCTACATGTAGAGTGCCAGCATCTGCTTGGCTTCTGGAAAGGACTCAGAGAGCTTTTATACATGATAGAAGACAAAGCTGGAGCAGGCATTTAACATGGTGGGAGCAAGGGAAGGAGTGGGGAAGTGCCACAAACTCTTAAACAAGCAGATCTCATAAGAACTCACTCACTATCATGAGGACAGCACCAAGTGGTTATTACTAAACCATTTACCAGAAATCTACCCACATGAACAAATAACCTCCCACCAGGCCTCACCTCCAACACTGGGAATTACAATTCAAAATAAGGTTCGGACAGGGACACATATTTAAACTATATTATTCTACCCTGATACCTCTCAAATCTCATCTTCTTACGTTTCAAAATACAATCAACCCTTCTCAATAGTCTCCCCAAAGTTTTAACTCATTCCAACATTAACTCAAAAGTCCCAAGTGTAAGTCCAAAATCTCATCTGAGACCTGTCTCCTTCCAACTATGAGCCTGTAAAATCAAACAAGTTACCTATTCCCAAGACACAATGGTGGTACTGGTATTGGCTAAACACTTCCATTCCAAATGGGAGAAATTGGCCAAAAGAAAGAAACTTCAGGCCTCATGGATATGTGAAGCCATGCGGGGCGGTCATTAAATGTTAAAGCTCCAAAATATTATAATCTCCTTTGACTCCATGTCCTACATCCAGGGTACACTGGTGCAAGGTGTGGTCTCCCTAGGCCTTGGGCATCTCTGTCCCCATGGCTTTGGAGGATTCAGCCCCTGCAGCTGCTCTTATGGATTGGCATTGAGTGCCTACACCTTTTCCATGCTGAGATTGCAAGCTGCAAGTGGATCTGCCATTCTGGGGTCTGGAGGATTGTGGCCCTCTTCCCACAGCTCCGCTAAGAAGTGCCCCAGTGAGAACTCTATGTGGTGCCTCCAACCCCTCATGCTCTCCTAGCAGAGATTCTTGGTGAGGCCTCCACCCCTGCAGCAGGCTTTTGTCTGGGCACCCAGACTCTCTCATACATCCTCTGAAATCTTGGCAGAGGCTGACAAGTCCCCACTACTCTTGCACTCCATGTGGCTGCGGGGTTACCACAACATGGAAGCCACCAAGGCTTATGGTGGCTTCGGCTCTACAAAGTGGAGGCCCTAGCAATATCTGTGGTCCTTTAAGCCAAGGCTGGAGCTGGAGTGGCAGGGATGTGGGGAGCAATGTCCCAAGGCTGTGCAGGGCAGTGGGGCCCTAGGCTTGGCTCACGAAACCATTCAGTCCTCCTAGGCCTCAGGGCCAATGATGGGAGAAGTCTGCCCTGGAGATCTCTGAAATGCCTTGGAAGCCTTTTTCCCATTGTCTTTGCTATCAGCACTCGACTCCCTTTTAGTTATGCAAATTTCTCCAGCAATTCTTTGCTTTTCAGCCTGATACCAATCTTACTGAAACTATTTCAAAAAATGGAGATGGAGGAAAGGACAAGAAATCATTGTATAAAAAAAAACACCTGTACTCCTATGTTTATTGCACCACTATTCTCAATAGCATAGAAATGAGTAAGGTCATGCAGTCAATCTAACTGTCCATCAAATCAATGGATAATTGGATAAAGAAAATGTGAGATACACACACATACACACAGATATACCATGAATTACTACTCAGCTATTAAAATGAACAAAATCATGTCTTTTGTAGCAACATGGATGAAGCTGGAGGCCATCAACATAAGTGAAATAACTCAGAGAAAATCAAGTACCACATGATATCGCTTATAAGTGGGAGCTAAACAATGTGTACAGATGGATATACACAGTGGAATAATAGATTTTGGAGACTTCAAAATGTGGGAGGGTAAGGAATCAGAAATTGTCTATTGGGCACAGTGTACACTATTTTGGAAATGATTGCAGTAAAAGCCCAGACCTCACCACTATGCAATATATCTATGTAACAAAACTGCACTTGTGCCCCCTAAATCTATTAAAAATGGGCTGGGCATGGTGGCTCACACCTGTAATCCCAGCAATTTGGGAGGCTGAGGCGGGCGGATCACCTGAGGTCAGGAGTTCAACCTCAGCCTGGTCAGCCTGGCCAACATGGCAAAACCCTGTCTCTACTAAAAAAAGTAAATAAATAATAAAATAAAAAAAATTAGCCAGGCATGGTGGTGGACGCCTGTAATCCCAGCTTCTTGGGAGAATTACTTGAACCCAGGAGGCAGAGGTTACAGTGAGCCAAGATCACACCACCGCACTCCAGCCTGGGTGACAGAGTGAGACTCTGTCTCAAAAAAAAAATCTATTTAAGTTCTATACATTCCATATACACTGTGTCTCACAGTGGGATATGCACCATAAGAGATAAAAGTTATTAAGAAGGTGGATGATATACAATTAATTTTGTTCCTCCAAAATTCAGACGTTGATGTCCTAATCCTAAGTACCTCAATGTAATTGTAATTGGATATAGATTCTTTAAGGATGTAATTGAGCTAAATGAAGTCATTAACATGGGCCCTTATCCAATATGACTGGTGCATTTATAAGAAAAGGAAATTTGGACACAGACAACAGAAAAAAAGATGATGTCAAGACACAGGAAGAAGATGGTTATCTATAAGCCAATGGGAAAGGCTTGAAATGGATTCTTTCTTCAGTTCTTAGAAGAAGCCAACCCTCCCAACACCTTGATCTCAGATATCTGGTTTTCAGAACTTTGAGAAAATAAATGTATGTTGTTTAAGCCACATATTCTATGATACTTTATTATGGCAGCTCTAGAAATCTATTATAGTTGGTTTACATATAGCATTAGAATCAGGGAAGAGTGACACCTCTACTGGAAGAAAACAAAAAAAATAGATTACATTTTTTTTAACACAACAATGTTGGGAAAGATATTGACCAGCATGTAGCACCTCTATTGGTAACTTTCCTGTGTGTGGATTTCTGTCCCTAAGATCTGTGCTTAGATTCTGCCACTCTCATGCCCAACCTTTTCTAATGGAAATCCTATAACATGCATAAAAGAAAAAATTTTAGCAAGAATTTGGTGTTCACAGTTGAAGTATTAACTGGGTTTGATCTTTCCCACATACATTTAAGCTGTGCTTGCAACTACAGTGAATAGTTCTTATGGGTCAAGTCGTACACCAATCATTGTAATGGCAATAGTTAATCATAATAAGAGGAAGTCATAAAGATGATGGTATAACAATTACAACAGGTATACATAAAACATATCCGTGGTGTTTTGCTAATAATTAACTACCTTCATGGTTCAATGATTAAGGAGAGTAAAACAAAGGAGATGACTGGGCCATATGTACTGAGAGTGTCTGCAAATGGTTTACATATGTTTGCATCAGTGTAGGAAGAAACAGGCTCAAGGTTCAGTGGATCGGTTAACAACTGACCATAGGTCTTTGCCTTAACAAAACAAAAGCACTCTTGCTGATTTGAAAATATTTCCTCATACATAGATCTTCAATAAGCAGACAATTAGAGGCAACCTCATTTCTACTAAAGCAAAGACCTTTGGCAATAAAAAGGATTTTCACCTCAGGTATACCAAATTGGCTCATTTATAAATTAAACATCTTTATTTCATTCTCAAGTATGCCTCAACCTTGCCTGACCACAATTGATAAAGAAAATATATGGCAAAAGGAGACATCTGGTCAAGAGTCCTAGGCTTCCACAAAGGGATCCTTCAGTTACTTAGAGACACTTCTGTCACATAGAGAGGGAAACACTCTAAACCAGTATTTTATAACTATCAACTGTTGCTACAGAATGGTGTGTGTATGTGTGTGTATGCACATGTGAACATGTGAGGGTGACTGGTTAATTTATTCTCATGAAAATTAGATTTCTCTGCACAGTAGTATGTACGGACATAACCTTTCCTTTCTAAGTTATTTCACTTACTGCACTATTTTCCTTTATTTTACATGACCCTTTACCTTGCCTCTTCAATTGTCCACTTGTTTTAACCTTCCATTTTTTTCTTCTCTTGCTTTTGCTTTTAGTTCAACTTATACACACTTTACTCATAGTCTGGTGTACTCCTGGTAGCTCATCTTCTCAGTTTATCACCCCACCCTCACAAGTACTGCTAGCTAATAGCCTATGAGAAGTATTGTAAAATATAATGTCTCTGACATAATTCTATCTGCCTCCCAAGACTTAAAAAATTATCTTTCAAAGCAGACACCAAAAGATGACCTTTCTGTTGTTACCTACATTAGAGATATAAAATAAAACATAAGTCCATGTATGTAATTCAGATATACATAAAATCACATATAACTGCCCATATAGAATTAAGAAAATACAATATTTGTATATGTGTCAAACTTTCACATTTCTATAATTTCTGTATTGAGAAATTATCAACAACTACAGGAATAGACCAAGAAAAGGAATTCAGATAGACTCAGTTGTCCTGCATTCTCCAAAAGTTTTTCTCAGTCTGGCAATGACAGAGGCAAAATATAATGGCTCCAAAGTACTCATTAGTGCTTGTATTGGCAATGTACTACTAAGCATAGCAGTCAGAGTTCATCAATGGCTCATTATTATGCCTATCCACATAGACCAATTGCAATCAGTATTGCTCTGTGCATTGCCATTGTAAAAGTGCTGTTATTTCGTATCCTGCCAAAATGAAGAAATTAATGAAGAGGGGCATTAACAGGCCAGATTAAAACTTTTAAATAAATAAATAATACTTTATCAATAGGGCAAGAGCTACAAATATGACTTCCAGAGGAAGAGGAGAGAAAACATATCACTATGCCACTTTTTAAATTTTTCCTTCAATCAGTCTGTTCTTTCACAAGGTAAAAAATAAATAAATGGCAGCCAATAGTATACAGAGGGCTCAAGTAAGATTGTCTTTAAACCCACTGCTAATTACAAAGGAATTGATTATTCAGGATTTTTCATCTCTCTATTCCCTATAGTGTCTGTAATATTTTATATATCATATTTTCCATTATGGGGCACATAACTGTCCATGATAGTTTTTGGGTCATGTCTGCAAGTTGTGCAAATTACTTCTGCTTGCATTCTATTGGATATCATTCAGTCCCACAGGTATCCCTAACTGCAAGGGAGCCCGAGAAATGTAGTCTCGCTCTAAGCCCAAGAAAAGCAAGAAACAGATTTGGCAAATAGCTAGCTACTGGTTTTTGCTACAATCTCTCTTCTTGACACCAATTATCTGTTTGTATTTTTTTTTTTTAATTCTCAAGGCAAATTCATTCCCCTTTTAAAGAAAGAATACCCAAAGCTCCACTTGGCTACTTAACCCAGCTTGCATTGCACGATCTTCAGGTAATGTGCTATCTTCTTCCTTAAGTCCTAAGGTATTCCTTTTGGTGTAGCAACATATAAACCAAAGTGACAAACTTGTTGCATCGCCAGCTAATACAAACAACCCAGTATGCAATGATGAAGCATGGAAAAGATATACCTAATGAATCCTACTCTAAAAAGGGAAAACAGGAAACACACAGCAGTCACGGATCCACAGCAACGAGGAAATCCTACTGTGCAGTGATTGTGAAGATCCCTTCCAGGCTCTTTGCTCAGACCTGGACTTGGTTACCTGGAAGCAACCACATTATCCATTGGACTAGGTGGTACTTGGCTGCACCCACTGGGAGGGTGTAGGGCATTTTGTCCTCCTTAGGAGTCAGCAGTCTGCCTTACCTTATCAGGCTGTTTCTTATTATGGCAAGTTGGAAGTATGGGTTAAAGACTGGTTACAGACAAGTTATTTTTGGCGAGGCTCATGGTTTCCTTACCAATACAGTTCCATAAGAGAATACAGAAAAAAAAACTTCTCTCAGAAACTATATCTATTGTCATTCAGTCAGTTTAGTGCTCTGAAACACCCAAAAGTCTTTTCTAAATATAGTTCTCAAGTCTTCCTTGCTACCATATCTTTTTCTTTCATCCCTGCCCTTCCTTCCACAAAAGAAAGCTCTATTACTACTACTTTGAAATTTAAATTTCTGCTACTTTGAGGCCAGTTGAAATAATGTGCTTCAATTGAAGGGCAACTCCCTTAATCTTATATGGCTCCACAACCTAGCCACATTTGTTACCTGAGAAGTCTAGATGGTCCTTATGCCCTCAGTGTCTTTTCTGTCTTATTTACTATTATTTGAACTCCAGAAGCTATTGATCAGCTTTTGCAATCATGGAAAATCTTCATCATGTTTGCCTGAAAATTGCCTTTTTTTGTGATATGTTGGTAATACCAGTGAAAGGCAAACAATGTATCCTTATATTCCGGCTCTTTTCAAAACCTTCTTAAGAGTTACAGGCTTAGTAGGCACTTGATCTACTTTCCAAGTTATCACAAGTGGCAGTTTTATCAAATGTTTTTGTCATGACAAATAAGGATCTCCAGCTTTATGGCCTTCTATATTTACTATCTACAACCAGCCTGCTGAGCCAATGGCACAAATTTAAGTGCCTTCTTAAAGCAGCACACCACTTCTGATATAAATTTTTATGTTAGTTAGGTTAACCTAGCTACTGTAATAAACAACCACCGAATGAGTGTCTGACCAGACTGCAAAAGCATTTCTCAATCATATAGCAGTTCAATGCATACGTTCCTGTTATTTTCCTCCACATGATGATTCTGGGATTCTGGTTATTTCCATATTATGGCCCTGCCATCTCCTAGACAGTTCTCAGCATCAAGCTGGTAGATAGGGAAGGAGTTAAGAACTGTTTATGGGAAAACCAACAGATTAGCTTTATAACTTCTTATACTTTTTGATAAATCATGATTTATAGTGTTACAGTAGTTCCTCTTTTCATTAATTTTTGGAATTGTTTTTCATCCTATTTGTTATTGTTATTATTTGTTTTCTTTTTGAGAAATAAGAAAAGTCCAGGCTCCAAGTTTTCCCTTCTAAAGACTTAAAATAGTAAACCAAAAACCCACAGTTCTTATAGGCCACTAAAAAAAGATCTGCCCAAATCTGGGCTTTCAAATGTGCTTCTCATTTCCTTCTACCTTACTTCATCATCATCTCCTACTGGTCCTAATTTCAAGAATTTTTAAAACAATATTTACTTGTACTAAAGCTTGACAGTTCACCCATGTACTTAGTGACCAGCTTTTCTTAACCGAGACACTTCTTTCTTCTTGCACTACATAAAATTTTGTGACTCACCTCTACTTTCCCTGGCTTGCCCTTCTTTTTTTTTTTTTTTTAAACTTTTTTCACTTTGCTATTGCTATGTCAGGAATATCTGCTGAAATTGAGTCCCTCTCATTTTGAAACACAGGAGATGAGAGCCCTTCTTCAAGCCACTCACTTCTGATCAATAGCCTTTTTATAATCATCCCAGTCTTCTTCCATTTGGAAACTTACTTCCCAGTCTGTCTTTTTTAGCAAGGAAGCATCAGTTTGCATCATCCCATCTATACTAGAATATAAGCTTTCATAGTACACATAAATGGAATTTAAAGGTACTCTAATGGTGGTGTAAATGTTGTGAAAACTAATGTCTTAGTGAGGTATTACATACTCATAAGAAAATATCTGCTCCTTCCAGTGATCTGGATCTGCATTCCCAGTGTCCTTCAGTGCCTATCATCTTCCCTGAGGTGTGTTTCAGAACAACACATCTTTCCAGAAACACAAGCTAAGTCTGATCCAGTACCAAAAGTGTCAGCTTTAAAAGAATGCAGAATGTAAGCACACTTAGAGATTTCAGAGGCTTGGTAGCCCACATCCTTCATTTTACAGACATGACCTAGAGACTTGCTATTCAACGTGTGGCCCACAGACAAGGAGAAAAATTAAAAGTGCAGAATCACAGACCCCACCCCATACCTAACTGAACAGGAATCTGCACTTTTCACAAGACAGTGAATGATTCAGATGCATCATAAAGTTTAAGAAGCACTATCCAGGTTTCAGTAAAGTTCTAAGGAAAAGGATATGGTTTAAACCCTCTCTTAAGTGCTAGTATCTTCCTAGCTACGATTCACTGTATACAGCTGTAAAAGAAGTTATGTAAAAAATTGTCTTGCCTTTCTTAGAATAACATATTCTACACGGGAGGCTGAGGCACGTGGATCACCTGAGGTCAGGAGTTCAAGACCAGCCTGGCCAACATGGTGAAACCCCATCTCTATTAAAAAATACAAAAATTAGCTGGACATGGTTGTGGGCCCCTGTAATCCCACCTACTCGGGAGGCTGAGGCAGGGGAATCACTAGAACCCGGGAGGCAGAGGTTGCAGTGAGCCAAGACCACTGCATTGCACTCCAGACTGGGTGACAAGAGTGAAACTCCGTCTCAAAAAAAAAAAAAAAAGGATTATAGAATTAAAACTTTTTAAGCATCAAAACATGTAGTCAACTGCTGACATCACATTTTTCACATGAATTTAATCTCCTCTTGTTTTTAAATAGCTCATTGTCCATTCATCTGAGTAAGTATTAGACCATCTTTCTTTTTTTTTTTATTATAGTTTAAGTTTTAGGGTACATGTGCACAATGTGCAGGTTTGTTACATGTGTATACATGTGCCATGTTGGTGTACTGCACCTATTAACTCATCATTTAACATTAGGTATATCTCCTAATGCTATCCCTTCCCCATCCCCCCGACCCCACAACAGGCCCCAGTGTGTGATGTTCCCCTTCCTGTGTCCATGTGTTCTCATTGTTCAATTCCCACCTATGAGTGAGAACATGCGGTGTTTGCTTTTTTGTCCTTGTGATACTTTGCTGAGAATGATGGTTTCCAGCTTCATCCATGTCCCTACAAAAGACATGAACGCATTATTTTTTATGACTACATAGTATTCCATGGTGTATATGTGCCACATTTTCTTAATCCAGTCTATCATTGTTGGACATTTGGGTTGGTTCCAAGTCTTTGCTATTGTGAATAGTGCCGCAATAAACATACGTGTGCATGTGTCTTTATAGCAGCATGATTTATAATCCTTTGGGTATATACCCAGTAATGGGATGGCTGGGTCAAATGGTATTTCTAGTTCTAGATCCCTGAGGAATCGCCACAGTGACTTCCACAATGGTTGAACTAGTTTACAGTCCCACCAACAGTGTAAAAGTGTTCCTATTTCTCCACATCCTCTCCAGTACCTGTTGTTTCCTGACTTTTTTTATTATGAATATAAAATTTTTCATATTATATATATTTATATGCATATATTATTAATATAAAACATTTGTCAATTACATGCACAAAAACCCCTGATAACAACGGTGGCTTATACTTTTGTGTCTTGTTTTTATTGTTTGTCAAAGTGGTGGCTAAACAATTTACTGTATAACTTTTAAGGCCGTCAAAATATCAATCATTTCCTTGTGTGTGTGTGAGAGAGAGAGAGAGATGGAGAGAGGGATACAGAGAGACAGGGTCTTACACTGTTGGTCAGGCTGGTGTGCAGTGGCATAATCATATGGTCATAGCTCACTTCAGCCTTGGCATCCTGGGCTCAAGCAATTTCCTGCCTTATCCCCCCAAGTATCTGGGACTACAGGTGCACACAGTACCATGCCTGGACTAGATTCGTGTTCTTTATGTCTAGCTAAGAAAACTTTTACTGTTCAAAGTCATAACATTTTAATCTATTTTACTCAGGTACAGTTAATTATATATGTCTTTTCAAAATAGCCTTCCTGTGAAGTCATCTGCTTCTTTTTTTTTAATTTTATTATTATTATATTTTAAGTTTTAGGGTACATGTGCACAACATGCAGGTTTGTTACAGATGTATACATGTGCCATGTTGGTGTGTTGCACACATCAACTCGTCATTTAGCATTAGGTATATCTCCTGACTTTTTAATAATTGCCATTCGAACTGGTGTGAGATGGTATCTCATTGTGGTTTTGATTTGTATTTCTCTGATGGCCAGTGATGATGAGCACTTTTTCATGTATCTTTTGGCTGCATAAATGTCTTCTTTTGAGAAGTGTCTGTCCATATCTTTTGCCCACTTTTTGATGGGGTTGTTTGTTTTTTTCTTGTAAATTTGTTTGAGTTCATTGTAGATTCTGGATATTAGCCCTTTGTCAGATGAGTAGATTGCAAAAATTTTCTCCCATTCTGTAGGTTACCTGTTCACTCTGATGGTAGTTTCTTTTGCTTTGCAGAAGCTCTTTAGTTTAATTAGATCCCATTTGTCAATTTTGGCTTTTGTTGCCCTTGCTTTTGGTGTTTTAGACATGAAGTCCTTGCCCATGCCTATGTCCTGAATTGTATTGCCTAGGTTTTCTTCTAGGACTTTTATGGTTTTAGGTCTAATATGTAAGTCTTTAATCCATCTTGAATTAATTTTTGTATAAGGTGTAAGGAAGGGATCCAGTTTCAGCTTTCTACATATGGTTAGCCAGTTTTCCCAGCACCATTTATTACATAGGGAATCCTTTCCCCATTGCTTGTTTTTGTCAGGTTTGTCAAAGATCAGACAGTTGTAGATAGGTGGCATTATTTCTGAGAACTCTGTTCTGTTCCATTAGTCTATATCTCTGTTTTAGTACCAGTACCATGCTGTTTTGGTTACTGTAGCTTTGTATTATAGTTTGAAGTCAGGTAGTGTGATGCCTACAGCTTTGTTCTTTTGGCTTAGGATTGACTTGGCAATACGGGCTCTTTTTTGGTTCCATATGAACTTTAAAGCAGTTTTTTCCAATTCTGTGAAGAAAGTCATTGGTAGCTTGATGGGGATGGCATTGAGTCTATAAGTTACCTTGGGCAGTATGGCCATGTTCACGATATTGATTCTTCCTACCCATGAGCATAGAATGTTCTTCCATTTGTTTGTATCCTCTTTTATTTCATTGAGCAGTGGTTTGTAGTTCTCCTTGAAGAGTTCCTTCACATCCCTTGTAAGTTGGATTCCTAGGTATTTTATTCTCTTTGAAGCAATTGTGAATGGGAGTTCACTCATGATTTCACTCTCTGTTTGTCTGTTATTGGTGTATAAGAATGCTTGCGATTTTTGTACATTGATTTTGTATCCTGAGACTTTGCTGAAGTTGCCTATCAGTTTAAGGAGATTTAGGGCTGAGACAACGGGGTTTTCTAGATATACAATCATGTCATCTGCAAACACAGACAATTTGACTTCCTCTTTTCCTAATTGAATACCCTTTATTTCCTTCTCCTGCCTGATTGCCCTGGCCAGAACTTCCAACACTATGTTGAATAGGAGTGGTGAGGGAGGGCATCCCTGTCTTGTGCCAGTTTTGAAAGGGAATGCTTCCAGTTTTTGTCCATTCAGTATGATATTGGCTGTGGGTTTGTCATAGATAGCTCTTATTATTTTGAGATACATCCTACCAATACCTAATTTATTGAGAGTTTTTAGCATGAAAGGTTGTTGAATTTTGTCAAGGGCCTTTTCTGCATCTATTGAGATATCATGTGGTTTTTGTCTTTGGTTCTGTTTATATGCTGGATTACATTTATTGATTTGCATATGTTGAACCAGACTTGCATCCCAGGGATGAAGCTCTCTTGATCATGGTGGATAAGCTTTTTGATGTGCTGCTGGACTCAGTTTGCCAGTATTTTATTGAGGATTTTTGCATCAATGTTCATCAAGGATATTGGTCTAAAATTCTCTTTTTTTGTTGTGTCTCTGCCAGGCTTTGGTATCAGGATGATGCTGGCCTCATAAAATGAGTTAGGGAGGATTCCCTCTTTTTCTATTGATTGGGATACTTTCAGAAGGAATGGTACCAGCTCCTCCTTGTAGCTCTGGTAGAATTCAGCTGTGAATCCATCTGGTCCTGGACTTTTTTTGGTTGGTAAGCTATTAATTTTTGCCTCAATTTCAGAGCCTGTTATTGGTCTATTCAGACATTCAACTTCTTCCTGCTTTAGTCTTGGAAGGGTGTATGTGTCGATGAATTTATTCATTTCTTCTAGATTTTCTAGTTTATTTGCATAGAGGTGTTTATAGTATTCTCTGATGGTAGTTTTTATTTCTCTGGGATCAGTGATGATATCCCCTTTATCATTTTTTATTGCGTCTATTTGATTCTTCTCTCTTTTCTTCTTTATTAGTCTTGCTAGCAGTCTATCAATTTTGTTGATCTCTTCAAAAAACCAGCTCCTGGATTCATTGATTTTTTGAAGGGTTTTTTGTGTCTCTATTTCCTTCAGTTCTGCTCTGATCTTAGTTATTTCTTGCCTCCTGCTAGCTTTTGAATGTGTTTGCTCTTGCTTCTCTAGTTCTTTTAATTGTGATGTTAGGGTGTCAATTTTAGATCTTTCCTGCTTTCTCTTGTGGGCATTTAGTGCTATAAATTTCCCTCACACACTGCTTTGAAGGTGTCCCGGAGATTCTGGTATGTTGTGTCTTTGTTCTCGTTGGTTTCAAAGAACATCTCAATTTCTGCCTTCATTTCATTATGTACCCAGTAGAATTCAGGAGCAGGTTGCTCAGTTTCCATGTATTTGAGCAGTTTTGAGTGAGTTTCTTAATCCTGAGTTCTAGTTTGATTGCACTGTGGTCTGAGAGACAGTTTGTTATAATTTCTGTTCTTTTACATTTGCTGAGGAGTGCTTTACTTCCAACTATGTGGTCAATTTTGGAATAGGTGTTGTGTGGTGCTGAAAAGAATGTATATTCTGTTGATTTGGGGTGGAGAGTTCTGTAGATGTCTATTAGGTCTTCTTGGTGCAGAGCTGAGTTCAATTCCTGGATATCCTTGTTAACTTTCTGTCTCATTGGTCTGTCTAATGTTGACAGTGGGGTGTTAAAGTCTCCCATTATTATTGTGTGGGAGTCTAAGTCTCTTTGTAGGTCTCTAAGGACTTGCTTTATGAATCTGGGTGCTCCTGTATTGGGTGGATATATTTTTAGGATAATTAGCTCTTCTTGTTGAATTGATCCCTTTACCATTATGTAATGGCCTTCTTTGTCTCTTTTGATCTTTGTTGATTTAAAGTCTGTTTTATCAGAAACTAGGATTGCGACCCTTGCCTTTTTTTGTTTTCCATTTGCTTGGTAGATAGATCTTCCTCCATCCCTTTATTTTGAGCTTATGTGTGTCTCTGTACGTGAGATGGGTTTCCTGAATACAGCACACTGATAGGTCTTGACTCTTTATCCGATTTGCCAGTCTGTGTCTTTTAATTGGAGCATTTAGCCCATTTACATTTAACGTTAATATTGTTATGTGTGAATTTGATCCTGTCATTATGATGTTAGCTGGTTATTTTGCTCGTTAGTTGATGCAGTTTCTTCCTAACCTTGATGTTCTTTACAATTTGGCATGTTTTTGCAGTGGCTGGTACCGGTTGTTCCTTTCCATGTTTAGTGCTTCCTTCAGGAGCTCCCCATCAGACTGACAGCTGATCTCTTGGCAGAAACTCTACAAGCCAGAAGAGAGTGGGGGCCAATATTCAACTTTCTTAAAGTAAAGAATTTTCAACCCAGAATTTCATATCCAGCCAAACTAAGCTTCATAAGTGAAGGAGAAATAAAATACTTTACAGACAAGCAAATGCTGAGAGATTTTGTCGCCACCAGGCCTGCCCTAAAAAATAGACCATCTTTCTTATCTCAATCATGCATGTACTGTTGTATAGTTCCAACAGAGCAGTGTTAAATACAGTAGAGAAAAAAAGTATACATTCTTAGCATAGAGAATGTTCATTGTAACCACATGTCTTGTAGCCAAGCATTAGATTGAAATTATTTTCAAAGTTGCCTTTAAAGAAGCATCCCAGTTTCTAGTATTTTAAAAATTAAAAATAGAATCTCTCATCTTTCTCTTTTTAATAGTTCTTAAACAATAACTGATGAACTTTCTTTTTACTCAATTATACCAGGATCTTAACAATATGTTTAACATTCCTCATAGAACCCTTGTCTCTCATGTATGTTTTAAACAATATGAAATTCACAAGCTTTATAATCTAACCTAACTTTTGTGCTCAATTGTTTATCTCAAATGTAGCTTTTCTAATTGCTAAACACTTGAAAATTGTTCACAATTACCTCCTTTATAATTTCAAACTCCAAAGAATTGCTTTTTATCTCCCAAATGTATTTTAAAATTGACTATGTATTATTGTCTTGAGTGAATTAGAGTGACTAGACTTGTATATAAAACATAATTTTTGTAATTATAAATTTAATTCCACTTTCCTGCTGTCGTTATCCAATTGCAACACATTTATATGACTTCATAACCTTTGTCCCAGAGGATGTAGTCACTGCCTCAAATTCTGTCCCATTATTTTAACTGCTAAAATGACTTTGTTTTTCTTTTGCCTTTCTTTCATGTTAAGTTATAATTATTGCTATTTTTTTCTCTTTATATGTAACCCAAGAACCCTTGTCCTAAGCCTGGCAATTCTGTGTTCCAGTGGCATAATTTAGTCTTCTGGAAATCTAGTAGTGATCGACCTGGCACTCTTCTTTTCATGTGCTCTAGCTCTCCTTTGATCATGCCCTTTGAGAAGCTTAGCCACTCCAATTATGCCTCTATCTTTGTGGTATAAAGTTATATTGCACATCTCAGACTGTCTGTGGCCTTTTGATCAAAGTGTAGAGTACCTGACTTATGTCTTTTTCCATCCTTATTGATTAGTTTTTTTTCAAATAACAAAAGAGGTAACATCTTTTCATGTATCTGGTTTCAATAAAATTCTATCAGGAAAAGAGTATGGTTTAAACCTTCTCTTAAATTTTAGTTCCGTGATCTGAGTAGTATGTGTCCTTAGGAGCACTACTCAGGGGTCTGCCTAACTCCCAAAACATCTTCCTGGGCAACTTAAAGCAATGTTAATTTGAGCCTCAAAATACCATACTTTGGTAGTATGTTATTATGTCAACTAGTTTCCCCTTCGAAGAGAAAGCATTGCATGATACACAGCAGTATTGGCTTTGAGTAACTCTCAACCACACGTATTAGATAAATTGAAAAAGTACCTTTGCTTTTCCTTCTCCCTTCCAATCTTAATTGTTTGCACCAGTTAGGATTGGAAGTTCCCTAATCATCATGTGTATCTAGGTAAAAGTGAAGAAACTGCCCATAGCCAATGGACAGATAGAATTTTCCAGCACTAGTTTGAGAAATTTGAAGAGTCAGAGCAGCTATGTCTTATTAACTTCTATATTAGTTCGTAGCAGAGTGCCCAGCACACACACAAAAAAACAAATATTTGTGCATTCAGGTCAACCCTTCTTATGTCTTTAAATTAAATGATTTCATAATTCACATGATATAAATTTTTTTGCAGATAACATCTTTAGAATTTTGTGCTACAGTTACTGCACATAATTTCCAGTTGCCTTTTAACATTATAAATCCATTGTACAAATAAGATAGGAACGGAAAGAGAGAAATACGTAGTAGATGTTTTGCTACATAGTTCCTAACTTGGCAAATAAAGAAGTGTGCCACAAGTGAGATCTTAAAATAATGAAATTACTAGTAAATGACTTAAAAAAATACATTCAACTGAGAGCTTAGTATTCAGCCAAAATTTTAAAGTGCTTTTTGCAAACTAAAACATAATTATTTCACATTACTCCTATTTAAGAAGTTGTTACAATCATGTTATCTTCCTTTTTAGCCTCTTGTCCATATTTTTCCTTCAATATATTGTATGTTTCATACAAGAAACCTGCCTTGGTATTTGAGCATGCTTGAAAAGTTTTAAGCCTCAATGAATTTTCTCAGTGACTTTTAAAACACTCCAGGAAAACAGAAATCTTTCATTTCAGCCCTTTGAATGATGCAATAACGGTCTCCATGGGAGAGTTAAAGAAGAAATGAACTGCAAAGCATGAACTTAGATGGTTGGATTTAGAAATCAGAAGGGCTCAGATTTGAAGTGATGTATAATACCTTACTCATATTCCAGTTCAAACAGAAATCTGGAAAGTCTGAAAGTACTTAATGTTTAATAATTAAAAGATATATATAATTGTAGACCAGATTCCAAAATGAAGCTCTTGCTCCTGTGTCATGCTTTCTCTCAATTAGAACATAAGCAATTGTCATACATTTTGCCTTTTCAGTTCTAAATAAAGAGCTCTGGACTGAACTCAGGAACCGTGAATGCAGTGACAGCTTTGCCAGAAATTGTTTGACATTGAACAAGTTATTTTACATCTTACAGTTTCCTCATATAAAAAGTGAAGGCCTGAACTAGGAACTCTGAAGATCTTTCCACCTCCAAAAGTATACATTTTGATATTTGGAAGGTAAGAGAACAATAAATAATGATTTTTAAAAGATACTTTGTAATATAATTAAAAATAAACTCTTTTCAGGTAAAATCATGAATGTTTAATCCTGTTTACTAATACTTATTCATCTTAGTCCATTTGGGCTACTAAAACATATACCACAAACTGGGCAGCTTATAAACAACAGAAATTTACCATAGTTCCCAACATCAAGGTGCTGGCAGATTTAGTGTCTGCTGAGGGCACACTTTCTGGGTCATGGAAGGTGCCTTCCAGCTTTGTCCTCACATGGTAAAAGGGAACAATGAGCTTCCTTGGGTCTCTTCTATAAGGGTACTAATTCCATTCATGAGGGCTCCATCTTTATAATTTAATGATGTATCAAGAGTTCCACCTCCTAATATTATCATCTTGGAGATTAAGACTTCAACATATGAATTTTATGGAGACACAAACATTCAAACAATATCAAACTTTAAAAAATTACCTTTTAAGTATTTTAATAATTGTATTTAATTGTATGTTTTTAAGTCAAGAAATCCAGACTTATTTATTTATTTATTTATTTATTTATTTATTTATTTATTTATTTATTTATTTTTGAGATGGAGTGTCGCTCTGTCACCCAGGCTGGAGGGCAGTGGTGCGATCTGGGCTCACTGCAAGCTCCGCCTCCCAGGTTCACGCCATTCTCCTGCCTCAGCCTCCTGAGTAGCTGGGACTACAGTTGCCCGCCACCATGCCCTGCTAATTTTTTTGTATTTTTAGTAGAGACGAGGTTTCCCCGTGTTAGCCAGGAAGGTCTGGATCTCCTGACCTCGTGATCCGCCCGCCTCAGCCCCCCAAAGTGCTGGGATTACAGGCGTGAGCCACCGCGCCTGGCCCCAGAATTATTTTTGATTCTATTATTTATGATTCTAGCTTAAATTGCTGTTTCAATTGATGGACTCTCTCTGATCCTGTCATGTCAAAGAAGAAATGTTCTGCTCCACAGAAATTCAGCCCTTTCCCCAAAATAAAGAAAAATGCACTATAATTTCAATACCTAGGGAAAAATACTGTTAACACTTGGATAAGGGAGTGAGAGAGATGAAGCGAAAGAGAAAGAGAGAGACAGAGAGACTTGAATATTCAGAGTATAGAATATAATCTAGTACTTTCATGAAAATACAAACTTTACAATAATACATAAATTACCTCATGCTTTGAGTGCTCTGTGAAAGGCAATTCGTTGGGCATCTGAGGGTTTTGAAGATGTGTAAGATGCAATACCTTACTCTGAAAAGCAAATCAAACCTAATATCAAATATATTTTCTTCAAAGAAATGTATTCATTCAATAACATTTTTTGACTAACTACTATGTGCTTGGCCTTGTTTTAGCACTGCAGATAGGGAATAAGACAGTTATAATCTTTATACTCATGGACGTTATATTTTATTGAGGAAGACTGATGAAATATAGATGAATAAACAAGAAGAATATTTTATCTTAGTTAATGCTGTGAATAAAAATGTTTTTAAAATAAACAGAGGAATAAGAAAGTGATAGACAGCCTAGCTACTCTAAATTGGATAGTGAGATAAGGCCTCTATGAGTATGACATTTACATTAAGTTCTGAATGATAAGGACCTACAGCAAGATGAAGGACTGGGTGGAGCATTTCAGGCAGAATAGGGAACTAGTGCAAAAGTCATAGGGTAGGAACAAACTTAACATGTTTGATTTTTTTTAATTATATTTTAAGTCCTAGGGTACATGTGCACAGCATGCAGGTTTGTTACATATGTATAAATGTGCCATGTTGGTTTGCCGCACCCATTAACTTGTCATTTGCATTAGGTATTTATCCTAATGCTATCCCTCCCCCATACCCCCACCCCACGACAGGCCCCAGTGTGTGATGTTCCCCTTCCTGTGTCCATGTGTTCTCAATTGTTCAATTCCCACCTATGAGTGAGAACATGCCGTGTTTGGTTTTCTGTCCTTGCAATAATTTGCTCAGAATGATGGTTTCCAGCTTCATCCATGTCCCTACAAAGGACAAGAACTCATCCTCTTTTATGACTGCATAGTATTCCATGGTGTATATGTGCCACATTTTCTTAATCCAGTCTATCATTGATGGACATTTGGGTTGGTTCCAAGTCTTTGCTATTGTTAATAGTGCTGCAATAAACATACGTGTGCATATGTCTTTATAGTAGTGTGATTTATAATCCTTTGGGTATATAACCAGTAATGGGATGGCTGGGTCAAATGGTATTTCTAGTTCTAGATCCCCGAGGAATTGCCACACTGTCTTCCACAGTGGATGAACTAGTTTACACTCCCATCAACAATGTAAAAGTGTTCCTATTTCTCCACATCCTCTCCAATACCTGTTGTTTCCTGACTTTTTAATGATCGCCATTCTAACTGGTGTGAGATGGTATCTCATTGTGGTTTTGATTTGCATTTTTCTGATGGCCAGTGATGATGAGCATTTTTTCATGTGTCTGTTGGCTGCATAAATGTCTTCTTTTGAAAAGTGTCTGTTCATACCCTTAATCCACTTTTTGATGGGGTTGTTTGATTTTTTCTTGTAAATTTGTTTAAGTTCTTTGTAGATTCTGGATATTAGCCCTTTGTCAGATGAGTAGATTGCAAAAATTTTCTCCCATTCTGTAGCTTGCCTGTTCACTCTGATGGTAGTTTCTTTTGCTGTGCAGAAGCTCTTTAGTTTAATTAGATCCCACTTGTCAATTTTGGCTTTTGTTGCCATTGCTTTTGGTGTTTTAGACTGAAGTCCTTGCCCATGCCTATGTCCTGAATGGTATTGTCTAGGTTTTCTTCTAGGGTTTTTATGGTTTTAGGTCTAACACTTAAGTCTTTAATCTATCTTGAATTGATTTTTGTAAGGTGTAAGGAAGGGATCCAGTTATAGCTTTCTACATATGGCTAGCCAGTTTTCCCAGCACCATTTATTAAATAGGGAATCCTTTCCCCATTTCTTGTTTTTGTCAGGTTTGTCAAAGATCAGATGGTTGTAGATGTGTGGTGTCATTTCTGAGGGCTCTGTTCTGTTCCATTGGTCTATATCTCTGTTTTGGTACCAGTACCATGCTGTTTTGGTTACTGTAGCCTTGTAGTATAGTTTGAAGTCAGGTAGTGTGATGCCTCCAGCTTTGTTTTTTTGGCTTTTTTAAGTCAATAAGGCTAGGGTTTCATTGCCTGGGGGAAGATGTATGTGATGAAGTCTGAGAAGGAGGAGAACAAGACCAAGTAGGGAGTTTGGATTTTAAGTATGATGTGCAGCCATTGGAGAGCATGGAGGGTATAGATAAGGGTAGGAATAAGTCAAGCCTGAAAGCAACAAGGTCAGTTGGGAACTAATACAGATGTCCAGATGAGAGTGGAAGGGCCTTGGAGAAGGGGAGAAAAATAGGATGGAGAGAAGTGAACAGATTTACTATATGCCTTGTTATTAGAGCCCAGACTTGTTAATGAATTGGATTTGTTGAGTAAAGATAATAAAATCTAACATCTGTCTTTCTGACTTGAGTAAATATGTTGAGGTTGCTACTGTTTGCTGAGATTGAACATAAATAAGTGAATTTGGAAGAAGGTAGATGTTTCTGAATGTATATCAGCAGTTCCCAACCTTTTTGGCACCAGGGACTGGTTTCATGGAAGACAATTTTTCCACAGGAAACAGTGGTGGGCATGGCTTCAGGAAGAAACTCTTCCACCTCCAATCATCAGGCATTAGATTCTTATAAGGAGCATGCAACCTAGAGCCCTTGTATGCACAGTTCACAATAGGGTTTGGCTTTTCTGAGACTCTAATGCCGCTGGTGATCTGACAGGTAGTGGAGCTCAGGCAGTAATACTTGCTTGCCCGCCACTCACTTCCTGCTGTGCCGCCCAGTTCCTAACAGGCCTCGGACCAGTACTGGTCCTAACCTGCCCGAAGGTTGGGGACCCCTGGTCTACATAATACTTAATTTTCTGTATTCCTAGGGCTTCAACTTTGATCATTATGCTAACATTTACCAATTCTATCTCTTCCAGCTACTAAATATCACTGCATGTGTGTCCCTGAGAAACCTGAAACTCAAGGTATCCAAAATTAAATTGTCCTTCACGTGCTGCTTCTCCTCCTGCTTGCCATTTTCATCTAATGCCCCCGTTATCTATCAAGGCACCAAAGAATCCAAAACTGAATTAGTTCATTTAAACTTCTAAATAGCTTTAGAAACCCTCACTTCTTCTCCGTCTCATCTGCTTATTCTTCATTAGCTATCTTTATTTAAGAAAATGTGCTGACTGCCTGCTATATCCCAAGCAGTTTTAGTACTGGGAAGTACTGCAGTCAGTAAAAAGGAACAAATCTCATCTCTACAGAGCATATATTTGAATATTCACCCTGAGGAAGAAGGAATTATATAGAAGACATTGAGCAGCATAAAAACCATTTTATTGCTCTAGTTTTCATGATTATCTTTAGAACAATATTTCTTCAATTAATTACACTTGGAATTAGTATGTCTGTTACTTGCTGCACATTAACAAGTGCCAATTACATCTTTCTTCCTAAAATTCACTGTCCAAACTTTTTTGTGACATTGAATCCAGTCCCCTTGCTTAACTTTTATTCTAAGCATCATGTCATTTTATTTTATATTAATTTATTCTTTCTCTGTTGCTCTTTCTTTATGTAGACCCATGTTCTAACCTATATCATTTAATTCTTATTCTAGTTCCTTTATAAGTAAGATCCCTGCCTACCTCGTTTTCTTCAGCTTCTTTCAAAATTTTTCTCTTTGCTTTTCCTTTTATTCAATTTGAATACGATAGGCCTAGGTATAGATATTTTGGAATTAATTCTGTTTGGTGTTCTTTGCACTTCTTGGATCTCTGGTTTCGTGTCAGACATTAATTTGGGGGAAGTTTTTCACCATTATACTTTAAATATTTTGTCTTCTCTGTGTTGTTTTTCTTCTACTTTTGGAATTCCAATTACACATATATTTTACCTTTTGGAACTGCCCCACAGTTCTTGGGTGCTCTCTCCTAGTGTGTGTGTATGTGTGTGTGTGTGTGTGGTGTCATGTATGAGTGTGTGTTTCATCCTTTTGTTTTTGAATTTCAGTTTGGGAAGTTTCTTATGACCTTTCAAGCTCACTAAATCTTTCCTGAACTATGTTCATTCTACTGATGATTCCAGCAGAAGGCATAATTCATTTCTTTTATTGTGGTTTTCATGTATAACATTTCCTTTTTATTCTTAGAGTTTCCATCTTTCTGATTATAATATCCATCTGTTCTTGCCTGCTGTCTACTTTTTCCATGGGAACCCTTAACACATTAACCATAGATATTTTAAATGTGCAGTCTGATAATTCAAACATCTGTGCCATATCTGAGTCTGGTTCTGATTACTGCTTTGTCTTGTCATACTGTGTATTTTTTTTTCTTGCCTTTCTCAGGCCTTGTGGCTTTTTTGTTGAAAGCCAGACATGTATGATCAGATAATAGGATCTGAAATAAATAGACATTTATCTGAATACGGCTAAGAGTTTGGTTATGCTTAATGTTTGCAGTAGTTGTAGGTGCCAGAGACTTCAAATTCTTACAGTATCCTTGTTTTTACCTCTCCTGTTGTCTTTCAGGTTTCCTACCTACTCCTTCTCAAAGGGAGCCTATAATTTGGAGCTTTTTAGCTATATTGCACTGTTATTATAGGGAAGCTGTGTTTCTCTAGGGGTAATACTTGGGGAAGAGGAAATATTCCATAACCTTATGATTAAATATCAGGCTTTTAGAAGGCCTGTATACTGGACTGTGACCTTCACAAGTGTTTCTTACCTTTTTTTCTCCTCAGTTGATGCAGGAAGTCTAGAGGGGGCTAGAGTATGAAGAATGCCCCCTCTCCAGGGAGATAATTCTCTGATAAGGCCCTTTCTACTGAAGAGTAGGTCTTTATTATGAAGAATGATCTGGGTATATTTCATAGTGATTAGTCTTCTCTTACCCTTACCATAGCCAGCAGGGAATCTTTCTTAGTTCTTCAACCTAAGAGGTGAATGGGGTTCCTAGAGGTAAAACCCAAGAGAGTGTGGGGACCTCATCAGACTGTAGTTCCTATGAGTTTCTCACATTCATGCTAGTCTACACTCAGCCTCCAGCAACTCATCAAAATTATCATTTCGTGTTTCTGTCAATTTATGGCCCCAGAGTCTTCTGTTCCATGTAAGCAGGATTTTGACTGTGATTCTCTCGATTCACATGTTCCCCCAGATTTGGAGGTGATGATTTGCCCTGCAATTTCAGTTCTCTGATGGGGTCAAGAAAAGTCATTGGTTTTCCATTTCTTCAGCTCTTTTTCTTATTGTAAGGGCAACAGAGATGACTTCCAAACTATTTACACTTTAAAATTAGAAGTCAAGAAGATTCATAACAGAGACTTACTGAATCCTATTAAAGATTACATTGACAACAAAAGATTCAGTGTAATTAAAAATGAGAAACAGGGCAGACTCCAGAGAAAGTGAACCTTTTGGCGCTGCCTCTCACATTTCAAAAATCCTAGCTAAACCAGAATCATTTTTTTTAAGCAGAGAAATTGAGATGCAGGAGAAGATTGTTTCAAGATCCAAATGCCAAAATTCACACTGTCAACATTTATTGCTTTACTTTAACTTTCTGCTCACCTTCCTTCCCTTGTTCCTCTTGCTTCTTTCTTATGGCCAGAATGGACTGGCATTTCTAGATGTGACTTGATTGTATTATGTTTCCTATCTTAGTTGAACAGCATCAATATCTTCAATTCTTAGGCTTCAAATTAGAGAACCATCTTCATCTCTTGTTTATAACCTCACTCAAAATTTTCCGCCAAGTTCCTTTGTTATAATTTGACTCCATTTTTGATGTTTGACCACTGTGTTTCCAAATCCCATTTCTCCTCTTGTCCCACAGCTGGGAAAGCCAATAAGGAAGCCCTCACTCTTCCTCCCTTGCCACTGGCAGGAAGTTGTTTAAACCATGCACATGGAAACTCTTATAGGCTGCCTTTAATGACAATAAAAACAAAGCCCTTCATTTTGCTCAAGCTTTTGTGCCTGTCCTGCTGTCACTGGTAGTACCATTATGTGAGCTTTTCATACCCTCTTGATATATGCATGCTGTCATCAGTCTAGGCATATGAACCAATTTTGTTGTGAGGGGAGTGAGCAACCACCAAATACCTTTCCTTTTTATCTTTTCAAATCTTTCTCCCATCTGATATCTCCTCTTGGGTCCTTGAAGGCAAAACTCTTTAATGCTCCGATTCCTCTGTTCCCATTGTCCCTTTAACACAATTCAATGAGACTTTCATCCCACCTCCCCACAGAATCTCTTCTTGCCAATGTCAGCAAAATTCTTCAGATTCTTTGGGATTCCAAGGTCAATTTTTGGAATTCCTGTTTGAATTATCAGCAGCATTTGATTCAGTTAATTACTCTCCCCACTTTGAAATTTTTTTTTTCCTGCTGGCTTCTAAGACAGCCTAATTTATTAGTGTCCCCTACCTCACTGGTGCTTCTTCTCAGTCTCTTTTAATTGTTCCTCTGCATCTTCCTAACTTCTTAATGTTGGAATGCCCTATGTTTTAGTCCTTAGATATCTCCTCTTTTCTGTCAACATCAATCCCTTGGTGATATCATCTATGAACTGAGAACAGCCAAATTTCTGTCTCAAGAGTGACCTCTCTCCTAAACTCCAGTTGTAGGATTCAAATTCCTACTCACCATCCCTACTTAGAGGCCCTAATATCCTTTTCAAATTTAACTGTTCAAAACTGAACTCCTGATATTCTTCTCCCCCATTTTCTCTACCTGCATCCTGTCCTTCTCACTTAATAGCCACTTCATCCTCTTTATTTCTCATATGTCACACCAAATTATTGGAAGATTCTGTTGTCTCTATTTTCAGAATGTTTCCAGACACTAATACTTCTCAATACATCCACTGCTACCACACTGAACCAAAGCATTATGATACGACAACTGGATTATTACAATACTTTCCTGACTGCTCTCTCTCTTCTACCCCCGACACCCATAGTCTATCAACATAGTAGTCAGTGTGATTCTATTACAACATAAAGCATGTTGTGTCTCCACTGCTCAAAACTTTCCATTGGTTTTCTATTGCAATTAGAGCAAAAGCCAAAGTTCTTAAAAGAACCTACAAAGTTCTCAAAAGAACCTACAAAGTTCTCAAAAGAACCTACAAAGTTCTCAATAATCTGGCATCCCACGGTCAATATGACCAAATTCTCTAATATTCCTCCCATTTCTCCCCCCAGTCCAGCTGCACTGACCTCCTTGCCTTTCCTGGGACATGCAAGACACACTTCCAGGCTTCAGTATTTCCACTGGCATTATCCTCTGCCAGGAATAACATTCTGTCAGACAACTCCATGTCTTGAATCCTCATTTCCTTTTTTTTTATTTTATTATTATTATTTTACTTTAAGTTTTAGGGTACATGTGCACAATGTGCAGGTTAGTTACATATGTATACATGTGCCATGCTGGTGTGCTGCACCCATCAACTCGTCATTTAGCATTAGGTATATCTCCTAAAGCTATCTCTCCCCCTTCCCCCCACCCCACAACAGTCCCCAGAGTGTGATGTTCCCCTTCCTGTGTCCATGTGTTCTCATTGTTCACTTCCCACCTATGAGTGAGAATAGGAGGTGTTTGGTTTTTTGTTCTTGCGATAGTTTACTGAGAATGATGGTTTCCAATTTCATCCATGTCCCTACAAAGGACATGAACTCATCATTTTTTATGGCTGCATAGTATTCCATGGTGTATATGTGCCACATTTTCTTAATCCAGTCTATCATTGATGGACATTTGGGTTGGTTCCAAGTCTTTGCTATTGTGAACAGTGCCGCAATAAACATACGTGTGCATGTGTCTTTATAGCAGCATGATTTATAGTCCTTTGGGTATATACTCAGTAATGGGATGGCTGGGTCAAATGGTATTTCTAGTTCTAGATCCCTGAGGAATCACCACATTGACTTCCACAAGGGTTGAACTAGTTTACAGTCCCACCAACAGTGTAAAAGTGTTCCTATTTCTCCACATCCTCTCCAGCACCTGTTGTTTCCTGACTTTTTAATGATTGCCATTCTAACTGGTGTGAGATGGTATCTCATTGTGGTTTTGATTTGCATTTCTCTGATGGCCAGTGATGGTGAGCATTTTTTCATGTGTTTTTTGGCTGCATAAATGTCTTCTTTTGAGAAGTGTCTGTTCATGTCCTTCGCCCACTTTTTGATGGGGTTTTTTTTTTTTTTCTTGTAAATTTGTTTGAGTTCATTGTAGATTCTGGAAATTAGCCCTTTGTCAGATGAGTAGGTTGTGAAAATTTTCTCCCATTTTGTAGGTTGCCTGTTCACTCTGATGGTAGTTTTTTTTGCTGTGCAGCTCTTTAGTTTAATTAGATCCCATTTGTCAATTTTGGCTTTTGTTGCCATTGCTTTTGGTGTTTTAGACATGAAGTCCTTGCCCATGCCTATGTCCTGAATGGTAGACAAACCTGAGAAAAACAAGCAATGGGGAAAGGATTCCCTATTTAATAAATGGTGCTGGGAAAACTGGCTAGCCATATGTAGAAAGCTGAAACTGGATCCCTTCCTTATACTTTATACAAAAATTAATTCAAGATGGATTAAAGACTTAAACGTTAGACCTAAAACCATAAAAACCCTAGAAGAAAAGCTAGGAATCCTCGTTTCCTTTAAAGTGTCTAAACCATTGCTTTCTCAGTAAAGTTCTCACAAATCACCTTATTTAACCTCTTCTTCTACTAGATACGTCCTGTTCTCTGTTTGTTTGTTTTTTTCGACAAAGTACTTGAGACTCTCTAACATACATATATTAATATTTAATTAAAGTGTTTGCTTTTTGTCTCACACTAATAGAATACATCATTTCCAAGAATAAAAATGTTTTATTTTTCTGTTTTGTTTTCTGCCATATCCACAATACCTAGAATAATACCTGATTTGTAGCAAGCACTCAGTAAATTTTTGTTCCATCTCTGAATCTTCTTCTTTCTTCCAATTCTCATTGCTAGTATTTTTTGACTTAAGCCTTCATCACCTCTTTCTCAGTTTCTTGTAACTATCTTCTAACTTGTTTCCCTGTGTTAAGTTTCAAACTCCTAAAACTCATCATTTTCTAAAGTGATCTTTCTAAAGCATATCTTTGCTCATACTTCTGTGCTCAAAAATCTTCACTGAGGCCAGGCACGGTGGCTTACGCCTGTAGTGCCAGCACTTTGAGAGGCTGAGGCAGGCAGATCACTAAAGGCCAGTAGTTCAAGACCAGCCTGGCCAACATTGGCAGAACCCCGTCTCTACCAAAAATACAAAAATTAGCTGTGTGTGGTGGCGTACACTTGTAATCCCAGCTACTCAGGAGGCTAAGGCAGGAGAATTGCTTGAACCCAGGAGGTAGAGGTTGCAGTGAGGCAAGATTGTGTCACTGCGCTCCAGCCTGAGTGACAGAAGGAGACTCCACATCAAGAAAAAAAAAATTCATTGTCTCCCACTATCAAATATCGAAGATAGTTTTTTCTAAATATTGGAGTGTTACAACATCACACTTGATTCTTCACCCTACAGTTTCCAAGGTCCTATCCAAAACTTTGTTAATACAAATCTAAAAAACGAGGCCATTGTACCTAAAATGTTTTAAAATAAAATAAAACATGATTAAAGGCACTAGTCATTTCAAGGATCACAAACCCAGAAGTCTTAGGAAAGCCTCCCAGTTAATTTAGAAATCTGGCCTTAACTTACCTTTCCAGTCTTCACTCTGTCTCTTTCATTTTATCCACTCAATGCGTAAGACAGTGTAGACAGCTAACTAATGTGTGGCCTTAGATTACAGAAATAAATTGTTACATATGGGAAAGTATGTGACCTGGTTAAGAGAAACTACAAGAAAGAGTTTGTTATTCTGGGGATGACAAGTCATCTACGATTTTTAAAATTTAATCTGTTTAACTAAATGGCTAACTCTAAATGAATAGCTAGGTGAAAAATATTCCATTTGGTGAAAAAGCATGTTCTCATTACAAATTTTGGTTATGGTCAATATCGAAGATTTAAACCAACTTAATTTAAAACTATCTTAAAAAGTTTCTTTAATGAGAGACTTTTCTTATTTGGTATAATACATTACACTTGATCATCAATCACTATATAATTGAATTGTAAATTGTGAAAAGTTCAAGTGACAAAGTATATTATCAGTTTTCATCCATTTCTTCCATTATTGAAAATTGGTTGTTAACATAAATGTAAAGCTTAATTTCAAGATGGGAAAATCTACATATTTCTAAATTTGAAACATTCTATAATAAATAGAAAAACATTTAATAAGGGATCCATAACCAAATAATACTAGATGACATTAGTAGTTGTAAACATAAAGGTTTAAATTTTTCATTTTATAGATAGAATTATTACAGTTATAACATATTATTGTTATGAAGTATAAAGGTAAGCTATTCATCATAAATCTCAAGGCACTTCTAATGGACTGAATATATTTGATTTCTCCTAGAAAATCCTGTTTACTTCCCTCTATATCAAATACTATTTTACTACAAGAAATGTTTTGCTTCCTCAGTGGGCCTGTGCTCTGTTCCTATTGTGTGTGATTTCATTATTTTATATATTTAAATTTTAATCCCATTCCTAAAAGGCTATTTATTTCCCCTTTAGTATTCTCTCTGTAACATGAGTACTCCCTCAGCACATGAATCACTGGTTTTACTTATAATATGATGACCCAACCAGTCCGGCTTCCTCTAAGAATGCTTTAAAAAAATTATTTGCCTATGATATACACCTAGCCTTCATATTTTAACTCTACTAAGTCAGAATCCCTGGAAAAAAGACTATTCCATATAACATGTGCCTCTGTGATATCTGACCAAAGATGATTAAGAAACGCACAAACCATTGGCCTGAGACAATTCTACCCACAGGCTAAGCCACCCATTAAATTTCTTTCCTAGGAATTTGGAATTTAAGTACAGATACTGACAGACTGAGATATAGTTTAGCAAAACGGGAAGAAAAGCAGACAAAGCAGGAACATGTAAGTGAAAATGAAGTCAGAGAAATTAGAGAGAAGCCCTGAAGAACCAGTTGTTGATCACCAGAAGCTACTCCAGTTCTTGATTTTCTAAGGCCAAGTATTTCAGTTTTTGTGGATTTCTATGGGATTTTTGTATCTTTTCTCTGTGTTTGGTTAAGCTTGATTGGATTTCTGTTCCTGATCAACCAAAGAAAGGATGTCAGAGTCTAAAAATCATGTATTCAATTATTCTGTTGTGTTTGTATGTAAAATTTGTGTTAATTTTCCTGATTTATGTTTTTGCATATTTTGTAATTTTATTTTTCAAAAATAGAATTCATTATATTTAATTAAGCTGAAGAGAAATATTAAACAACACAATGAATGTAAGCAGTAATTTTGCTATTTTTCATTTTTGTTTATTTTTTATTTTGGTTTTATTTTTAGTTATTTTTTATTGCTTTTCCTTAAAAGAGCATCTTATGGTATTATTTGGTGCATTAAATGTTAATTTCTTTTTAAAGAAAGTCAGAATTTCTCCCTGACTTGGAAGTAAAGGGTTTGGTTCATATGCCAAATTCTCTATGGTTTATGTATCTTTTAATTAATCAATGGCTGGAAGTAGCATAATTGCAAAGCCTACATCACAATTAACAAGCACCAAGTGATAGCCATGATCATTGAAAACACAGGACAGTTGACCCTTGAACAAAATAGGTTTGAACTGCACAGGTCCACTTACACCCAGATTTTTTTCAACCAAACAAAGATTGTAAATATAATACACATGTATGTAAAACCTGTGTATAACAGAGGGTCATCTTTTCATATATGTGGGTTCCGTAGGGCCAACTGTGAACTTGAGTATGCACGAATTTTGGTATTCGCAGGAGTTCTAGAACTGATTCCTATCGATACTGAGGGATGACTGTACTCAGAAAAAGAATAAATCTTACTTAATAATCAAACCCTGAAGTGAAACTTTTCTTGACATCTTGAATGCTTGAGCAGCCCCTCTTGAAGCAAGAATATTGCAAAGTAGTCTGATTTGTTTTAAAATTATTAACAACTTGACTGGAAATACAATCTCACACCCAGCAAATTCATATAAAGAAGCAGAAGGTAAAATATAGGGTAATCAAAGCAAATGTCTACATGGTGCTAAATATCTGGATATTTAAAGTTAAGCAAAAAAGCATCTAATTAGGCCGGGCGCAGTGGCTTATGCCTGTAATTCCAGCATTTTGGGAGGCTGAGGCAGGCAGATCACTTGAGGCCAGGAGTTTGAGACCAGCCTGGCAACACAGCAAAACCCCGTCTCTACTAAAAAAAATACAAAAATTAGCCGGGTGTGGTGGTGCGTGCCTCTAATTCCAGCTACTCTGGAGGCTGAGGCAGAAAAGTTGATTGAACCTGGGAGATGGAAGTTGCAATGAGCCGAAATCGTGCCACTGCAATGCAGCCTGGGCAACAGAGTGAGACTCTGTCTCAGAAAAAAAAAGCATCTAATTAAATAATCAACAATGGCATTTTCTATTCAGAGTGTTATATAAAATAAATTTCCTCGTGCACAAATTTTAGAAAATAATTACTAAAAATATCTAGACAGCTCTGCTGTTTTGCTCATTTACTCTTATGTATATTGTTTCAACTATCACTCAAAGCAAGTTGTTCTCAACATGTAGTCCCTGGACCAGCTGAATTATTATCACCCAGGTACTAGGTAGGAATTAAAATTCTTGGTCTCTACCCCAAACTTACTAAATCTATACCAAATGTAGGAACTATGGGTGGAGTTCAGAAATTTTTTTTTTTTTTAATTTTTTTTTGAGACGGGAGTCTCGCTCTGTCGCCCAGGCTGGAGTACAGTGGTGCGATCTCGGCTCACTGCAAGCTCCGCCT
Source organism: Homo sapiens (assembly GCF_000001405.40). Classification (NCBI taxonomy): domain Eukaryota; kingdom Metazoa; phylum Chordata; class Mammalia; order Primates; family Hominidae; genus Homo; species Homo sapiens. Next base: position 46,683,241 of record NC_000004.12, read on the forward strand.
CCCGGGTTCACGCCATTCTCCCGCCTCAGCCTCCCGAGTAGCTGGGACGACAGGCACCCGCCACCACACCCGGCTAGTTTTTTGTAGTTTTAGTAGAGATGGGGTTTCACTGTGTTAACCAGGATGGTCTCCATCTCCTGACGTCGTGATCAGCCTGCCTCGGCCTCCCAAAGTGCTGGGATTACAGGCGTGAGCCACAGCTCCCAGCCGAGTTCAGGAATTTTTAACAAACCTTCCAGAGATTATAATGCAGCTAACCTTTGAGGAATATTGCTCTAAGAGAAAGATTGCAAAGTAACTCACATTGTGCCAAGAGGTAGAAAAATCCAGTAACTTACAATGTAACACACAGCCGTACTAAACAATGGCATCACCATCCCATCACCCCAAAAGTTATTTATTTGAAGTCCATATGATGTGAACATCTTTCTAGATTGGGTGCTTCTTAAATGCATAATTCAGAAGGTTGCTTTACACACCATATCTATGTGATTGACTTCCTCTGTAGATGTGGATAGTAGAGTCAGGATGAAAAAACACTGTGCATCTTCTGCTAGGAGCACTTTGTGAGCTCCATTTTTCTCCAATATGCATATGCATGAGGCAGGGCACAGCACTAAAAACAGCAACAACACTGTGATAAACAGAAAATGTGTGTTATCAGTTTATTCTTATTTCAAAATCTTTAATTTTGAATACGCACATATTAATTTGTGTTCAGATCTTCTCTTAAGGATGCATGCTGTGTGTGTGGTCCTAATATATGGATTTACTGAAAGTTCTTTTCTTTCTTTTATAAACACTTGATAAGATCAGTAAAAAAATTTTCTAGTGACTCTTTATTCTTTTCCAGGGGGTATTTTTAAAAAATAATCTTAACTTGAGGGAGTGGTTATTTGAGTACATTACAAACATCTAGTATACAAACCAGCCTTGAAATTTCTACTTTCTCTCAATAACAGTTTGGTAGGGACGGGATTTGGCTGCAGTATCCAGCACTCCATATGTTTGATTTCGAATATTTTCCATGTTGTCACTATTTTTTCACAGATGCACAGATGAAAGGCAAAGTAGATTAAGCTGCCATAAAATACTAAACTGTATTTTACAACAACTGCATGATGACTACCAATGAATGCCTACTGAAAACTCTCATGGGCAGGTTTGTTTTTTTGTTTGTTTGTTTGTGTTTTTTGCCTTTATATCTAGGTGGCAAAGAAAGAAAGGGCTGGAAGCATCTCAGAAGTCATTCAGTGTATTATCCTGTCTCTAATGAAGCCTAGATTTTGATCCACTGAAAAAGAATGTAAATTTATCCTTTTGCTTTGAAGTGCACAAAAAGTAAAACTTTAAAACATTCCAGTTTAAAAGTCTTTAATTTGATTTAACACCTATTGATTACCTATGCCAAATACATACATACAAAAAAAAAATGTCATGGTCCCTGCCCTTAAAATTTTCATAGTGGCCCCAAAGCATACTTAGTTAAAAACAACAAATGTCAAATGCTTTACTCATTAAAGAGTACTTCACAACGTTCCTGTGAGACAGTTATTGTATTATCCTCATTTACAGAAGAGGAAGTCAATTTTTCCAAAGACACATAACTAAGTGTGCAGAGTTAAGATTAACATCAAAGTAATTCTAAAGCCCATTCTCATTCCACGGCACCATGTTTCCATTTAACTGATGCCATGTCTGTTCCTGATAGTCACAGAGGGTCTTTGAGCAGTGATTTGGGACTGCACACTAAAATGAGACAGAAACAACTATAAGGTGTGTCTTCCTCTCCAAAGATGACTTCTGGAGGAAAACAGTCTAACACATTTGCAGAAAATGTACGCAGTTTTATAATCTAGTCCAGTAAAAGCATAATCTAACCCATCTAAAGCATGATCTAATCCAATCTACCTCCTGAACTCAATGCAGACATTGCTAATCAACCCCAGAACATCTGAATGTAGCCCTAGGTACTTTCTTCACAAAGAGCTGACAGTGGCCATTACCAAATCTTTAGAGTTAACGTATCAAATGAAAACTGCTTGTTATGTTTCCTCTATTGTAAACCTTATTTCCCCAGGAGTAGAGTAATACTGAGTATACTATAAATCCTTAATGAAACATTTGGTACTATAAAAATATCAAGTTACATGGCATCTAGAATTTATTCTCAATTAACCAGCTTTATTTTGTTGTAGAAGAAAATGATAATAGTTTCACAAAATGTATTATTCATATAAATTTCTAATTATGAGTTTTTTTTCTGATTTTAATAACTCTCTTCTTTTTTGTACTAGTGTAATTAATTTTAACAGGGGATTAAACCAGAAGTTAGGCCACATCAGATTGAGTCACAAGTGGAAGGTTTTGAAGAAGAGGTGTTGTGTATACCTTACTCAATTTAGAAGCTTTAGTCTAAAACTGCTTATTTGGGCCAGGCACGGTGGCTCATGCCTGTAATCCCAACAATTTGGGAGGCCGAAGTGGGTGGATCACTTGAGGTCTGGAGTTCAAGACCAGGCTGGCCAACATGGTGAAACCCCGTCTCTACTAAAAAATATAAAAATTAGCTGGGCATGGTGATGGATGCCTGCAATCCCAGCTACTCACGAGGCTGAGGCAAGGACAATTGCTTGAACCCAGGAGGCAGAAGTTTCAGTGAGCCAAGATCATGCCATTGCACTCCAGCCTGGGGGACACAGCGAGACTCCATTTGGGGAAAAAAATAAATAAATAAAATAAAACTGTTTATTTGGAGGTAAAGGCCCATGAAAAAGGGTGTGAATTCATTAAAAAGTAATCAAATGCAAGAAATGCCATATTTTAAATGAAATTATCCTAGCTTGGAGTGTTCAGCCACTAAGATGGCAGAATGTCTAAGCATTTGGGGAGCTCCATCATTTCTCCTTAAGATTTTATAAGAATATTGAGGCCTAGTTTGTTTCAGGAACATGGGAGACAGCATAGAGTATGTAGCTGCCTAATGTTGATTCATAAATCCTGGATGAGCCGTGTTCTTTCTGGTGAACCACAGAGATGCCTCTAAAGCTTTAACCCAGTGTCGTTCATAAAGAAACCTTCATCACTGCTCTCACAGCCACAGTGTCCATGGACCAACTTCCATAGGTATTTTGTAGCCTTCCCCCATTGAACTCTTGTCACACTGCAGGAGATGGAGAACAGATTTCTACCATCTCTCAATTCTCACAGTATGAGAACCTCACCGTTTCCCAGATCAGGCTACCTCCAACCTGTTCTCTCTGCCTCTAACTCTAAAGAGCAGTGCTATCCAATCCAGTGGCCATTAGCTCCATATAGCTATTGAGCACCATGAAAATGTAGCCAGTCTGAATTAGGTATTCTGTAGGTATAAAAATCATACTGTGTGTCAAACATTTCATATGAAAGGAAGAACTTAAAGTACTTGCATTAATAATTTTTACACTGACTACGTATTGAAACAATATTTTAGATATATTAACTAAAATCTATTATTAAGATTATTTTCACTCTTTTTACTTTAAAAAATACAGCTATAAAATAATTAAAATTGTAAGTGTGGCTCACATTGTATTTTATTGGACAGTGCTTCTCGCAGACAATTTCAGATAAACTTTTTGATGAGCCTGTCTTCATAAATAATACCTGGATTGTTACCTATTTTAAGGTGTTCCCCCCAAACAAAGAGATTCAATTATTATATATTCGCTTGTTCTCAAGAGAGCTTAGAGAGATAAAACTTATGGCTGTCTTGGAAAAGGCAAAGAGAAAAACATTTCTCTTTGTTTTTCTTCCAAAACATCTAGTGAGAAAAATACACAGTTAATTTCTTAGTTAGAAATATCTCAGAACTATCATCACTACTGTGAGATTAAAACATGGACACAAGGTAAGAAAAGCTAACTTCCCTTATGTTACAATAAATTATGTGGCATACTGTTTCTGGTTACTTTGGGTTTCTGTTTCCATGTCTCAAGCATAGAGCCGGCCACTTAATCTCCTTCCATCTAGACCTCATCTACCATGCAAATCATCACCTTGTTTTCCATGTCTTTACAAAGAAAAATGATCAGACTGTGGCAGAGAAAATCAGGTTCCACCAAAAGTTTTAACCCTCTATCCTTGTAGAAAATTTAATTTTCTATCCTGACGCAGTTGGCCATGCCACATGTAGATATATTGTGTAGACAGATTATTGCAAAGCAGAATTATCAGACCATCAAATTATTTTCCTCATTCAGTAAATGTTTCCTGCAGTTTCACTTACATTTTTATTCTCCTTCTCATAGAACATGGCTCTGCTGTATATCTGACTCTCTTAGTATCATTTCAATCAAGTGATTTACACATCTCTGGCTCTACCTGTATATTTCAGTGCCCTCTTGGGTTTCATAAAAAGGCATGGCTTTTGTGACTTGTGGTAAAAAACACAGTGTTCTGATCCAGTGCCCAAGTTAAGTAATATAGAAAATTACTCTTTCTTGAAGGTGGATGCTTTTCTTCAGAACTAAATTTGATGACAATTTTAATTGCTACTAATATAAAGTGAACACTTGTTTTAGAGAAAACAATAGAAATGGCTTTTCATTGAAATTTAAAATGCTTGGAAAGTCTTATATTAATTGATGTCTATAGTCTTCTAACTCATGCCTGAAAACTGTGCCAAAATCTAGTATCCTATCTGCATTTCATAAGATGTGGGTAAAGGTCTTGATTTTGCTATCTTTTTAATGCTTGATTTTCCAGAAAACACATTACATTTCTAAACTGATATATTCAAAACCATACTAAAATTGACATGATTCTGCTACAATTAAGCAAAGTAAGACACTATCCAAAAAAATTCCTTCTCAGGAACATTACAAAAGATATATGAGTTTCCATTAGACAACTTTTTCTGGCAAGCATTTACACTGGATAGTCCCATTAGCTTGTTTATGTTTTATTTATCAACTCTAAAGTAGATATTATTCTAATGATGTTAGAGTTTTTTTAGATATTGACATCTATGAAAATATTAAGGTAGGTGGTTATTAATATTTCATATTGAGAGAAGTGGTAGAGGAGTGATCTTCAATTCCAGTATGTGGTAATAGAATTTTAAAGGCACTATTTCGCTATTGAGCTGTATTAGAGAATGGGGTTCTGAAAATAAATTAAGAACCACGTTGGTGACTGGGTGGTTGGTGAAAAATCTTAATGAAAAATAGTTTAAATCTGTCTTCTATTGCCTTCACATACCATAATTGAATTTTTAATTTCAGAAAGATGAGAAAATACACACGTTTTGTCCAAAAAAAATTAACCGGTGTTGTAATTCACTGGGTTGGTTTAATTGTCCAGTTTTATATGAAATAAATACAATAGAGTTTTTAATTAAGGCTTCTAAATATGGTATGCCAATAATCACCAACTCAATCTATTTCTTCTGCTCCAGTCCTCTGCTGAAATTATTTGCAATAAGACCATCAAGTCACCAATGCCCTCCTTATGTTGAATGCCAAATTTCATTGCTTCATTGATTCAATGCCATTGCCATATATGATCTCATGTAATATTTAGTAATTTAAACTCTCACCTTGCATTGTCCTTTGTGTAAATGTTTTTTCTTGGTTTTGCTTGTACTCTGAGGCTCTTCACTCAGATTTCCTTATGTGGTTTCTGTCTTAATGTTTAGATAAAGGGATTTTATTGAAGAGATTATTTGCCGAGGTGTTGGAAGGGTTAAGATAAAAAACTAGGGAAATAGCATGCAGCAACTCACAAAAGAAAGAAGCCATTACCACTCCTAGGCTTGAAGGGAAGAGGGTGCTCCTGAAACACATTGAGAACTGGATCCAGGAAAGAGGGCCGAACTGGCGCGTGTTTTATTTGAAGAAGGATTCAGCAACTTATAGAGAAAGAGTGATATGGTAGGGGGGCAAGGAAGTGCTGGGTAGAGAAAGGCAGGGTCCTTGGCAAGGGTTCTGCCCTCGGGCTTGTGCCAATGGACCTAGGTAAGGAGACGCATTCCAGTTTTCATGTCTAAATGTTGCATTTTCCAAGACCATCCTGACCCACCACGTCCCCATCCTGTGACTATAAAAACCCTGAGACCCTAGCGAGCACACACAAGCAGCTGGATGTCGAGAGGAACACACGAAAAAAAACCAGCAGATGTCAGTAGGCCATCTACAGCAGGACTACGCGAAGTTCAGTTGAGGGCGGTCAGAGAGGAGCCCCACTGCTGAGCGGCCTGACTTCAGGGGACGACCATCCCCCTTCTGGCTCGCATCCATCTGCTGAAAGCTATCTGCATCATTCAATAAAGCCTGGCACTCATTCTCCAAGCCCACGTGTGATCCGATTTTTTAAGTACACTAGGGCAACAACCCCAGGATACAGAAAGCCCTCTGTCCTTACGGTAAGAGAGAGGGTCTAAATGAGCTGATTAACACAAGCCACTTACAGATGGCAACACTAAAAGAGCACACTGTAACGCATGCCCCGTGGGGCTTCAGGAGCTGTAAACATTCACCTCTGGACACTGCCTTGGGGTTGGAGCCCATGACCAAGACCTGCCCGTCTGCATGCTTCCCCTAGGGATGTGAGCAACAGGGTACAAAAGAAACCGGTCACACCCCTAGTCACAAGTCCTTCGAGGGGAATAAGGGAACTTTTCCTGTTTCAACAGTACCATAGTAGGAGCGATCATGGAGAAGGAAATTTCCCAATCTCTCTCTGATTTCTTTGTGATGATCTCAATGCCTCTTCTTTGTAAAACCTAAAAGGAAGCCAGCCAGAAAAGAACTTGGATAAATACAGTCTCTACAGGTCAGCTCCCTAGGGACTAGAGCTGATCAAAGATGTCAGAGAAGGTGTCTGAGGTGGGAGTGGAGGCAAACAGAAAATCAAGAATGTATAGTGAAAAAAAGGCATCTATAGTATCTTTTTATTTTCAAAAGCCAGAAAACACACACCCCCCCCGCCACACACACAAAGTAGACTATTAGTTATCCTTAGAAATAAAATAACACTAAATTACAAACTATGAAGAAAAACTACTAACACTTTGTATTGCCAAACTTTCCTAATCTAATAGGTAAAGAATGAAATTTCATTTTAAGAATCATTTTGTAGTATGGTTGGCCAATTGTATTTAATTTCTTCTATGTAAAGTGCTTACTGGTTTATTTTGTCCACTTTTTTAAAGAACTGTTGACTTTCTTATGTATAAAAACATCTTATAACTAAACAAATGAACCATATGTCAATTATGTTGCAAAAACTCCATCCCATCACTGATTAGAGTGATCAACCTTCAGTAGTTTTGTATATTTCAGAATTTTTCTATCCATATGCAGCTATATATGTGTATACCTTTTCTATGTAAGGGATGTATACGCTTTATCATACATCTTAACTTACAAGCTATTCAGTATTTGCTTAATAAGCTTTTAAATCTTTTTTCATTTATAGTATATTTGCAGAGGTTATTTTTTAATCATAATATATATTAACACATTCATTTTAAAGACCAAAAATACTGCAATGTATGTAATTTTTTTTTTCCAGAAAGGGTCTCACTCTGTCACCCAGAGGGTGTGCAGTGGTGTTATCATAGATCACTACAGACTCAAACTTTTGGCCCTAAGCAATCCTCCTTCCTTGGCCTCCCAAAGTGCTGGGATTAGAGGTGTAAGCTACCACGCATGACCTGTATGTACTATTTCACTGAAAAATGTTTCATACTTCTGATTGGTCGTTTCTGGTACTTGATACTACAAGTAATGCTACATATTGTATATATATCTTTTTAAATATATACCAGTATATCTGTAGGAAATCATTGGGTTGAAGATTATGAGCAATTTCAATCTCGACAGTTACTATCAAGTGGTTAATCAAAAGAAAAAGTGCCAATTTAATTCCATTAATGGTGAGCGAGAACTTGTGTTAATCAAACATTTTAACTTTTGCCAACGTGAGAGACAAAAAATGGAATGTCATTGTCATATTAATTTGAGTGTCTTTGATTCTGAGTGAAGCTGGTTATATTTTGAATTCTACAGGGCATTTGCATTTCTTCTATAAATTGTCTATACATAATATTTGCTGGTTATATATATGTGTACAGATATATGTATTTATATAAAATCTATTGATTTTATATAGCTATTTAAATTTCATAATTTTTGTTCACTTAATCTTTCTTGGGGTGAGAAAAGTAGACATATCCAAGGAATATAATACAAACCATAAATGAAGCAAATGCATATATGGAGATTTAGAGATGTGACATTTTACACCAATAAGAGAAAAGATGGATTGTTTTATTAAAGTGGTTTGGAATAACTGCTAGCAATCTGGAATAAATAAATCTGTATCTCAACATCACCCTTTCACGACAATAATTTTTAGACAGATCAAAGTGGGAAATGTAAAAATTAATGTCATAAGGAATAAATAAATGAGTGCATTTATTTATTATTTTAGTGTAGGAAATAACTTTTCTCATGGGACACACACCCCAGAAACTATAGAGAAAACTATTGTTAAAATTGCCTATACCAAAATTATTAAATGTAAATACAGGAGAAAATCTTATAAAGAAGTACAAATGGCAAATAATAAACTAAGAATATGTTTTTTGAAGATATAAAGGCATTAAAGATAACACATTAACAACACAACAACCCACTAAAAATGGATAGATTATATAAACAATATTACAAATTTACAAACATCATAATCAACAACATGCAATTTAAAATAAAAAATTAATATCACCTTTACCATAAACATTACCAAAACCAAAAGTATTTAGTAATATTAATCTGACATTTTTATACACTGGTGAAGGAAAAAAAATTGGCTCAACCTCTTTAGAGAACAATTTGACAAAAATAAAATTTCAAAGGCACAAATTCTTTGATTTAGAAATTTTACTTCTGGGAATATATTCTTGTATGTACATATATACAAAATATAAGTACTGGCATTTATTAACAGTGCTTTTGTCCATCAGTATATTGTTAAAATCAAGAAAGTACAGCACTGAGGAATTTGTAGGGAATGCTCCTGTTTGTGTTGACAATTGGGACCCAGGACCTAGACTGGGATAAAAACTCTTTTTATTGTGTATATGTTCAATTGTTACCATTTGAATTTGTTCTTTTATTACTATTGATGCAACTAATAAAAGTATTACTATCTAATATTCTGGCACTTAACATCATAGTAACATTTCACAACTCCAGATGAACTAGATACCTAATGTTCAATTGTTACCATTTGAATTTGTTCTTTTATTCCTATTGATGCAACTAATAAAAGTATTACTATCTAATATCCTAGCACTTAACATCATAGTAACATTTCACAACTCCAGGTGAACTAGATACCTAGTAATACTGAACTCTTAACCTACACTACACTGTATTTCAGAGATTGACATGCAAAGAACAATGACAAATGGCAGACAGAAGCTTTTAGCAAGGGGTGTCTTTGACCATAACTCTCAAACCTTATGACCCTTAAAAACTGGGATTTTTGGAGCGTGATCTGTTACCTTCTCTATTTCACTTAAACTCTCAGACACACACCAATTCAATCTAAGGCAGGTTTTCAATATTATTACACTACAACATCATGGCAGGAAGATGCAGAGATATGCAAAGAAAGACAAAGAAAGTGGGCCCTAGGACTGTTGAGAAGGACAGGTTAATTGCAAGAGTAGAGGAGAAATGAGAGATAAATTCAAATGGTGCTAGCCATTTAACACAAATTAACTTCATTGATTGGCTGATCTAGCCTGTTCAGTGTAGGATCTAATAAACAGATTTCTCCTTTGGGAGAAATAAGGAGGAAAATGTTAGGCTAAAGTCTTGAAATCTTCTTTTTCTCTAGAATCTACAAAGCTGACAATTCTCAAGTCTATACTGCAAACTCAGTCCTCTATTCAGTAGCCTAGAGCTGTATTCTAACTGAACTAACTCTCTCAGTTTGGCTATCCCACCATTATATCAAAATTAACTTGTCTAAGTTGAACCTATAATTTTCTTTTAAACCTGTTCTTCTTACAATGATTATCCCTGTCCCTTCTGAAAGCCTACCAGTGATCCAGGCACAATGTAAAATTGCCATAGTCTTCCTCCAAGTGGCCTTGTACTGAGGCAAGAGGGACCCTTGCACCGAGTCACACATTTTAGAGGAGACTGAGCATCACACACACGCACACATACACACACACAGATGCACACACACAATTATAAAGGAAGGTGTGGGCACCTCTGTCACTCTGGATCTTGCACTCAGCAGTGGCACAAGGTGAACTGTATAACCATTTTTGTTTTTCTCTTGACTAACTAGCACCCTTTAGAATCCATGAGAATGCTTCTCACATCTCTTGTCCAATAATCTTGAAACAAAAGGGAACATTTCTTAACGCTGAGAAGACGTGGGGATTGTGTCACTACTAACTTCACAGAGAGAACTTGCTGTGGAGAGGTATGAAGATTCAGGCTGTGGATGTGCTTAGTTAAATGAAAAGATAAATTAATGAACTTGTCAAATCCTTCTTCAGGGAGCATGACTATAATAAATGTTTGCAATAATGAAATATCATTTCCCATTAACACCAAGCATCCATTTTCTTGTTCTCTTCATATCCCAATTTGTAGTTCCAGAGGTCCTCAATAATTAGTATTGTATTTCCAAAACTGCTCGATGGAGACTGCAGAACACTTAGCAATAATATATTGTATATGTAATAGTACATATATATGTCCATATATAGAGGTGTAGAGGAAAGATATATGAAGCATGATACCAATTATTCACGTTAGCAACCAGATAGAGAGTGAATGCCAAAATTGTACTTAAAATGATTATTTTTATTACAGTTCGCATATTACATTTTAATTATAATATATAATTTAAATTATTTTGGAGGAAAAACTCTTCATAAAAATATAAAACAACTTTTACTTATTATATTTACAATTTTGTTGAAAAGATACTAAATTTATATATTTTAAGTAAAATTACATTTTAGTTTTTAATTCCTTAAATGATTGCTATTATGAAACAAATGCTGACCAAAACACTCAGACATGCACAATAATTATTAAATTGAATTGTCTTTGATATTTTACCAACATCATATAATAATCACAGATTAACACTGTGGTTAATTTATTGTTATGAAGCTATATTTTTCAAGATAGGAGAATAGAGCATATTTTAGTTGAAAGGCTAATCATTCTATTTATAACGTTTAAAGAATGTCTTTGACTCAGATACTGGCACCTTGAAATATGTGGGACCAGCCTGGTCTTCATATCCACATCCAATCCTTGTCCTGTTACTAACCCAAGTCCTACTACTCCAGCTCCTAAGTGCTTCTTGAATCTTCCCCTTTATCTGCCATTTCTTCATTTATATTCTCATGGATTTAACCCAAATGATTACAATAGTCTCCCCTGAACTGGTCTCATTTTCTCCATTCTAACTCTCATCAAATCAATTTATCACAATTCAGAAAAGCAATTTTTTCTATAAAATAAACAAGTTGATATAATCATCTTGCTTTAAGTACATAAACAGCCCCCAATTATGAATAAAACCTGTACATGTTATCACAACATTCAAGAACGCTGCATGATTGTTATGCTTGGCCCCTTGTAATTTTCTCATATGCCTTATTCCTGGTCTTATATTCTAGGTCATTTTTAATAGACTATTTTTTAAAGCAGTTTTAGGTTCACAGCCAAATTTAATGGGAAGTGCACAGAATTCCTATTATTCCCTGCCTCCACACATAAACAGCCTCCCCAGATATCAACATCCTGCAGCAGAGTGGTATATTTGTTTTAATCAAGGAACCTACATTGAAACGTTATCTCCCAAAATATTTGGTTTATATTAGGGTTCAACTCTGGTGGTGTGCATTCTGTATGTTTTGACACGTTCATAATGATGTATACATGTGTAATGTCAATATATTCACCTTATAGTATCATACAGCAGTGTTCCACAAACTTTTTGGCACCAGGGACGGATTTTGTAGAAGACAATTTTTCCGCCGACCAGGTTGCAGTGGGGTGGCATGGGGATGATTCAAGCACATTACATTTATTGTACACTTTATTTCTATTATTATTACATTGTAATATATAATAAAATAATTATACAACTCACTATAATGTAGAATCCGTGGGAGGCCTGAGCTTGTTTTCCTGCAACTGGACAGTCCCATCTGGGGGTGATGGGAGACAGTGACAGATCATCAGACATTAGATTCTCAATAAGGAGCTCGAAACCTAGGTCCCTTGCATGCACAGTTCACAGTAGGGTTCATGTTCCTATGAGAATCTAATACCACCGCTAATATCACAGGAGGCAGAGCTCAGGCAGTAATGTGAGTGATGGGGATCAGCTGTAAATACAGATGAATCTTCACTTGCTCACCTGCCACTCACCTCCTGCTGTGTGGCCCTGGCACAGTTCCAAAAAGCCAGGGACTACATGTACTATTCTGTGGCCCAGGGGTTGAGGACCTCTGTCATACAGAGTAGTTTCACTGCCCTAAAAATCTCTATGCTCCTCCTATTCATCCCATCCTTTTCTCTAACCCCTGGAAACCAATGATCTTTTTACTGTCTCCACAGTTTTGCCTTTTCCAGAATGTTATATAGTTGGAATCATATAGCAAGTAATCTTATAAGATTGGCTTAATTCATTTATAATATACATGTAAGATTCCTACGTGTCTCTTCTGTCTTGCTAGCTCATTTCTTTTTAATGCTGAATTACATTCCATTGTCTGGATAAACCATCTATTGAAGGGTATCTTGGTTGCTTCCAAGTTCTGACAATTATGAATATAGCTGCTATAAACATTTGTATATAGGTTTTCAGACATCAGTTTTCAATTAATTTGTCTAAATAACAAGGAGTGCAATAATTAGAAAGATAAAAATATGCTCAGTTTCATAAGAAACCACCAAACTGCCTTCTAAAGAGGCCGGTACCATTTTGCATTGTCAGTAGAATGAATAGAGTTCCTGTTGCTCCACATCCTTGTTAGCATTTGGTGTTAGCATTTTGGATTTTGACCATTCTAGCAGGTGAGTAGTAGTATCTTGCCATTGTTTTAATTTGTAATTCCCTAATGACATGGATGTTGAGCTTTTCATACGCTTATTTGCCATCTGTATATCCTCTTTGGTGAAGTGTCTGTTCAGATGTTTTTCCCATTCTTTAATGTGGTTGTTTATTTTCTTATGTTTTATTTTTAACTGTTCTTTGTATATTTTGGATAACAGTCTTCCATCAGATACGTCTTTTACAAATATTTCCTCCCAGTCTGTGTCCTGTCTTTTCATTATCTTGTCAGTGTCTTTTGCAGAGCAGAAGTGTCAGTCAGTTCCCTTCAATATTGAAGGAAAAAAAAACACAGGCCGGGCACCGTGGCTCACTCCTGTAATCCCAGCACTTTGGGAGGCTGAGGTGGGTGGATCAGGAGATTGAGACCATCCTGGCTAACATGGTAAAACCCCATCTCTACTAAAAATAAAATACAAAAAATTAGGCGGGCGTGTGGCGGGCACCTGTAGTCCCAGCTACGTGGGAGGCTGATGCAGGAGAATGGCATGAACCCGGGAGGTGGAGCTTGCAGTGAGCGGAGATGCACCACTGCACTCCAGCCTGGTGACACAGTGAGACTCCATCTCAAAAAAAAAGAAAGAAAGAAAGAAAGAAAGAAAAATGCAAAAGACTACTCAGGTCTACGACTTTTTTTCCTTCAATATTGTCTTAAGTATTCCCAGTCTTTCACCTCACCATAGAAACTTCAGAATCAGTTTGTTGATACCCACATTATAACTTGCTAGGATTTTATGTGGTATTGTGTTGGATCTATATAACAAGCTGGGAAACTCTGAAATCTTGATAATATTAAGTCTTCCTATCCACAAAATTGGAATAAAATGGAATATATTTTCATGTATTTACTTCTTCTTTGATTTCTTTCATGTGACTCTTTTTCTGTCTTTTTAGCACATAAATTATATTTTTCAAAACCTTTTCTTATTGGTTCCCCTAGAATTTGCAATGTACATTTACGACTATTATTGTTATACCAAGTTCACTTTCAAATAACACTATACTGCTTCCCAGATAGTACAAGTACCTTATAATAGCGAATTTTTAATTCTTCCCTCTCATCTATTGTATCATTGTTGTCATTCATTTTACTTACTCATAGCTATAATTATTGACTACATTGTTGCTATCATTATGTTAACAAAATATTATCTTAGATCAATTAAGAATAAGAAAAGGGTTTTTATTTTACCTTCTCTTATTCATTCTCAAATGCTTTTTCTTTCTTTATGTAGATACGTTTCTGACCTCTGTCGTTTCCCTAATCTCTGAAGAACTTCTTTTAACTTTTCTTACAAGGCAGGTCTACTGGCAACAAATTCCCTCATTTTTGTTCTGAGGAAGTCTTTATTTCTCCTTTGCTTTTGAAGGATAATTTCACAGGATACAGAATTCCATGTTGGTGGGTTTTTACTCTCAGCACTTTATTTCACCCCACTCTTCTCTTGCTTGCATGGTTTCTGAGGAAAAGACTCATAGAATTCTTATCCTTGCTCTTCTATACATAGAAATCCCTCACCCCTGCTTCTCTCAAGATTATTTTCTTTCCAGATTTTGTCTTTGAATTTATGCTTTGAATATACTACACCTAAGTATAAGGTATTTTTGTTTTTGTTTTGGCATTTATCATTCTTGATGTTCTCTGAGCTTCCTGGATCTGTGGTTTGGTACCTGATATCAATTTTGGGGAAATTCTTAGTCATTATTTCTTCTATATTTCTATGGTTTCTTTCACTTTTTTTTTCTCCTGGTATTCCTATTATGTATATTTTACACCTTCTGTTGTTGTCTCGTAGTTCTTATATTCTGTTCGGAGGATTTTTGTTTGTTTGTTTCTCTTTGTTTGTCAACTTCAGAAGTTTTGATTGAGATATCCTCAAGATCACTGATTTTTTTTCTCCACCTTGATTAGTCCACCAATGAGCCCATGAAACGCATTCTTCATTTCTGTTACAGTTTTGACTTTTAGCATTTATATATATATATTTTAGAATTTCCACCCCTCTACTTAAATTACCTGCCTGTTGTTGCATATTGTCGACTTTTTCCATTAGAGTCCTTAGCAAATTTATCATAGTTTTAAAAAATTCCTTGTATGATTATTCCAACATTCCTGCCAAACGAGTCTGATTCTAATGCTCCCTCTATCCCTTCAAACTTTGTTTTCTGTTTTTATTATGCCTTGTACAAATTATTGAAAGCTGGACATAATGTATTGCATAAAATAAACTAGTGAATATGCTCTTAGTGCTCTTAGCGAAGTGGTGGTAAGAAGTGGGGAGAGAGAAAGTAGTCTATAGTCCTATTGAGAGGTGACAATGTGCTAGCAGCCCTCGCTTGCTCTCGGCACCTCCTCAGGCCACAGCATCCACTCTGGCCTCGCTTGAGGAGCCCTTCAGCCCACGGCTGCACTGTGGGAGCCCCTCTCTGGGCTGGGTGAGGCCAGAACCAGCTCCTTCTGCTTGCAGGGAGGTGTGGAGGGAGAGGCACGGGTGGGAAATAGGGCTGCGCGTGGCACTCGCAGGCCAGCATGAGTTCCAGGTGGGTGCAGGCTCGGCGGGCCCTACACTTGGAGTGGCCAGCCGGCCCCAGACAGTGAGGGGCTCAGCACCCAGGCCAGCAGCTGTGGAGGGTGCGCCAGGTCCCCCAGCATGGCTGGCCCACACGTGCCATGCTCAAATTCTTGCCGTGTCTCAGCCACCTCCCCACAGGGCAGGGCTCAGGACCTGCAGCCCTCCATGCCCAAGTCCCCCCACGGTGGGCTCCTGTGTGGCCTGAGCCTCCCTGATGGGCACTACCCCCTGCTCCATGGAGCCCGGTCCCATCGACCGCCCAAGGGCTGAGGAGTGCAGCCGTGTGGCGTGGGACTGGCAGGCAGCTCCACCCATGGCCCTGGTGCGAGATCCACTAGGCAAAGCCAGCTGGGTTCCTGAGTCGGGTGGAGACTTGGAGAACTTTTATGTCTAGCCAGAGGATTGTATATGCACCAATCAGCACTCTGTGTCTAGCTCAGGGTTCGTGGATGCACCAATCAGCACTCTGTATCTAGCTAATCTGGTGGTGACTTGGAGAACTTTTACATCTAGCTAAAGGATTGTAAATGCACCAATCAGAACTCTGTGTCTAGCTAAAAGATTGTAAACGCACTAATCAGCACTCTGTGTCTAGCTCAAAGTTTGTGAACACACCAGTCAGTGCTCTGTGACTAGCTAATCAGTGGGGCCTTGGAGGACTTTTGTGTCTAGCTAAAGGATTGTAAATGCACCAATCAGCACTTTGTGTCTAGCTCAGGGATTGTAAATGCACCAATCAGCACCCTGTCAAAACGGACCAATCAGCTCTCTGTAAAACAGACCAATTAGCTCCCTGTAAAATGGACCAATCAGATCTCTGTAAAATGGACCAATCAGCAGGACGTGCGTGGGGCCAGATAAGGGAATAAAAGCAGGCTGCCCAAGCCAGCAGTGGCAACCCACTTGGGTCCTGTCCACAGTATGTAAGTTTTGTCCTTTCACTCTTTGCAATAAATCTTGCTGCTGCTCACTCTTTGGGTCCGCACCGCATTTATGAGCTGTAACACTCACCGCAAAGGTTTGCAGCTTCACTCCTGAGGCCAGCGAGACCAGCAAGACCATGAACTCACTGGGAGGAATGAACAACTCCAGACGTGCCACCTTAAGAGCTTTAACACTCACCGTGAGGTCTGCAGCTTCACTCCTGAAGCCAATAAGACCACGAACCCACCAGAAGAAAGAAACTCTGAACACGTCCAAACATCAGAAGGAACAAACTCCAGACACACCATCTTTAAGAACTGTAACACTCACCGCGAGGGTCTGCAGCTTCATCCTGGGTTAGTGAGACCAAGAACACACCAATTCTGGACACATTATGATTAGGTATGTCTTGTAGTAAGCCTGTGTGGATAGGGGCCATGACCTTCACAGCTGCTTCTCAGTTCCCCTCACCCTTAGGTGGGACACGATGTTTAGATTGGGATAGAGTTGGGCTCTGGCAAAACCTCAATAGTTTAAATTCTAGTAAATTATTTCCTCTTGACGTCAGGGATTAAGAAGAACAGAATGCTTTGGGCCTATTACATAATAGTTAATTTTTTTCCTCCCTCAACTGAAGGCATGAGGGGATTTTTCACCAATATCCTCTGTAAGAACCTGATAGGGCTTCTGGAGGTAAAACTCAAAAGTGTGGCCCTGACACCAACCCAAGCCTGGACCCCCTGGCGTTTTAAATCTTAGACTTGATTGGCCAGTAATTTGTCAATTCTGTATCTGCTTGTCTGCCTCTCCAGTTTGAAAGACAGCAGTTTGTCTTGTGATCTGAATTATCTGGTGGATTTAAGAAGAGTTGTATATTTTCAGTTTGTGCAGCATTTTACTGTTAAGAGAAAGTGATATCTTCCAGCCTCCCTCATGATGAAGCAGAAAACTGCAAATGTTGTTAACTGTTCATTTTCTTAATATGTGCTGGTATGTCTCTTACCTCGAAGCCTTAACACAAGTTACTCTACATAGCTGAGCTTCTCTGCACTTGCTGCAGCATTCTACAGAAATCTACACTAGGTTACAAGGATTTAGATTGATTTTTGTTATTTTTCCTTGAAGATGGAAGCTGTATACTAAGGCAGTGTCTATACAAGTCATCAGGACATTATTATTTAAAAAGGAACAGAAAAGCAACCCAAATTAGCTTAGGTTGAAAAAGGAAATCTGTTGGCTCATTTAATAAGAAAGTACACGTAGTGGTTCTTGCTTCATGCATGACTCCATTCAGAGGTTCCAATGTTATCAATAAAATCCCATCTCCTCATTTTCAAATAGATGATGTCTTCATCTCAACAAAGATGGGAGCTCTAGGTTTGCTGTTTCCTTATAGCTAATATTCCTGTAACAGAAGTATCATAGTCCCTTTCCTACCAACATATATATACATATATATATACACACATGCGTGTGTGTGTGTGTATATATATATATAGAGAGAGAGAGAGTGTGTCTTGCTCTGTCACCTAAGCTGGAGTGCAGTGGCACGATCTTGGCTCACTGCAAACTCTGCCTTCTGGGTTCAAGCGATTCTCCAGCCTCAGCCTCCTGAGTAGCTGGGATTACAGGTGCATGCCACCATGCTTGGCTAATTTTTGTATCTTTAGTAGAGACGGGGTTTCGCCATGTTGGCAAGGCTGGTCTCTAACTCCTGACCTCAGGTGATCCACCTGCCTTGGCCTCCCAAAGTGCTGGGATTACAGATGTGAGCCACAGTACCCAGCCCCAATATCTATATTAATCACCTGAAAAGTCCTGGTGCTGTTATTGTTCTCAAAATAAGTTATTCTTACAAGCCAACACGGATTATGTTAATTGTGCAGTAGCCAGGAATCTTCCACATGGAGGAGAGGAATTTACCCCAAGGAAAGAATACAGACAAGATATAAAGGTCACACATGATTTCTGTGTTTCTTAACCTAGCAGGGTCTCAAAAAAGGTTCGGATAATGAATTTAGACATCTGAATGGACAATTGAAATTCATTATACATAACCACATTTTTATTTACTTTTTGCACATAAAGCTGAAATTCACTGAAAATTTATTAAATCTCACCCAATTTTAGCTTTGCAATAGCCTCTAACAAATATATATCCATTAACAGTTAAGAAAAATACAGTGTAAATTAACAACAGCTGTGCCTTTAAAAAATCTTGTTTCTTTTTCCCAAAATTATCTTTAACGCAATTCTTATATTGTTTTTACAATTATAAGTTTTTGGAAAAAAAGAGAATTCTTGCCAAAAAGAGAAATATTTTAAAACATTTTGAAAATTGTTTCTATTGCTATAGAAACAACCAGACCACCTGCTATTTAAAGAAACACCAATTTTGCAATTGTATCTGCCTTGAATGTGAATTTAATGATCTCTCCATTATTATAACTTGATAAGAACCACTTATATTTGTCCAACTCTATTTTGAAGAGTTTAAAACACTTTTGACAATACCAGCTAATAAATTCTTTGTATTGAAGATGTGATTATTTTCAGCCACATAGAAAAACTAAAACAACGGAAGAATTTCTGATTTGCTTTATTTACTTATCAACTTGCAGAAAAGACTGAAAGAGGGAGTTGATGTTACCACCAGCTGACTCTGTAGTACTCTGCTTGGTCGTAATTTCCTGATTCATTCATTCTAAATATTTATGGAGTGACAGCCTCCAAGGCCGACTCTGTGCTAGATACCATATTTCTTTACATTCTTTCTAGTTGTCTTCCAATTATTTTCCTTGACCAAAAATCTAGTACAATTCTTGCTATTTGTTTATGCTTCTGTCATTTATTATTTACTTTTAAAATTTTGGCAACACATATAACCATATGGAGATGATAAAAATATCCACAGAAAACTTAAAAATTGAACATTTTAGTCAGGCTATACACTACAACATTTCTAAAATGAACTATTAATATGTACCTATTTTCAATAAAGAACAAATTTTTATTTTGTTGGCTACAAAATTCAAAATGCAACCATTAAATGTCACGAATGCAAAAAATTAGCAAAAGATCCAAGCAGGTAATTCATGAAAGAAAAAACAAAAATATCCAATTAAAAATAAAAAGCTTAAGCCTCATTAATAATCAAAGAAAAAAAAACAAGTAAAACCAGATGCAATTTCTATTAAGTTGGCAAAACTTTAAAACTGTAATATTATATTATATAAAATAATTGGTGAGAGAGGCCCTCTTCTATACCAGTGATGGAAACATTTTTGGAAAGCAATTTGGCACGCAAACTGTGAACTTTTACCATTTTTATATTTTTTATATTTTACAGCCTTTAATTCATAAGTTTTACTTTAAGATAAAATCCCAAGGAAATAATTACAGATTCAAGTAAAGATTTTTGTGCATAATTATCATTATAGTTTTATTTTATTTATTTATTTATTTATTTATTTATTTATTTACTGAGACGGAGTCTGGCTCTGTTTCCCAGGCTGGAATGCAGTGGCATGATCGATCTTGGCTCACTGCAACCTCTGCCTCCCGGGTTCAAGCTATTCTTCTGCCTCAGCTTCCTGAGTAGCTGGGGCCACAGGTGCGCACCACCACGCCAGGCTAATTTTTGTATTTTTAGTAGAGACGGGGTTTCACCATATTGGCCAGGCTGGTTTTGAACTCCTGACCTCATGATCCGCCTACCTCGACCTCCCAAAGTGCTGGGATTACAGGCAGGCATGAACCACCACACCTGGCCTATAGTATTATTTATAATAGTGATGAGGAAGACAACATTTTCAATTGCCACCATGAGGGAATAGTACATACATGCAGAAAATGGAGAAATATGTGTTCTTTAAAATTTACTTATGAGTGATTATTATTTACATGAAATTACATTACTATTCAATGCTGTATTAAAAGTAGGACACAAAAATATACTAGAGATAAATGTATAGAAGTAAAAAGAGATATAGCTTTGGGGGAGAAACCCCAAATGTCATTATTATCAATGATGATCTCATCATATTTTCTGCTGAGGCAGAAGAATAGCTTGAACCCAGGAGGCAGAGGTTGCAGTGAGCCAAGATCGATCATGCCACTGCATTCTAGCCTGGGAAACAGAACCAGACTCCATCTCAGTAAATAAATAAATAAATAAATAAATAAATAAAATAAATAAAGCTATAATGATAATTATGCACAAAAATCTTTACTTGCATCTGTAATTATTTCCTTGGGATTTATCTTAAAGTAAAACCATCATTGTTGATGGTTATTTCCTTATTTACATATTTCTAAGTATTACACATTTTCTTCAATTAGTATATATTTGTTTTTAAAATACAGTACAATTTATTTTAAAAAGTAACTTGTGGCTTCTGGCTCAGAGTAGCAGACTAAATACAAATTTTTCTTCCTTTAAATCCTTATAAAAGGACAATAAAGAATAAAATGTATAAATAAATTTAATAAAGAGGGATGAAAACTTTTGGCCCACAGAATTCATTGCAGATGGAGAAGGGATACAAAAATAGAGGGAGACAGTCTTCCAGTTATAACACCTCTGGGTTAATTTATAAAGGGGCTGAAATAATTTCCATCTATACCTACCTACCCCTATAAAATGCAAACCTACATAGTGGTGGGGTTGGGTGGGGTGGTTTGTTTCTAATGAAACTGAAATGGCTCAATGTGGGTAAACTGGGATGATTGGCATTTGCCCCCAAAGAAAAACTATTCCACTTTTGCAATTAGGGAAACTCCAGTTCTCTGCTCACTTATTCTAAAGTGAAGTCTGCCAATTGAAATGCCCCATTTGTAAACCTGACATTACCAGTTATCGTCAATGTGACAGGATAATCAATAATTACTAGTAATTGAAGAAAAAAACTTACGGCAAGAGAAAGATCAGGATGAATAAATTTCAAAACCTTCTTCAGTGGAAATATTGATTATCTTGGAATTAAACAGAACTTTAAAAAGTTGACCCACAATCTCACAGATGTTTAAAAAAAGTATTGCAATCCCCAAATAATGACAGGACATTATTTGAAACAAAGTACTAAAAATTCATCTATCATAAGACATCAATAGACAATGGCTACAATAGATTAATCGAGAAATATCAATTTAATTTTATAAAGTAGAGCTACAAGATGAACTAAAAACAGAAAACCAATTAGAAGATTGTAAAATGGTCCTAGTGAAAGAGACTGAAGACAGAAGGAGGTAGAATAGCAGGCTTGTTTTTAGGTTAAGGTTTTCCTCAATCCTTGAGTTTTTAAACCATGCAGTTGTATTACTTTGTTACAAATTAATGTGTTAAAAATAGAAGAAAAAAAGTGTTTCAAAATGTTCCTTCTCAAAATAATAAGATTTTTAAACAAAAATCATATTTTGAAATTCACAACTGCTTTAACTTCTGACTCAAATTCTGAGTAGTGAAAATAGACACGGAAATTCATCTCTGAAGTATTAAATGGAAAGATTTATTTGTTGTTGTCATTGAATTTCTGTAGTCAAATATGTACTATATGTGAGTTAAAGACTGAAAGGAAACTTTGGAAATTCAAGTTTAGATAAGCCATGTACACGAATAAAATTGTCCAATAATTTTACAAAATATTGACTATGTATGTCATTGCTAAAGAGTCAATGCCAACAAAAATTAAGTCCTGCTTTAAAAATGTTGAGGCCTTTTCATTACTTCTCTTCTGTCTTTTCTATTCCTGACCTATTTTCATCATAATCACATGTTCATATTGCAAGGCATTGGTAATTCTCCAGTCACAATTGAGTCTTGCAGCCTTTAGACTCATAATGCTCCTCAGCTCAATGCCAGGAAGTCCCTGCTGAGATCAGGCTCTTTGACAGCCAGGATTCTTCAACTAATACAGACTACAAAACAGCTTTGAACAACTTGGGCTTGTCCAGCTTTGACGTTCCAAAAGAGAAGGCATTACATGTCCCTTCCAGTCCAAATTGCCAAAGAGCCTGGTAGACTGAAGGATCTGAAAGGAAATCAGTTGTCTAGAACATTATGAAAAAAGGGAAGAACAATGTTTCAAGATCTAATCAATTAAGGCAAGAGCCTGTGAATGCTTCTCTGATGTAATCCCAAAAGACTACATAAGTAAAAAGCCCATTGGAAAAGGTCAAAGGATATAATTGATTAAACAACTACATCAAAATTGAAAACTCACCTGTCAAAAATATCAGGAACACAAGTAAAAAGCAAACAATAAAGTAATAAATTACTTACTATACATGACAGAAAAGAACGGGCACTTTACTATATGAAGAGGTCTTACAATTTAATGACAAGAATGTCAGTCAAAAAACAGGTGAAGAAAAATAATGGATAGTACATACACACACATGCACATATTCATACACACAACAATCATATTTTAAAATACGTGATACGATTAATCATCAAAGAAATGAAAATTAACAAACAAATGACATGGTATTTTTCACCTCTCAGTTTTTCATTTTTAAAAATAAGATTACTAAGTGGGGCTAAAGTATTACAGAATGTTGAAACTAATGTTGAAACTGGGGACAGCTAGCAAAACTTTTCCCCGAAGCATTTTGAAAATATATAACAAAAGTTTAAAAATGATTATACCTAGTAGAGTCATAAGATTCTACCTAAAAATGCCAAAATGAAGGTTCAAGATTTGTGTATACAGCTGCTCAATATAGTATCATTTCTAATAGTAATGAAGGAGAAATCTACATCTCTAACAGAAGAGAAATTACTTAAATAATTCTGGATAGGTGACTCAAATCACGCAAGCTTTCCAAGCACAATAAATTGCTAAATCTTTTTCATTCAGCCCTTCTTTTGGGGAGGGAAGTACAAAGGAGCACATATCATGAGCTTGTACAAGACTACCTAGGTTCAAATCCTAATTCTAAAATTTATAAGCAATTCACATGTTGCATGACCTTCAGCAAATTCAATTTCCTTATCTATAAAACAATGCTAATAGTTCTACTTCGTAGAGTAGTTGAAATTTTTAAATAAATACATATAAACCCTTAGAATAGTGCCGGGCATATAACACTAATAAACATTAACCATTATTATTTCTTAATGATTAAATATTAATAATAGGCCTGGGGCGTGCGGTGGGTCACACCTGTAATCCCAGCACTTTGGGAGGCTGAGGTGGGAAGATCATGAAGTCAAGAGATCAAGACCAGCCTGGACCACATGGTGAAACCCCGTCTGTCTCTACTAAAAATACAAAAATTAGCTGGGCTTGGTGGCACATGCCTGTAGACCCAGCTACTCGGGAGGCTGAAGCAGGAGAATCACTTGAACCCAGGAGGTGGAGGTTGCAGTGAGCCAAAATCACGCTACTGCACTCCAGCCTGGCCACAGAGCAAAACTCCATCTCAAAAAAAAAAAAATTAATAATAAAAGGGCTTAATATTAACTGACCGACTTACAACTAAAATTATTATCACCTTGTATTATTAATTATAACAGCAGAGGGGCAGTTAGTTGAAAGAGTAAAGGTTTTGAAATCAAACAAATGAGGATAAATATGCACAGATAAAATATTTGTTGGGAGGATGTGAAGAAATAATACACTTGACATGCATTTATAGTGACCAAAACGTGATAATTGTCTGGAATTGGTTCCTTTCAGTGGGTTATTGGTCTTGCTGACTTCAAGAATGAAGCCAGCAGACCCTCGCGATGAGTGTTACAGTTCTTAAAGATGATGTGTCCAGAGTTTGTTCCTTCAGATGTTCAGATGTGTGCAAAGTTTCTTCCTGGTCTCGCTGACTTCAGGAGTGAAGCCGCAGACCTCCACAGTGAGTGTTAACAGCTCATAAAGGTAGTGCGGACCCAAAGAGTGAGCAGCAGCAAGATTTATTGTGAAGAGCAAAAGTACAACGCTTTCACAGCGTGTAAGGTGACTCAAGGGATTGTTGCTGCTGGCCTGTAGCCAGCTTTTATTCCCTTATTTGGCTCTGCCCAAGTCCTGCTGATTGGTCCATTTTACAGAGTGCTGATTGGTCCATTTTACAGAGCACTGATTGGTCCATTTTTACAGAGTGCTGGTTGGTGCATTTACAAACCTTTAGCTAGACACAGAGCACTGATTGGTGTGTTTACAATCCTTTAGCTAGACAGAAAAGTTCTCTAAGTCCCCACTGGAACCAGAAACCCCACCAGCTTCACCTCTCAATAATACTCAAATGCACATTGTCATCATTATGAATATCAAAAACATATACTACAAATGAGAATACTAAATATATTTCTTTTTTAATGTGGAAAATTTCAAATACAAGATAGAAATACAAAAAAAGCAATTAGAAAATCCTCCCATAGATACAATTCTAAGCATTTTAATACTTTTCAATAAATGGCCAATCTTGTTTCATTTTTGCATACTCCTTCTGCCACCCTCTCAACAGTGGATTATTTTGAAGCAAGTTCCAGACAACATCTCATTGATAGTGACAGGAGGCAGCCAAATGCCTAAGCAGATAGGCATGGTATTTGGTGCAGCCCCACCTCCAAGCCAAAGATAGTTTAAAGCCCAAAATCCAAGCTACATGTTAAATCCTAGTACTGGATTGAGAATTTGTCTTCCTGTTTGGCGTGCTTTTTTCTGATTGGTCCCCACCCTTCACCTATTTTACATATACTTACCTTTTCCTAATTGGTTTTCTACACTGTTGTGCCCACCTTCCAGTGGTGCCTTTGCTTTAACCTTTTTTTACATAGTCCTAAACCAATCAGCTCGCACTCCCCATCCTGTGCCTATAAAGGCCCCAAACTCGGTCAGTAGAGGGAGTGATATGGTTTGGCTGGGTCCCCACCCAAACCTCATCTTGAATTGTAGCTCCCACAATTCCCAAGTGTTGTGGAAGGGACCCAGTAGGAGGTAATTGAATCTGGGGGATGAGTGTTTCTCATGCTATTCTCATGATAGTGAATAAATCTCACGAGATCTTATGGTTTTATAAAGGGGAGTTCCCCTGTACAAGTTCTCTTCTCTTGTCTGCTGCCATGTGAGATGAGCCTTTCACCTCCTACCATGATTGTGAGGCCTCCCCAGCCATGTAGAACTGTGAGTCCAATAAACCTCTTTCTTTTATAAATTGCCCAGTCTCAGGTAAGTCTTCATCAGCAGCATGAAAGTAGACTAATATAGGGAGAGACGGCCTAATTTCAGGGAAGAAACAGCCTGACTTTGGGGAAGACAACCTGTTCTTCCTGTCCCCTCTCCAGCTCACCTCCCCACTGAGAGCCATTTTCATCACTCAAATTCTTCTCCACCCTTCTCACCCTTCAATGTCCAGAATATCCTCTTTCTTTTTGGGTGGAGTACAAGAGCTTGGGAGCTATTGAACATGGGTACAAGCTATAACACAGGCAAGCTGGGGCATGCCAGCATGGCTGAGCAAGGCACAGGTGGGGTGTTGCCGGCCAGAGGTCCACAGTTTGCAGAGTGACTGAAAAGAAAAATCTTGCTTCATAATTTTATAGCTCTAAAAGATGAGCACTTATATTTTCAACATAACTGATATATTATCATTATATCTAAACATCTTTTGAAATTGCCATATATACACTGTTCAAATTCCCCATACCTTTTGTTTCTTTGAATTAAGATAAAAAATGACCATAAATTGTGATTTTATTATGTCTCATTAGTCTCATTTGTTTCTTTAGTTTTCATATTTTTTATTTTTGTGAGTACATAGTAGTTGTAGGAATTTATTGGGTATATGAGATATTTTGATATAGGTATACAATGTTTAATAACCACATCAGGGTCATTTAATAAATAGGTTTCCAATCCCTCTATTTCTTTCTCTGCCATTTATTTGTGGATGAAACTGGTTATTTGTACAGAAGAGTTTCCCACAGTCTTGACTTACTCCAGACCCATGGTGTTGTCCAACAATTTCCTCCATCTCCTTAGTTCCTGTAAGTTGGCAGTTCGATTGAAATTCAGCTTTGTGTTTCTTGGCAAGAGTAGCTAATAGATGGCATTTCTACAACCAGTTGGTGTAAGTCTGGTTGTTTTCTTTCTTATGTTAATAGTCACTAACTATCATTGCCTCAATACATTCTTTCATTTCATGGCAATATTCTAACTCTTATTTTTTTTCCCTCCATTTATTGGTTGGAATAATATGAAAAGAAACTTCCCTTCATCATCCATGTATTTGCTTACTTTTTATTAAAGTCATAAAAGAGGCAGAATGAATACTTGACTTAAAATATATGTATAAATTATATATAAAATATGTATACGTAAATTATATATGTATACGTGTATATACAGTGTATATATAAAAATATGTAAAATTATTATAAATAATAGTTTATTATATATAATGTATATATACATGTTTAAATATATGAACATATATATGTAATTTAAATGTGTATATGTACACACATATACATTTTTTAAATGAGGTGGTTTCCTAATATTCTTCAAGGGGAGCTGTTGAGTCTAGTTTAGAGTTTTTCTAATTCTAGTGGAAGGGTCTTTAGCATTTGATTGCAGATACCAATCAGCACAGGCCTGCTCTTGGAGGTCTGAATGCCTACTCTACAGGACTTCCAAGTTCAAAGATGCCAGCACCATCTCTGAAGAACCCTTCTTCAGAGTTCTGAGTCCCAGTTCTGTTGAGCCCCTCTTTATGCTTCCAATTTCTAATTGCAACTTTCCTCCTTTATTTTCCTGGTCATAGGTAGCAGTTGTGTTTTGTCATTACTACTTGTATAAAATCTTGGTATTCCTATTTTTTTCTAGTTAAATAATTTCATTTTTAAAACATTTAAACCCCTGAATAATTTTGAACTAATCCTGTCAATGGTACCAGAAATTGAAACAGTTTATTTATTTTTCCTATGATTAATCAGTTAGCTCAAAATTACTTATTAAAAAGTCAAGGTTTTCCTGGATATTGTTTTTTCTTTTAAATGGGTTTTTATAATCAACATGTCAAGCTCCAGACACAACCATTTAGTACATGATAAAGGTAGTATTTAAATCAGTGGGGGGACAAATTCTTGTAGTTGGTATGAAGAAGTGCTGCTGTTGTTGACACTCACAGGAACCGGAGGCAAGACAGGAAGGCTATCATCATTTTATTTTTCCTAGAGGCTCCAATTTTGCAGTGCCTCCTGCAGACAGAGACTAAGAAAAACAGCAAGCAAACAAATGCGGTGGGATGAGTCCCAGCACGCATACCAAGTCAGTTATAGAAGGGCGAGTTTTGAAGCTGAGACACAAAAGCTTAATAACTGGCTTATTTACAGTCTCCTGCAATTACAAAAAAAAATTGCTATATGAGTAGCATTATCCATATAATTTTTCATCTATTTACCAGATTTTTAGACAGATTCCTAGAAATGAGATTGCTGGGTCAAAGGATAAATGCAGAATATTGAGAAACTCTCCTCCTAGGATAGTTATCATTTTGCATTTCCAACGTTAATTATGACAGTGCCTGTGTTCTCTCAACCTCATCAACATGTACTGTCAAACTTTGGGATTTTTACCAGTCTGATGGGTGAGAAAGAGTATTTCAGTTTAGTTTCAATTAGCATATCCTCTTGTTATGAGAGAGTTGTATTTTCATATATATATATATGAGCTATTTGCATTTCTTTTTCTGTGAACTATCTGTTTTTATCTCTTGCTCATTGGTCATTTACTTCTCTATTTTCAGAAGGTTTATAAATATTAGGGATAGTAGCTAGTTTAATTGATATACTTTTTAAACACTTTTTCCAATTACTCATTTGTGTTTTTTACTTTGCTTATTTTTTGCAACGCGAAAGTCATTTCTTAATACGGTTAATCAATGTTTTTCTATTGCATCTGAATTTTG
This sequence comes from Homo sapiens, assembly GCF_000001405.40. Classification (NCBI taxonomy): domain Eukaryota; kingdom Metazoa; phylum Chordata; class Mammalia; order Primates; family Hominidae; genus Homo; species Homo sapiens. Next base: position 46,711,788 of record NC_000004.12, read on the forward strand.
ACTCATAATTAGGGCATTTTCTCACTCTCATGTTTTCTCATATTTTCTTGATATTGTATAACTTATTTTTTCATTTAGAACTCTAAACCAGTTGGAATTTATCCTGTCAACAGTGTCAGAAATAAATACAACTTCATCTATTTTCCCTGTGGTTTATCAGTTGTCTTATCATCACTTACTAAAAGTCCATCTCCTTCCCACTGTTAATGTTGCCTTTAGCATATACTAACTACATTTACATATGCAGTAAGTCTATTTATGCATTGCTTATTCTATTGGTCTGGCTTCTATTTGTACAATGATAAAGTAATTTAAATTTAGAGACTCAAGACAATGTTTTAATAATTAATAAAATTAGCTTTTTCTGACTTTTATTTATTTGTTCTTTTAAATAAAGTTTATAATTAAATTCCCATACTCCAAGGAAAAAAATTAATTTTTTTCTTAGAGAAGCTTTAATGCTGTCAATCAACTCATGGGAGATTAAAGTCTATGTGATATTAAGTCTCTCTGTCCAAGAACATGGTATGTGTTTTTGTTTATACACACAAACACACACAAATACACATTTGTTGGACATAAGTTCGCATGTAGGTATTCTATTTGTTTATTTATTTTCACTTTTGTAAATGATATTGTTTCATCCTTATCCTCTTTTTGAAGATTCATTTTATGATTTTGTAAGCTGATACCACCCTTAAATTCTTATATAGCTTCTCTACCAATTCTTTTGTTTTTCTATACATATAATCATATCTGAAATTGAGATTCTTGCTTTCTAATTCTTATGCCTCTATGTTTTTTGTTAACTAATTTTGTAAGCTAATATCTGCAATAAAATGATGAATAGTAATAGAAGTAGAGAATACATTTGCCTTGTACCTGACATGAAAGGGAAAGTCTCCAATGTTTTCCCACTAGGTGAGAGACTGAATTTCAGGCAAGATGTGTATGTGTCTGAATGTGTATACATGCTCACTCAAATAAAAGTCATACATTTTTATTTTTAAAGCATAATAGATTTTAAATATTGTCAAATATCTTTATGCATCTATGCATTTATGATTTATCTCCATATTAATAAAATGGATTATATTAATGTTTGTTACTATTTAACTATCCTTACATTCCTAGAGTTTTTTTGTTAACATTTAACTATCCTTGCATTCCTGGAATTTGTTTGTTAATTTCCTGGGATACAAGAATAGTTTGATTTCAACATGGCCATTATTTATTATTCCAATATTAAGAAATTAGATTTGATTGTAATTTTATTTTTGGAACAATCTATATAATGTTTGGAATCAATAATATAATTGCTTCCTGATATGAATTTGGGTTTTTCTTTATTACCTCTGTTCTAGAAGAGTTTAGACAGCCTTATGATTTTCTTATTTTCAAATTTTGGCAAAATTCTCCTCTGGACCCGTTCAGGTTTATTCTTGATTTTGGTTTGGTTTTGTTGAGTAATTTCAGTTTCCTCTATTTATCCTAAGGTAAATATGTTTAAACTTTGTATGTTTTAGGATCATTTCATTTTGACAAATTGTATTTTGCTAGGAAATTACTCTTCCCCTCCACCAAAAATCTCCACATTTCCCTCACCCCCAGCCCCTGGTAACCACCATTCTAATCTCTGCTTCAAGGCAACTTTTTTAGATTTCACATATAAGTGAGATCATGCAGTATTTGTCCTTTTACACATGACTTATTTCACTTAGCATAGTGTTTTTTAGGCTTACCCATATTGTCCAAATGGCAGGATCTCCTATATTATGAATAAGTAACATTCCATTGTGTGTGTGCACAACACACACACACACATATATATATCACATTTTCTTTATCCATTCATCCTTTAATAGACATGAATTGTTTCCATATCTTAACAATTGTGAATAATGCTGGTGCAGATATCTCTTTGAGACACTAATTTCATTTCCTTTGGATATACAAGAAGAATAACTGGGATGGTAGTTATATGATAGTTGTAGTTTTTATTTTTTTTTAGGTAACTTTGTACTGTTTTTGACAATGGCTGCACCAATTTACAGTCCCACCAACAGGGTACCAGGGTTCCCTTTTTTCCACACCCTCACCAACACTTCTTGTCTCTTGTCTTTTTGATAATGACATTCTAATGTGTGAGGTGATATTTGTGGTTTTGATTTGCATTTGAATGATGATTTGTTCTGTTGAGCACCTTTTCATATACCTGTTGGCCTTTTGTATGTCTATTCAAGTCCTTTGAGCATTTTAAAATTGGGTTATTTGGTTCTTTTCTACCAAGTTTTGTGACTTCCTTTATTTTGGATATTAACTCCTTGCCAGAGGCATGATTTGCAAATATTTTCTTCCAATTTGTGGTTTCCCTTTTCATTTTGTTGATTGTTGATTTTGCTTTTAAGTTTGATATAGTCCAAGTTGTTTATTTTTGCTTTTGTGGTCTGTGCCTATGGTGCCATATCTAAAACACCATTGCCAAGACCTATGTCAAAGTGCTTTTTTCATGTTTTCTTCTAGAAGTTTTATAGTTCTAGATCTTAAATGGCAAATTTGCTATTTAAGCTTTTAATCTATTTGAAGTTAATTTTGTATACAGTGTAAAATGAGGGCACAGTTTCTGCTTTTGCATGTAGATGTCCAGTTTTCCCTAGACTGTTAAAGAGACTATCCTTTACTCATTGTATATTCTTGGAACTCTAATCAAAAATTAGTTAACCATATATGTGTGGGTTTATTTCTGGGCTCTCTAATCCATTGGCCTGTGTGCCTGTTTTTATGCTAGCAGCATAATATTTTGATGATTATAGCTGTGTAATATAGTTTGAAATCAAGAAGTGTGATGGTTATCCAGCTTTGTCCTTTCTCAAAATTGCTTTAGCTATTGAAGGTCTTTTGTGGTTTCATGTGAATCTTAGGATTTTTTTTTCCATTTCTCTGAAAAGCCATTGGAATTTTGATAAGAATAACACTGAATCTGTAGATTGCTTTGGGTATTATGCAGATTTAACAATATCAATTCTTCTAATCCATAAACATAAGATAATGAAAAATAAAGTAATAAATTTTTCTAATCTATAAACATAGAATAATAAATGGAAGGATACTTCCATTTATTTGTATCTTGTACATTTCTTTGATAGCTGTCTTATAATTAAATATTATTCATTTTATCTAGATTTTCAAATATATTTGCATAGAGGTATGCAGAATAATCTGTGGTATTCTTCCTTCAGTTGAGAAGGAAACATTGCCATTTCCAATTTTCTGTATTTATGTTCCTGCCCTTCACTTTTTAAAAACATTCGTCTAGTTGTTCATTTAGTCTAGTTGATAATTTCAAATAATAGGGTTTACTTCTGGATTTATTGTTAGTTCTTAATGGTGTTCTGTTTGCTATATATTTCAGTTTTGGAGTCAGTTCTGCTTGATTTTTGTTTGTATAGTCCTTTCTAAAATTTTCTTGTTCCTTGCAGTTGAGTATTTAATACACTTTTCATTTTTATTGTTATAGGTATTTATATAATCTGTAATTTTTCTCTAATACCTAAACTTTGCTATATCCCACCAATTCTGAATACTGCATTCTCGTGATCCTTTATTTCTTGGGTCTGAAATTTTAGTATATTCTCTCCAGCACAACAGTCATGTGATGGTTAATTTTATGTGTCAACTTGATGGAGTCACAGGGTACACAGATATTTGGTCAGACTTTATTCTGAGTGTGTCTGTGAGGGACTATTTCAATGACATTAATGTTTAAATCAGTAAACGGAGTAAAGCAAATTGCCCTCCCCAGTGTGGGTGGGTTTCATCCAATCTGTTGAAGCCTTAATAGAACAAAAAACCCAATAGTCCCATGAATGAGAAAGAACTCCCCCTACTGTCTGTTGAACTCGGACATAGTCCTTTCTGATCTTTGGGCTCATCCTGAAGCATCAGCTTTTCTTGGGTCTTGGGCCTTCTGGATTTTGAATTGGAACTTATACCGTAGGCTATCTTGGTTTTTAGGACTTTGGACTTGAATTGGAACTAAATGTGGGCTCTCCTGGGTTTCCAGCTTGCCAACTGCAGGTCTCAAGACTTCTTAGCCTCCATAATCATGTCAGTCAGTTTGGTAAATATATATCTTTCTATATGTGTGTGTGTATATACATATACCATATGCATATGTGTATGTATATGTGTATTACATATATATGTACATATACATAATATAACTACACAATGGCCCTCCTAGGTCTCTAACTTGCCACCTGCAGATCTAAGGATGTTTTAGGCCCCAAAACTGTGCCAGTTTATTACAACAAATGTCCTTCTATAGATATACTATGTACACACATATATATGTGTATATATAATGTATACATATATGTGCATCATATATGTATATATAATACATCTATATATAGAATACATATGTATTCTAATACATACATATATTAGTCCATTTTCACACTGCTGTAAAGAAATACCTGAGACTGGGTAATTTATTAAAAGAAGAGGTTTAATTGACTCAGTTCCACATGGCTGGGGAGGCCTCAGGACAGTTGCAATCATGGAGGAAGGGGAAGCAGGAACATGATGGCAGGAGAGAGAGAGTGTGTGAAGAGGTAAGAGCCCATTATAAAACTATCAGATTTCACGAGAATTCACTATCACAATAATAGTATGGGGGAAACTGCCCCCATGATTCAATCACCTCCTACCAGTTCCCTCCCTTGACACGTGGAGATTATAGGGATTACAATTCAAGACGAGATTTAGGTGAGGACACAGAGCCAAAACATATCAATATAATATGTACATACATGCACACTCACACACACACACAAGTGGTTTTGATTCTCTGGAGAACCCTAACACAAGTTGTTTAACAGAGTTTTTGTTGTTGTTTTTAAATTACAAGTGGAAGGAGCTTTCTGTTTTATAATTTGGGATTTTTTTTTGTTTTAATTGCAGTATGTTCAAATAATGGTATTTATATTATTTCAACTACACATACATAATTTTGTTGTTTAGAATTTTATAACTATATTGTTGTGGGGCAATGTTAGAACATGATCTGTTTTGGCTTTAGAAATGTTTAACTCTCCTTTCAGTCATTGATGTTTTTTATTTGTCCTTGAGTCTTCTGTGGCTTCTGTTTTATGAAAGTCATTTCTATGGTGTATTCAACCTACTGCTCTGAAGTGTTTGCTTAAACTGGAATGGTAAATCGGAGAGAAATAAACTTCTATTTTTTGAGGCTGCATTTCTGGTCTCTCTATTCAGCTTCACTTTACTGTATGTAACTAACCATAGACAAACCTAACAAATTTGTAGCTCCAAAGAGAGATTGGCTCGTGACAAGATACCTTCATCAAATGATCAGTTCCACCTAATGAAAATGAAATGTGGCTTGCATTTGGGACTAATTCATAAAGGAAGATGCTTTCTGTTATTTTGCCACTTTCTTCCCCACAATCACTTCAAATTTTAGTAATTCAATTCCATAGGGTACTTGTAACACAATCCAGTATGTTACTAATTTCTAAAGGGTAAGAAATGCAAACTATTAGCTGAATGACTATATAAATGAGTTATACTTAAGACCAAGTGAATAATATTGCTTAAAATTTTCATATATCAGATTAAGTATCTCCAAACAATATATTTCTCTTCTTACAATTGTATTTCACAAAACCCACCATTCTAAATTTCCTCACATATTAGGAAATAGCTCAAGAATTGGTCACTTTTCAGCTGTGTAACATTTAGCAAATAAAGAAAACACGAGCTGGGTGCAGTGGGCTCATGTCTGTAATCCCAGAACTTTGGGAGGCTGAGGCAGGCAGTTCATTTGGGGTCAGGAGTTCGAGACCAGCCTGGCCAACATGGCAAAGTCCTGTCTCTACTAAAAATACAAAAAAAAAAAAAAAAATTAGCCACGTGTGGTGGCACACACCTGTGATCTCAGCTATTCAGGAGGCTGAGGTATGAGACTCGCTTGAACCCAGGAGGCTAAGGTTGCAGTGAGCCAAGATCATGCCACTGCATTCCAGTCTGAGTGACAGAGAGAGGCTCCATATCAAATAAAAAAAGAAAAAAAGATAACTCTACTTTTTTTTTTACCAAAAAATCAAAAATTTGAAAATGACTAAATTTCAATATTGTTCCATCAAGGTAAAGTAAAATGAATACTATTTTTTTAATTTTACAAAATAATTATCATGTTCAACAAATACATTTCATGTTGTCACAGTAGGAACATAATAAAAGCATAATTCAAATGTATTTGCATTTCAGATTTAGTACTTTGTAAATATGTTGACAAGTTGAATATTCACATATACGAGAGAACTGAGCAGTTACTTACAAGTAATTAACATATGAATAACTTTTCTGAAATGGTGTAAGGTCAGAAGTCCTATCCCATTCAATGGGGGATGATAACCTCTATTGCTTTTGTATTCTTGGGTAGTAATTTATGGAGTTACTGGAACTGTTAAATTGTAGACAAGTTAGGGAACTTATGAGATACACAAACTTTGTTAGGGTGATCTGTGAACTTAATCACCATTCTCATTACATCAGTTGATGCAATAATAATAGACTGTTGTGAGTACCCTATTATTATAATTGTAAGAGTTAAATACTCAAGTTAAGCCAGGGATGGTGACTCACAATCCCAGCTACTTGGGAGGCTGAGGCAGAAATATCACTTGAGCCCAGGAGTTCAAGGCTGCAGTGAGATATAATCGCAACACTGCCCTCCAGCCTACATGACAGAGTGAGACCTCATCTCTATAAACAAAGGAAAAGAAAGAAGTTGGGAGAGAATTTAAGGTTAAGGTTATTCCTAGTATATGCTTGTCTTACATACCAGTATTTCTGTCTCAATGTTTCATTGGTGTGGGGCCAAATATAACGTATTTGAAATTTGTGGTAACTGCAAACTTCATTTGCTTACCTGGGTTAATCAAAATTTACACATGGCCTACGAATCTCTAGTTATTTCCTTAAAATTAACAGTCATTTGAGAAATTATATAGTCAATTTAATTATGTATGCCTAAAATAATTTAATAAATACCTATGACTTCTTAACCCACATTTGTTTCTATCAATTTATTTCCCTGCCTATTTTTGAAAAATCAAATTCTGAATATATGCATAGAAATTTGTCGTACATCCACTATTCAGCATGTGTTGCAGCAAAGATAGTTTAAAAACTGCTTAATTTTAATATTGTTTCTATGGTAATATAGTGGAATCACATCATATATGTATTTAACTTAATTAGATTCAACTATAGAGGCTTTGTGACAAAGATAGGAACAGAGACAGTGGAAAGGCAAACAGAGAGAAAGGCAGGGAGAAACTAAAGAGACTGGAATATAGATATAGAATCACAAAGACAAAAAAGGACAGAAAAAATGTATATAGGGCTGAAAATTCCATCTATTTTTCTGCTCAATAAGTCTACATGCTCCTTGGTTGCACTTCGCTGTCACAAAAGGGCACATCCTGACACTCTGAGTCTACTGTCCAACTCTATTCATCATGTATATGCCTTGGCAAATGTATATTACTATATACATTTTATACATGCGTAAGAGAAAGCTATATTAAAATTATATGTATAAGTTATATGTGTAATTTAAGATAATTTTGAAAATATAACTTTTACCTTAACAGGTTTATTTTTAGAGTCCAATCCTACAATATGAAGAAGCTGTTTCCTCTACCCCATTCATGTGATCCAACCTCCAAACAATCATAAAAGTGAATTTTTGGAGATTATCCAAATTTTGAACTAGGAACAGTCTTTATACTATCAAAGTTAAATAATAGAGCTCTTTACATTAGAGAATGTGGCATTCATATTTAAGTACTACCCCTTAATAACCATTCTTTACAAAGTTGAAACCATGATCAACATTATCATCATCCTTATTGTCAATACTTCCTTTACTCAATTATTCATTTCACCAGATAAAACTTTATGATTACTTATTAAGCATTTATTTTAACTAATGGAATCCTCAAATTCTGTAAATCAGGTATTCCCCTCAACTTTATAATAAGAAAATGGGAGTGATAAGCCAGTTAGCTAAAGGGCTGATTTAGCCTCTGAATACAGATTTTTCTGAATCCAAAGTCCATACTATTTTAGGAAGTTGTCTTTAATGCAAAAATCTAGAAAGAACAATATGTAAGAAGAGTAACAGACAGACAGAATTTTTTTTCAAAACTGTATTCTACTTTATTTCTGTAGTTGGCATCATATTTACCATTTAAATGTTATTTTTGAAGTAGTTTAAAAACTCTCCTGCATATATTATCCAATAAAATATCTATATACTTCTTTCTTCTTCTTGTTATATTTGTCAGACACCCATCAGTTATGGTTGTGTGTCTGATTGGAAGATCTTTCCTTTCAAGAATGTGAAATGTTTCCATGGAGATCAGCTTGAGATAGCCCAGTGACGAGCTTCTTAGCTATAATTTCACATTGGTTTCTATGGTTTCCAGATAGGGGAAGAAAATGAAGTTGCAGATTTTTTTGTAATGTAAAAGGTTATTAAAAAATAAGAAATAATGCTCAAATTAATGTCATCACCTAAGGAAAACAACTGCTGTTACTGCAAAACATGAAAGATTTTATGATGTATGTTATACATGTATGCACTTTGCTGCATTTGTAATAAATGAGGAACTATCATGATACGTGAATAATTTCCCAAATTAGCAGACACTCGTTTAAAAGGGGTTTTAATGAAACATGTTTTAGCAATGATTACTGATAACTGGCTTGCAATCTCCACTTCCTTTTCCTTACATCAAATCTTTAAAGATGTCACACAGTACATTTGTTAAGTCAGTACATGAGTAAAATTCCATGGCAGAGATATATCACTTTATCCATTGTTCAACACCTGAGACCAACATCCATACCCATACAGTTTTTTGGATAGATTTTACTATTAGTGATGAAGCTGTGAACCAGTAAATACTGGACCTAACATTCAAATCCCATTAAAGCGGCTGCACATAAATTGTACTGATCAAACACACAGCCTCATATTGGCCTTATTCACCAGCCTAATTCTTGTACTTACCAATGATCCCAGTAGTTGGCATGCAGATACACTATTTATCTATCCACTTACCATCATCACTTAGGATGAGATCAAGGTTGTCTGGTTGGAGGAAGTATGTGAAATTCCCAAAGGAGCAGTAGACTACAAGGCAAGAGAGGTGGATTCTATTTCTATCTCTATTTTTAAGTGACTTCCTTGTCACTTAACCAACCCATGGCTAATAATAGGTAAACATCTATTCAATAGGGTAAATGACCAGCTTATGGACTTTACAGGATTACCATGTATTTCAAATGGGAAAAAAAAATTAATCCTTTAACAACTGTCATGGCACATTGATATGGCAAATTCTAACTTTTCTCTGTACACTTATTATTCACACTTATCCACACTGTAATGGCAAAACATAGCCCTAGTAGCACAGTTTTTCCAAATAAAGGAAGAACACATGTCAAAACGAAGCTTTGAGTAACCGTCAAGTAACATTTTTCTCATAATAATAATATATACTAATGTAATTTCCAAGAAGAGTGTGAGGCAATATAACATTGATGTTGTGGCTGGTAATTTGAAAAACTTATTCAAAAGTTAGTTTTCAAATACACAGAGAACAGCAATATGGCTTGCATTTTTTAAAACTTTTTTTATTATACATAAGTTCTAGGGTACATATGCACAACGTGAAGGTTTGTTACATATGTATATGTGTACCATGTTGGTTTGCTACACCCATTAACTCATCATTTACATTAGGTATTTATCCTAATGCTATCCCTCCCCCACCCCCCAACCCACAACAGGCCCCGGTGTGTGATCTTCCCTGCCCTGTGTCCAAATTGTTCAATTCCCACTTATGAGTGAGAACATGCGGTGTTTGGTTTCCTGTCCTTGTGATAGTTTGCTGAGAATGATGGTTTCCAGCTTCATTCATGTCCCTACAAAGGACATGAACTCATCCTTTTTTATGACTGCATAGTATTCCATGGTGTATATGTGCCATATTTTCTTAATCCAGTCTATCATTGATGTACATTTGGGTTGGTTCCAAGTCTTTGCTATTGTAAATAGTGCCACAATAAACATGCATGTGCATGTGTCTTTATAATCCTTTGTGTGCACGATTCATAATCCTTTGAGTATATACCCAGTAATGGGATTGCTGGGTCAAATGGTATTTCTAGTTCTAGATCCTTGAGGAATCACCACACTGTTTTCCACAATGGTTGAACTAGTTTACACTCCCACCAACAGTGTAAAAGTGTTCCTATTTCTCCACATCCTCTCCAGCACCTGCTGTTTCCTGACTTTTTAATGATCGCCATTCTAACTGGTGTGAGATGGTATCTCATTGTGGTTTTGATTTGCATTTCTCTGATGGCCAGTGATGAGGAGCATTTTTTCATGTATCTGTTGGCTGCATAAATGTCGTCTTATGAGAAGTGTCTGTTCATATCCTTTGCCCACTTTTTGATGGGGTTGTTTGATTTTTTCATGTAAATTTGTTTAAGTTCTTTGTAGATTCTGGATATTAGCCCTTTGTCAGATGGGTAGATTGCAAAAATTTTCTCCCATTCTGTAGGTTGCCTGTTCACTCTGATGGTAGTTTCTTTTGCTGTGCAGAAACTCTTTAGTTTCATTAGATCCCATTTGTCAATTTTGGCTTTTGTTGCCATTGCTTTAGGTGTTTAGTCATGAAGTCCTTGCCCATACCTATGTCCTGAATGGTATTGCCTAGGTTTACTTCTAGGGTTTTTATGGTTTTAGGTCTAACATTTAAGTCTTTAATCCACCTTGAATTAATTTTTGTATAAGGTGTAAGGAAAGGATCCAGTTTCAGCTTTCTACATATGGCTAGCCAATTTTCCCAGCACCATTTATTACATAGGGACTCCTTTCCCCATTTCTTGTTTTTGTCAGGTTTGTCAAAGATCAAATGGTTGTACATGTGTGGTGTTATTTCTGAGGGCTCTGTTCTGTTCCATTGGCCTATATCTCTGTTTTGGTACCAGTACCATGCTGTTTTTGTTTCTATAGCCTTGTAGTATAGTTTGAAGTCAGGTAGTGTGATGCCTCCAGCTTTGTTCTTTTTGCTTAGGATTGTCTTGGCAATGCAGGCTCTTTTTTGGTTCCATGTGAACTTTAAAGTAGTTTTTTCCAATTCTGTGAAGAAAGTCATTGGTAGTTTCATGGGGATGGCATTGAATCTATAAATTACCTTGGGCAGTATGGCCGTTTTCATGATATTGATTCTTCTTCTCCATGAGCATGGAATGTTCTTCCATTTGTTTGTGTCCCCTTTTATTTCTTTGAGCAGTGGTTTGTAGTTCTCCTTGAAGAGGTCCTTCACATCCCTTGGAAGATGGATTCCTAGGTATTTTATTCTCTTTTTAGCAATTGTGAATGGGAGTTCACTCATGATTTGGCTCTCTGTTTGTCTGTTATTGGTGTATAAGTATGCTTGTGATTTTTGCACATTGATTTTGTATCCTGAGACTTTGCTCAAGTTGCTTATCAGCTTAAGGGGATTTGGGGCTGAGACGATGGGGTTTTCTAAACATACAACCATGTCATCTGCAAACAGGGACAATTTGACTTCCCCTTTTCCTAATTGAATACCCTTTATTTCTTTCTCCTGCCTGATTGCCCTGGCCAGAACTTCAACAGTATGTTGAATAGAAGTGGTGAAAGAGGGCATCCCTGTCTTGTGCCAGTTTTCAAAGGGAATGCTTCCAGTTTTTGCCCATCCAGTATGTAATTGGCTTTGGGTTTATCATAAATAGCTCTTTTTTTTTTTTTGGTTCAAAAAATGGTTTTATGGAAAAATTAATCTGTAACAAAAAGTTGGCATTGAGTGCGAAGGCTCCACCGTTTTTTTTCTTGGTTTTTTTTTTTTTTTTTGAGCAAAGCGTACAAAGGTTCCAAGGGACAGGACCAAGAACGAGGGGCTGAGACATTTACAACAGCAGGCATTTTCTCTTCCTCTTCTTCACGGGAGGCGGGCAGAGGACTGCTCGGATCGCTTCGTCAAACACTGTCTTGATGCCTCGCTGTGTGAGCGCCGAGCGCTCCAGGTATTTTACAGCACCAATCTCCTTAGCCATGGCTAGACCCTGCGGATAGGTGATGGGAGTCAGCTTCTTCTCCTTCAGTTTCTCGATCGGGTCTTTATCATCCCTAAGATCAAGTTTAGTTCCCACTAGGATGATGGGAGTGTTGGGACAGTGGTGCCGCACCTCAGGATACCACTTTGCACGGACATTTTCAAATGATGCAGGACTCACAAGGGAAAAGCAAATTAAGAACACATCTGTTTGCGGATAGGATAGGGGGCGTAATCTGTCATAATCTTCTTGTCCAGCTGTATCCCATAAGCCCAGATTCACCGGTTTTCCATCTACCATAACATTGGCAGAATAATTGTCAAAGACAGTAGGGATATATTCTCCAGGAAATGCATTGGTTGTGTAACTGATCAGTAGGCAAGTTTTACCTACAGCTCCGTCTCCCACCACCACAAACTTGATGGCCTGCATCAGGGCCGCTCGCTGGGCCGCGGCGGCGGCGGCAGGGCGCTGAGATAGGAAGCGGCGGGCTCGGGGCGCGGCGGACGGGCGCGCGGCTTCCGGGCGGCGGGGCGCTGGGTGCCGGGGCCGCTGTCCACGCCGCCTCGCCCTCCGCGGACTGGAAGCCGATGCCCGGCAGCGGCCACCACCCAAAGCTGAGGAAAACTGCCATAAATAGCTCTTATTATTTTGAGATACGTTCCATCAATACCTAGTTTATTGAGGGTTTTTAGCATGAAGAGCTGTTGAATTTCATTAAAAGCCTTTTCTGCATCTATTGAGATAATTGTGTGGTTTTTTCTTTGGTTCTGTTTATGTGATGGATTCCATTTATTGATTTGTGTATGTTGAACCAGCCTTGCATCCCAGGGATGAAGCCAACTTGATCTTGGTGGATAAGCTTTTTGATGTGCTGCTGGATTTGGTTTGCCAGTATTTTATTGACGATTTTCACATTGACGTTCATCAGGGATTTTGGTCTAAAATGCTTTTTTTGTTGTGTCTCTGCCAGGCTTTGGTATTAGGATGATGCTGGCCTCGTAAAATGAGTCAGGGAGGATTCCCTCTTTTTCTATTGATTGGAATATTTTCAGAAGGAATGGTATCAGCTCCTCCTTGTACCTCTGGTAGAATTTGGCTGTGAATCCGTCTGGCCCTGGACTTTTTTTTGTTTGGTAGGCTATTAATTATTGCCTCAATTTCAGAGCCTGTTATTAGTCTATTCAGTGATTCAACTTCTTCCTGGTTTAGTCTTGGGAGGGCATATGTTTCCAGGAATTTATTCATTACTTCTAGATATTCTAGTTTATTTGCATAGAGGTGTTTATAGTATTCTCTGATGGTAATTGGTATTTCTGTGAGATTGATGGTGATATCCCCTTTATCATTTTTTATTTTGTCTATTTGATTCTTCCCTCTTTTCTTCATTAGTCTTGCTAGTGGTCTATCAATTTTGCTGATCTTTTCAAAAAACCAGCTCTACACACTGCTTTAAATGTGTCCCAGAGATTCTAGTATGTTGTGTCTTTGTTCTCACTGGTTTCAAAGAACATCTTTATTTCTGCCTTCATTTTGTTATCTACCCAGTAGTCATTCAGGAACAGGTTATTCAGTTTCCATGTAGCTGTGCAGTTTTGAGTGAGTTTCTTAATCCTGAGTTCTAATTTGATTGCACTGTGGTCTGAGAGGCAGTTTGTTGTGATTTCTGTTCTTTTACATTTGATGAGGAGTGCTTTACTTCCAACTATGTGGTCAATTTTGGAATAAGTGTGATGTGGTGCTGAGAAGAATGTATATTCTGTTGATTTGGGGTGGAGAGTTCTGTAGATGTCTATTAGGTCTGCTTGGTGCAGAGCTGAGTTCAATTCCTGGATATCCTTGTTAACCTTCTGTCTCGTTGATCTAATACTGACAGTGAGGTGTTAAAGTCTCCCTTTTTTTTTTTTAAGACAGTGTCTTGCTCCATCGTCCAGGCTGGAGTGCAGTGGCATGATCTTGGCTCACTGCAAGCTCTGCCTACTGGGTTCATGCCATTCTCCTGCTTCAGCCCCCCAAGTAGCTGGGACTATATGCGCCCACCACCACACCCGGCTAAATTTTTTTTTGTATTTTTATTAGAGACAGGGTTTCACCATGTTAGCCAGGATGGTCTCAATCTCCTGAACTCAAGATCCGCCCACCTCGGCCTTCCAAAGTGCTGGGATTACAGGTGTGAGCCACCATGCCTGGCCAAAGTCTCCCATTATTATTGTGTGGGAGTCTAAGTCTCTTATAGTTCTCTAAGAACTTGCTTTATGAACCTGGGTGCTCCTGTATTTGGTGCATATATGTTTAGGACAGTTAGCTCTTCTTGTTGAATTGATCCCTTTACCATTCTGTAATGGCCTTGTCTCTTTTGAACTTTGTTGGTTTAAAGTCTGTTTTATCAGAGACTAGGATTGCAGACTAGGATTGCAACCCCTGCTTTTTTTTGCTTTCCATTTGCTTGGTAGATCTTCCTCCATCCCTTTATTTTGAACCTATGTGTGTCTCTGCACGTGAGATGGGTCTCCTGAATACAGCACACTGATGGGTCTTGACTCTTTATCCAGTTTGCCAATTTGTGTCTTTTAATTGGGGGCATTTAGCCCATTTACATTAAGGTTAATATTGTTATGTGTGAATTTGATCCTGTCATTATGATGTTAGCTGGTTATTTTGCCCATTAGTTGATGCAGTTTCCTCCTAGTATCAATGGTCTTTACAATTTGGCATGTTTTTGCAGTGGCTGGTTGCCTATTCAGTATGACATTGGCTGTGGGTTTGTTATAAATAGCTCTTATTATTCTTTTTCATGTTTATTGATTCCTTCAGGAGCACTTGTAAGGCAGGCCTGGTGGTGACAAAACTCTCAGCATTTGCTTGTCTGTAAAGGATTTTATTTCTCCTTCACTTACGAAACTTAGTTTGGCTGGATATGAAATTCTGGGTTGAAAATTCTTTTCTTTACGAATGTTGAATATTGGCCCCCACTCTATTCTGGCTTGTAGAGTTTCTGCCGAGATATCCGCTGTTAGTCTGATGGGCTTCCCTTTGTGGGTAACCTGATCTTTCTCTCTGGCTGCTCTTAACATTTTTTCCTTCATTTCAACCTTGGTGAATCTGACAATTATGTGTATTGGAGTTGCTCTTCTTGAGGAGTATCTTTGTGGTGTTCTCTGTATTTCCTGAATTTGAATGTTGGCCTGCCTTGCTAGGTTGGGGAAGTTCTGGATAATCCTGAAGAGTGTTTTCCAGCTTGATTCCATTCTCCTCATCACTTTCAGGTACACCAATCAAACGTAGATTTGGTCTTTTCACATAGTCCCATATTTCTTGGAGGCTTCATTTGTTTCTTTTTACTCATTTTTCTCTAATCTTCTCACTTCATTTAATTAATTTGATTTTCAGTCACTGATATCCTTTCTTCCACTTGATCAAATCGACTACTGAAGCTTGTGCATGTGTCACATAGCTCTTGTGCCATTGTTTTCAGCTCCATCAGGTCATTTAAGGTCTTCTCCACACTGTTTATTCTAGTTAGCCATTCATCTAATCTTTTTTCAAGGTTTTTCACAGCTTTTTTCACAGCTTCCTCGTGATGGGTTCTAACATCCTCCTTTAGCTCAGAGAAGTTTGTTGTTACCGACCTTCTAAGGCATACTTCTGTCAACTCATCAAAGTCATTCTCCATCCAGCTTTGTTCTGTTGCTGGCAAGGAGCTTCCCAGGTAAGGCGATGCCCCACCCTGCTTTGGCTCGCCCTCTGAGGGCTGCACCCACTGTCCAACCAGTCCCATTGAGATGAACCAGGTACCTCAGTTGGAAATGTAGAAATCAGCTGGCTTCTGCATCAATCATGTTGGGAGCTGCAGACTGGAGCTGTTCCTATTCAGCCATCTTGGAACAGACCTCGCATTTTTTATAATTTTTATGGTTTACATATGGCCTGAATATAATTCCAGTGAGAAAGGTTAGAAACAGTAAAAAAAAAATCATCTGGGCATGGTGGCTCATGCCTATAATCCCAGCACTTCGGGAGGCTGAGGAGGGCAGATCACTTGAGGTCAGGAGATGGAGACCATCCTAACTAACATGGTGAAACCCATCTCAACTAAAAATACAAAAATTAGCTGGGTGTGGTGCCATGTGCCTGTAATCCCAGCTACTCAGGAGGCTGAGGCAGGAGAATTGCTTGAACCCAGGAGGTGGAGGTTGCAGTGAGCAGCGATTGTGCCATTGCACTCCAGCCTGGGTGACAGAGTGAGACCCTTTCTCAAAAAAAAAAAAAAAGAAAGAAAGAAAAGAAACAGTAACTAAAATCAACATCTAAGTTTGATTATAAGAAATCTGTGGCCAAAAATTTAGATGTAATAATAATTTTAGGCATATATATGCTCCTAAAATAATTTTGATCTTAAAAATACAGATGTGTAGGCCAGGTGTGGTGGCTCACACCTGTAATCCCAGTACTTTGGGAGGCTGAGGCGGGTGGATCACTTGAGGTCAGGAGTTTGAGACCAGTCTGGCCAAAATGGTGAAACCCCATCTCTACTAAAATTTCAAAAATTAGCCAGCCATGGTGGTGCACGCCTGTAATGCCAGCTACTTGGGAGGCTGAGGCATGAGAATCCCTTGAACCCGGGAGGCAGAAGTTGCAGTGATCCAAGATCGTGACACTGTACTCCAGCCTGGGCAATAGAGTGAAACTCTGTCTCAAAAAAAAAAAAAAATACTTATGCGTATGTATACATATATATCTATACCTATCTATAAAGACAGATATATAGATACATACACATGCACACTCTCTCTCCCTCAGACATGAACTTACATATATAGATATATAAACCCAAAGAGGTAGACTTTAATCCTAATTTCAAATCAGAAAATATTCAAGATAAAGTTAAGAAAACTATCATTTAAAAATGCTCACTATGGCCAGGCGTGGTGGCTCATGCCTGTAATCCTAGCAGTTTGGGAGGCCGAGGCGGGCAGACTGCCTGAGCTCAGGAGTTTGGGACCACCCTGGGCAACAGGGTGAAACGCTGTCTCTACTAAAAATACAAAAAATTAGTCAGGCATGGTGGTGCATGCTTGCAGTCCCAGCAACTAGGGAGGCTAAGGCATGAGAAACACTTGAACCAAATGAGACAAGATCACACCACTGCACTCTAGCCTGGGCCTCACAGCGAGACTCTGTTTAAAAACAAAAACCAGGCTGGGTGTGGTGGCTCACACCTGTAATCCCAACACTTTGGGAGGCCGAGGTGGGTGGATCACCTGAGTTCAGGAGTTCGAGACCAGCCTGGTCAACATGGCAAAACCCTGTCTCTACTAAAAATACAAAAATTAGTTGGGCGTGGTGGCACGTGCCTGTAATCCCAGCTACTTGGGAGGCTGAGGCTGGAGAATCACTTGAACCTGGGAGGCAAATGTTGCAGTGAGCTGAGATTCCATCTCAAAAAACAAACAAACAAAAAAACCACAACAAAAAACAACAAAAAAACCCCTCATTATATTCCATATGTATTTTATATCCCCATTTGCAGTCTGATGCACTCTCTTGATCTTACTTCCCATAATTTTTACAACAATCTACAATGACTTCCTGTCTTTTCTAGCTCGAGTTGAATCCTTCTACAGAACTTGCCACTTACATATATGAAGAAAGACTGGTAAACAGTGTAACATGCAAGTAAAAGAACAGATTCTAAAGCCAGGGAGATATGGGCTTGAGTCCTGGCTCCATTCTTTGTAAGCTGTGTGTTTAAGAAAGTTTCATGTCACTTTGAACCTAAAGTTTACAAGTAGGACTTCCTATCATGAGCTGTCCAAAGAAGAAAAAATTCAAGTCTGGTTCTGCAAGATATGCTGACCGACCATACCTGAATGTAGACAGCTTCAGCCATGTAATTTAACTCCATGTTGGCCCTAAAGGAAAAGGGAAATTTTCCTGGTGGGCAGTGCATTAAATAATGTACATAGTTGTTCATTTTGCCTGGAGGGAGAGATGGCCAAAGATACAATTCTACACTGAGTCATGGGTTCCAGCAAAGGGCTTGACAGGATAGTTGGGAAATTAGAAGAGACACTATTACAAAATGTGTGAAAAGAAGTCTGGGAATGGATTTTGTGTGCAGACTTCTCCAAATGGGCACAGAGTGGAAGATATTCATGTTCCATATCAATGCTCACCAAAAGGATAATCAGCAGAGGAGTATCTCAAAAATCAGGTGGACAAGATGACCCATTCTTACGTCCATCAGCCTTTCCTAGCAATCCTGTGTTTTCACAATGCCTCAGAGACAAAATGACCATGTCAGCAGAAATGGAGGTTGGGCACGGGCTCAACAACATGGGAGTTCCACTTATCAAGGCTAGTCTGGCTATAGTCACTGCTAAGTTCCCAACCTACCAAATAGACCAACACTGCATCTCCATTTGGCACCATTTCTTGGGGGAAGGGAGAGGATCACGCAGCCATCAGTGTCAGGTTGATTCCATTGGACCATTTCCATTGTTGAAAAGGCAGCACTTTGTTTTTGCGTGAATGTACATTTACTAAGTGTGTAGATTTATCTACTCTCCCTAAAACTCTTCCTAAATACTGTCATCCATGGACTTGCAAAAATGCCTTATTCAGCATCACTGTATAGCATGCATCACTGATTTTGGTGAAGAAACTCATTTTACAGCAAATGAGTGCAGCAATGGGCTCATGTTTATGGGAGTCACTGGTATTGCCATGTTTCCCATTACTGATAGAATGGAGTAATAACTTTTTGAATGTTAGTTACAGTAACAGCTGGATAATACCACCTTGCAAGGCTGAGGTAATGCCTCCCAGAATGCTAAATATGCTCTAAATAAGCAAAAATACATGGTGCTATTTTCCCAGAGCCAGGATTTATAGATCTGGGAATCAAGAGGTGAATATGGGAGTGGTTCCTTTCACTATTATCCCTAGTGATCCACTAGAGAAATGTTTGTTTCTTGTTTCCATTACTTTAGGCTTTGCTGTTCTAGAAGTCTTAGGTGTCAACTACGGATCATAGCAATGGTGCCATTAAACTGGAAATTCAGAGTGCCACCCTGAGAGTAAGAGGAAACAGTATGTTTTTAGTCTTATGAGGAAAGGTTGCCATCATGCTAGTAGAAGCATGTGTTGCTACTCTGTTTGAAATATAGGTATGTTTAGAGAAGATGTACGCTGATGTGAAGTTGACACAGGGTAGATTACTGTGGCTCTTTGAGTGTCAACTTTGCTAAGTTTGAACTACTTACACCCTTCCCCTTATATTTTCAGATTAGAGTTGGCCACAAGAATAACAAACAATGTATGAGATAGGAAAGATGAACATGAAACACCAATCATTTTATATTTAGAAAGTGGGCATAGAGCACCAACACTGTGGCAGCTTATGCAATTTGTTGCTGATCTGGCCTGCCACACTGACAGCTATTCAAAATCCCATCAATTGTTCTCCTTCAGCTTTTTGAATTCTGGGCCAGTTGAATGTGCAGCTCTATAGTGAAGGGCATCAATTTCTCCTGCAGGTCATCCATGTCATCTTAGATAGACAAAGTGAGAAAAAGGCACACCTTCCAATTTGTATTCCTGATTTCAGTGTTCCCAATTCCAGTTGGTCCTAGCTCTTCTCTACTTCACATGCAGCTTTCTTCCTTTACTGAGAACCATTCAACACCAGACATGGAGGCAATAACATTTTAAAGAGTTCTCCCCCAGCTCCCATATTTGCATTCATTTTAATGCCCATAATTAATCCTGTATTGCATACTACTCATACTGGTTCTGCCTCACTCATTAAATCCTGATACAATTAGTATGCAAAATATACCAAAAAAATCTATGAATAAGACAAATAACCAAATAGAAAAGCAGCAACATGAACAAACAAAAATCACAAAATAGAAGAAAGCAAAGAGCTAATACAGGATATCCAGCCTCATTAGTAATCAGAGAAATACAAATTAAAACATGAGCTACTCTTTTTTTTTTTTTTTTTTTTTTCTGAGACTGAGTCTCGCTTTGTCGCCCAGGCTGAAGTGCAGTAGTGCAATCTTGGCTCACTGCAACCTCCGCCTCCTGGGTTCAAACGACTCTCCTCCCTCAGCCTCCCAAGTAGCTGGGACTAGACTACAGGCACACGCCACCATGCCCGGGTCATTTTTGTATTTTTTTTTTTTTTTTTTTTTTGAGACTGAGTCTCGCTCTGTTGCCCATGCTGGAGTGCAGTGGCGCGATCTCAACTCACTCCAACCTCCACCTCCCTGGTTCACGCCATTCTCCTGCCTCAGCCTCCCGAGTAGCTGGGACTACAGTCACCCACCACCACGCCCAGCTAATTTTTTGTATTGTTAGTAGAGATGGGGTTTCACCATATTGGCCAGGCCAGTCTCAAACTCCTGACCTCGTGATCCGCCCAACTCAGCCTCCCAAAGTGCTGGGATTACAGGTGTGAGCCAGTGCTCCCAGCCATGAGCTACTATTTCACACTCATCAAAGGAACAAAAATATTAAAATGTTTGACAACTCTAAGAGTAAGTCTGGAGGTGGAACAAGAGGAAGTTGTTTACGTTGCTGGTGAAACTGTAAACCATTTAACGAGTTTGTAGAATGATTTAGAAATACTGTAAATGGGCACTCCCTAAGACCTACCAATTTCACATCAAGGAGGGACCATAGAGAAACTTTCAAATAGTAAAAATGGGGTTGGGCACATTTAGTCATCTCTATCTAGAGAATAACGATACTAATATATAACAGAGCTTGAGAAACAGACTGATTGAAGTTGGTTATCCAGTAGCAGGAGAAGGTCTGTACTGCCAACTGTGGTAGATATCCCCTAGAATAGTGCCAAGTGGTTCCTGCCATCAGATAATCATGCCCTTGTATGATCTCCTCCCCTTGTGTGTCAGCTTGATTTGATGGCTCGTTTCTTGTGAATAGAATGTGGTAGAGGTGATATGTCATGTGTAAGATTGGGTTACAAAAAGCTCCTGTCTGGGGCACCCTCTCGCACTCTTAAGTGATGCCAGCTACTATATCATCAGCTGCTCTATGGAGAGACTCACATGAGAAAGGAATGATGTTCCAGTCAACATTCAGCAAGATCATTAGGCCAGCCAACATTCTTATGAGTGAGTTTAGATGTGCTTCTTCCCCAAGTTGTGCCTTGAGAGGATCGCAGCCCTGTCTGGCAGTTTGGTTGTAGAAATGTCAGATCTTGAGCCAGGAGCACCCAACTAAGTCATGCTCAGATCTGACCCGCAGAAACTATGAGATAATAAGTGTTGTTTTAAGCCACCGAGTTTTGGAATAATTTGCAAAACAGCAATATAGAACTAATATGCCTTCCAATAATCATTGCAACCCACAATGATAAGCAAATTCTTAATTTCAGACTGATGGGGACTCTGAATTACCTAAAGCCACTCATTAATGCATTAATTCAAACTAGTTCAAAGCCACCAAGTCCTGTGATAAACTTATAAAAAAATTTGCAAAGCCTATGTTTTTATGGAGTTTTGTATGCAGGCAATAAACAAATAAATAAGTTAAATATATCTTAAGAGTGGGCTGCATGTGGTGGCTCACGCCTGTAATCCCAGCACTTTGGGAGGCAGAGGCGGGTGGATCACTTGAGGCCAGGAGCTCGAGACCAGCCTGGCCAACATGGTGAAAACCCATCTCTACTAAAAATACAAAAATTATCTGGGCGTGGTGGTGGGTGCCTGTAATTCCAGCTACTCGGGAGCCTGAGGCAGGAGAATCACCTGAACCCAGGAGGCAGAGGTTGCAGTGAGCTGAGATTGTGCCACTGCACTCCAGCCTGGGCGACAGAGTGAGACTGCATCTCAAATAAATAAATATATATATTAAGTGAGATTATGATAAGTGATATAGAAAAAAGTAAAGAAGCAAGAGAGAGAAAGCCAGGCCAAAATAAAGTCTGCAGTTTTAGAAAGGATAAAGCCCTCTTCTGAAAAGATGACATGAACAAAACCCAAAAAGGTGTGAGGGAGTCATACAGAACCCAGAAGTGCATGCCACCCAGAGGGAGGAGCCAGTAGAAACCTGTTGATGCAGGAGGTAAACTGGCCAGTGCAGCATTTAGGGGACCTGTGTACCTTTCTAAGGACTTTAGCATTAACTCTGGAATGAAATGAGAATTAGGTTTTGAATGAAGAGTCACAGAACTAGACTATGTTTTAAAATGAACTCTGGCTGATGAGCTGAAAAAAGATTGTGTGCGGTGGTGGGAGGCAGGTTTGGAGGACAGAAACTGTGGAGACAAGAAGGCTGGTTAGAAAGTTTTTTATAATAGTCTCCATGAATATAATGGTTCAGACCAGGGTGGGAATGATGAAGGTCGTGAAAAATGGTCAGTTTCTGAACACAGATAGTCCCCTACTTAGGATAGCTCAACCTATGATTTTTTGACTTTGAGGGGTTTATCTAGATGTAACCCCATCATAAAATGAGGAGCATCTGAACACACAATGGTTCAACTTTTTGACTTTACAATGCGTATGTAGGGTATTAATTGTATTTTCAATTTACAACATTTTCAATTTGCAATGGGTTTACTGGGATGTAATCCCAAGTCAAGAAACATCTATAGAGTTTCAAGGAAGATTCAACAGGATTTTCCAGCCAAATAAATTAATTTGTAAATTACATATGTGTATTTATTCACTGAAAGATACCTGGTGTAAGTCATTAAACCAGAGGAATACACGTTTTACTAATCCTACATTCAAATATTTCCTATTCATAATCCCCTGTAATCTATACCCACTGCTATTGTATGGCTCCCAGGCAATATAATGACCATTTGCAATGACTTTTTAAAGATTTAAAACACATTTTATTTTTTCAATTGTGCTATATTTTAATAAGCAGTAGAGTGCTTACATGACAAGTTGGTTTTTTAAACAATTCTGTCATTACAGCAACTGTGATGGTTACTGATGTTTCCACTCTTTTGGGGTAACTCTGCCAACAGGGGATAGGTTCCATTCTATTCCAATCTGAGTGGCTGTAAACACCCATGTAGCAACACAGAAAGCAGTTCCACTGGCTAGCACAGCATTACCATATTTATCATGAAAATCTGGTGAGTGTTTTACATGGCTATGTCTTGCCATGCTTTGCAGAATGCTTTGAATCTTGAGACTGCTTAGTGCATTTCTGGCCAAGGGAAACATCATGAAGGATTGCAGTTGCCTTCAGCTACTGGTCTATTTTGTTGCAAAGAGGCTGGAAAGAGAGAAAAGATATGCATTGATGTCCAATCTTTATTCAATTCCTTCCGCTTTGAATGTCTGGCTACATCACCCCTTGGAGTGGTGTTCAGGAATGTGAGTTTTGATATAACAATATCTGAATTTGAATCCCAGCTTTGCCACCGATTAGCTATATGAACTTGGGGCAATTATTTAACTTCTTTTTGCCTCAACATTATTACATGTGATAATCCAAAAGAAAACAACAACAAGGTAAGCATGTAATAAATGTTAGCTTTTCTACTCATCACAAATATCCAATGCATTGACTCTACAGACTACAAACTTATTAACATGGCTACAATAGACAGAAAGTCACAGAACACGCCATGCCTCCTCACTCTCCTCCTCCTCGTTTTCTCCCTCCTGCTTAACCCCTTTCCTTCTCCTTCTTTAACTGTAATACTTACCTTCCCCCTCCTACAGGCAAAATTCTGCTTGCCTTTGAAATTCCGCTCTAAGAGTTACCACTTCTGTGAAGTCTTTTCCATATCTCACTAAGTTGAATACACCCCTTTGTCTCTGGGTTATCACACAATTTACAAACTTTTTTTCATAACACTTAACATTGAGGAATTATCTTTTTAAATAGAAATATTTTGGGGAAGCAGTTTTGGTTCACAGCGAAATTGAGCAGAAGACATTGAGAGTTCCCATGTACCCTGACCCTATACACCCACAGCCTCCCTAGCTATCAACATCTTCCACCAGGGTTGTACATTTGTTGGAATCAATAAACCTACATTGACATTTCATGATTACCCAAAGTCCATAGTTTACATGAAGGTTCACTCCTGATATTGTACATTCTATAGGTTTTAACAAATGTATAATGACATGTATCCATCATTTTAGTATCATACAGAATAGTTTCAGTGCCCTAAAAAGCCCTCTGTGCTCTGCTTATGTTACCGAAACACCAAAGGTTTGGTCTCTGTCCTGCTGCTCACCACACAGAAAGCCAATCACTGAGACACCAAGTATTGCCAAGGAAGAAGGGTTTAATCAGGTACTGCAGCAGAGGAGATGGGAGCTCAGTTTCAAATCCATCTCCCTGACTTAAACCAGGGCTTTATATAGCAGGCAAGAAATGTAAAAATGTGTAAGAAAACAGGCATTTGGGAAGAGAAAGGAAGCAATCATGGTGAATGATGGGTCCAGCATCTGGTGTGGTGATCTGGTTTCATTTTTTTTTTTACTTTTTGTGAGAGGCCTAAAGGTCATTTCCTGAGGAAGGAACTCAGATAAAACAAATAAAAGTTTCAAGCTTCTTAACACTAGAAGGGTCAATTTCTATGTTTATCAAAAAGAACAGTCTACAGGGCAATGGTTCGGTTTCACCTATTCATCTTTCTGTTTTGACTTACTCCTGGCAACCACTGATCTTTTTACTGTCTCCACAGTTTTGCCTTTTTCAGAATGTCATATAGTTGTAATCATACAGTATACCTGTTCAGACTGGCTTCTTTCACTTCAAAATATACTTTTAAAGTTCATTCATATCTTTTTGTGGCTCGAGAGTGCATTTCTTTTTAGTGCTAATTAATATTCCACTGTCTGGATGCACCACAATTTATCTATTATTTTACTGAAGGACATCTTGATTGCTTCTAAGATTCAATTAGTACGAATACAACTGCTGTTGCTATAAACATCTGTGGGTAGGGTTTTGTCTGAATATATTTTTAACTAATTTAGGTAAATCAAGGAGCGTGATTGCTGAATCACATAATTTGTTTAGTTTTATAAGAAACTGCCTAACTGCCTTCCAAAGTGGCTGTACCATTTTGAGTTCCCACCAGCACTGAATGAGAGTTTCTTTTGTTCCACATCCTGGCCAGCATTTGATGTTGTTAGTGTTCTGGATTTGGGCCATTCTAATCGGTAAATAGGTGTTTCATTTGCAGTTCCCTGATGACATATAATGTCCAGCATCTTTTTATATGCTTGTTTGCCATCTTCATCTCCCCTTTGGGAAGTATCTATTTCAGGCCTTTCGCTTATTTTAAAAATTCAGGTTGTTCATTTTCTTATTGTTGAATTTTAAGAGTTCTTTGTATATTCTGGATAACAGTCCTCAATTCGATATGGATTTTGTAAATACTTTCTTCAAGCCTGTGGTTTGCCTTGTCATTCTCCTAAGGAATTATCTTTTTATTCTCTTCTGATAAACTGCAAGTTCTCCAAGAGCAAGGGAGGTAACTGCATATAAAGTAGCTGACACAAAAGCATAAAAAGATCTTTTTAAAACCAATCTGAAATATAAGTGAATATTGGTATCCTCATAAGAAGCTAAAATGAATGCTAAGAACAAGCCAAAATACAATGAAATTAGATGTGCATTTCATAATAGCCAAAATTATTTTATTTCTTAGATAGTTACAAGAAATCTGGAAGTAGAAACATAAAATAATTCTTTAAATTTATCTTCCTGTGTGCAAGTTGTCAAACAACACTCTGTCTTCAGCAATGACATATCTTAACTGTGGCCCAAACATAGGCAACACAGATATAAAAGGCCCTGAGGTCAATACTTGTAAACATAACTATTCACTGAGATTTTCCAGCTCAGAAGACTTTATTCCAACTTTGAAAACAAGACCCCAAGGTTCTCTTTTATTTCCTACCATATGGTAAGTGGTACTCATCATGATTGTGACAAACAGGGCAACCAGAGCCAAATTAATTTCTTCCGAGGTTCAAGATATTAAAAAATGTTTCCTGTTAGTCATGAATCTTCCCACCCAAAGACACCAAGGTTTTCATTTGAATTGAATTCAGAGAGTAGGCAGAAGGTGACATCGGTCAGGGTATGACAGGTGCAGCCTTAATCCAGTACAAAAGGACCTGTGCCACACATTGCTTTCATTCTTTAGGAAGACACATAACCAAAGAATGATTTGTGATAACAGGGATTTCTAGTGGGTCGGCTCATGCTTGCTGCTTTATGACAAATTGATTTCATTTTTCTTATACTCATGATGTTACATTTAAATTCAGATCCTTTGTCTCTAGTGACATTGATCACATTTCTTAGAAGCTTAGTTCATCCTTTGGCTATTCCCATATCTATAAAGCTTTTCTTTTCCATCTAGCCTGAATTTTCTTGAACCAGTAAGTCTATTACTAAGAATTCTCCTTTAGGAAATCCTTCCATAGTTTGCAGTTGGCATTTCATCCTATAATAAACAAACTGCAGTCTCTTTGCTCTTTTTCTTTTCCTTGTCGGCATCAGCTACATCCGTCTCAACTGCCTTCAGATCTATCTTATCTTTATCTTTATAAAATACATGTAAAAGCTAAGAAAATTCAAGGAATTTTCCATATTGTTTAAACCCATATTACATACCTCTACAATAAATTTTGTGTTATCAGTAAGTCCTACTCCTATTATCTAAAGAACTAAAGCTACAGGTTCTAATATCCATATGAAAGCATAAAAAAGAAATTCAATAATATAGTAGGTAAAGGAAATGTTTCTGAAAGTAGATCTTTCTGACAAAAATAGACTACAAAAAGATAGAGGAAGACAGATTTCTCTAGGTAGTAAAAACAAAGTAAAAGTTCCCTCATGCCCATGGCAGTAAAAGAAATATGTTCTGAATAAATATAAATGGTTAAAGGGAGTGAAGTATTCATTGAAGTTGAAAGACTGATTGTGTCATCTATTATATGTAGTCATCTTAAAGTTCTTTCTGCAAAAAATAACTAATACTTGATCTCAGTCTAACTACAATAAGGAAGTATATAAATCTGAAGCTTCACTGGTAACGATAATAATTTCAAATCGCTGAAGGCTATCAAAAGAAGTAAAACAACAGTGTAGTAAGGAAACTAACATTTATTGAGTATATACCTGTGTGTTAAGACATTGTGCCAAGATTTTGCACATCTGAAAAAATGGTGTGGAAGGATGACTGTTTAACCTTGTTTTACACCTAAGAACAAATGACAGGAAAGGATGTGAATGTAAGTCCTCTGATTCTAAATCCAACTAATTCTTCAACCATACCATGTTTTCTTAAAGTGTATTCAACTCTGAGTATTGGAAAATGATCAAACAAACCAAACCAAACCAAAACAAAACAAAACAAAACAAAACCAAGCTGGTTACCAGAGATGGCTCTTTAATTGGAAATGGTTCACAGTACTTTGCTATTTATTTACCTATTAACTACTGTACGTTACAGCCTGGGATAGATGTCATCAGCACAATGTCTACTCTAAAGAAGCTTATGGTATAGTGGAGAAATAAATAATTATTGCTCTACATAAGGAAGTAGGCTAGAAACTAGCACAGGGTGTATTTAGTTCACAGAGGAGGGGGCGTTTTATCCTGAGATCCTAGGAATGGTTTTAGAAGAGATGATACCTAAGCTAGATCTTGAAATATTATTTTGAAATAGACAGAAACAAAAATTGTTGGTGGGGAGGAATACAGAGATGGAGAAGCAAAACGTAAGCACACAGGCTGGAATTAATACAGAGACAAGGCAATCTGGTGAGCTCGGTAACACTACGTAATAAGCATTGAAGCAACAAATGCCCAACAGATGAGCCTGGAGACATGAGAAAAGAATGGCACACTGGGGACTTTAAATGCTTTGCTATGGCATTTGACTCAATTCTACAGGTCAGTGTTTCCCATTATTTAAAACCTTTGCTGTTTTAATACTCACAAACTTTGCTGTTGAGTTAACAATGAGAATTTTTAATTTATTAATAAATTAAATCAAAATTCATTTTTAATTTTTTATTTTCATGATAATATAAAAATAATATGAGACCTGGATGATGCAGCTTATCAATTTCTAGTGTCTCTGTTTATCTTTGTTCTGCATTTTAGCTGCAAAGGTATATAGCAATTATTTGCCCTGGGTTAATGCAAAAAGAATGGATGCAGCTTTTATGTTAAAGTGTTCGTTTGCAAGGGACAAAATAAAGAATTAGAAGAATTGAGTCATACCAAAGCTTACTAACCACAGACATGTGAAAATAAAAGAACTATGATCACTACAAACAGTGTTAGAGTTTCAGGACAATGTTAACTGTCATACTGTTAACATGACAAATTTGATCTTTATTTGTTGTATAGTTTGTTTCATTTTTTATTTGAAAACATGTTTTGGTTTTATCGTTGTATTAAGCTCCCAATATAATGAAGATCAATTCAGTTTCAAGTTTACCCATATGTAAGTTATTTTGTAATAAAATAATTTAAGATGGTACAAGTGATGAAATAACTTTAAGAAGATTCCAAACGTAACTCAAGTTTGAGAAACATTCCTGTAGGTGAGGAGAAACTATTGATTGGTGTAATCAGAAAACACATTTTACAAACGTAATTGTTAGGTGTAAAATGGATGGAGAGATGACAAAAATGCCAAAAATTTAAGATGTTAGTTAACTATTGATGGCAATGCTTAATGAAAAAGAAAATAATGATCTAAATTAAGTACTCATACCAGAAATAGAAAGAAGATAGAATCGAGAAATATAAATAAAATAAAAATCAGATCAATTTAGTAAGTAAGTTACTCTAACTAAATTGAGTATTCCATTCACTTAACCTCTGGGTTGATTTCACCCAAAACCTCTGTGCTGATTTCTGTTCAAAATCAGCAGATATTGACACTGTAGCTTGTTGCTGACCTTGGGAATCAGAGTTTGGGTGATCTAGGCACCGAATACTGAAAGGTCAAAGCATACATAATTAAGGTGTGCCACAGAAAGGCAGGTTTAGATGCCTGAGTAGAAGGGGGAGGCATCTTCAAAAGGATTTGCTGTATGATCCAAAAACAAAATAATAACTGTATCCAGTCTAAGTAAGTATAGCCCAACATGGACCAACAAATGACCCACTTAGCTTCGATATAGGCTTTTTATGTAATTTCAAGAAGAAAACAAAACAGAGTCCTATTTCTCACATTGCCCAGATATTACTCTTAAATAGTTCAGAGGAAGATGAAGCTCAAGAAGGCATTAAGGGGTATATCAGGGTTTCCCAATCTGGATACAACTGATATTTTGGTATGAATAATTCTTTGTTGGAGAGGGGAAAAGTAATCCTGTGCATTGTAAGATGTTTAGTAGCATCCCTACCTCTACCCACTAAATAACAGCAGTAGTATCCCCCAGTTTTGACACCATAAATGTCTCCAGACCTTGCTAAATGTTACCTAGGGTGCAAAATCATTCCCAGTTCAGAACCACTGCTGTATATACAGAAAGGTGTATCCTCCCCTATCACTTCTCCGCCATGAATGACACCATTCTATACAATAGAGAAGGCAACTTAAAATCTAAGAAAATAAATTATCCTGGTCCCTACCATGGGATGCAAAAATGTTGCCCATCAACATTTTTCCTGAACTAATCCCAATATTTTAAATGGTTTATGATACAACTCAGATGAATCACTTAATCTACCTGGACAGCTGCTTACCCCCTATAAAATAAAAAAGTTGAACTAATTTAGTTTTTCCAAACCTATCTGATCCTAAAAGTCATCTGGAATCTTTATGACAAAATGTAGATTCCTGGGCTCAATTTCAAATGTACTGTAACAGAGTCTCCAAGGGGAGTAGCCTGAGAATCTGTATTTTTTAAAACAAATTCTCAGGAGAGTTTTATCATCAGAAATATTTATGGAACATTGAGTCAGATAATCTCCAAGGTACTATCCAGCTCTAACACTCTGGGCTTTTCCTTGGCGGAAAAATAAAAAGAAGCATTTTAGGAAGACCATTTATTCTTTTAGGCCACTGAAAGAGTACAATAGTAATTGAATCTACTACCATGGTAATTTAGAAAGCAGTACCTGAGTGACCTGAAAGAGTTATAGGGACCCCCTGGGAATAAGTTAGTCAAAAGAAACATTTGGTAGCATTTAAAAACATTAAAAGCATTAGTAATACAGGTGTTCTGCTGTATAAATGAATGATACACTTTTGGAGCTAGGACTCCTGGACATTACTCAACTGAAATACCTTGATTTCCACTTGCTTTTATTTCCACTCTTCTTTTTACAGCTTCATGATATCAATGCAAAATAAGAAACAATAAAAAAAAGCAATCTTCTTGAAATGGAAATGCACATAACCTGCAGTGTCTTCAATTCATTTATGTATTTGTCAGCAGATGATGATGCTCAAGTAGGGATTAAGTGTACACGGTGCAAAGTGTCCCCTTTCACAATATATTCAAGTTTTCAGCCATTTCATAACAGGAAATATGGGAACTCTGAAAGAAGCAATGCCGCTGGTAAAAATGCTGAACAATGGTTCTATTTTATATGTAATGGCATCATCTCCTAAGTCACTGAATTGATGGATAGTACAACCATTTGCTTAAGGCTGTGTTTTATGTCACTTCATTAAGCCTAAAAAGTTACAGAAATGGATGCTACCTAAACAAACAGAAAGGCAGATTATAGCAGTGAATTGTTATGCCTGGAGGAAAAATAAGAGAGTGGACAAAGAACCTGTGAGCTGGTGTCCTCAAATGCCATATGTTGCCTGAAGAGTAAAGGGATATTGAGGTAGGCACTCTCGCTCAGATTCTTCCCAGTCACAGTCTAAATGAACAGATCATTTCTATCCCATATGGAGTGTTGAAAGTATTCAGTAATGCCCAGTCTGAGAATAATCACAGTGTTCATTTAGGCAGTTTCTTTTATGGAGCAGATCACATTAAGGTGGTTCACTCATTAAGTACCCATAATATTTTCTTTAATCATAAGGTCCTTCCAACTATACTCACTCTTTTTCCTTTCTGATAGCTATGAGTAAGAGATAACAAAACAGTGGCATACAGGTTGAAGGCTTTTCTGTGTGTCACACTGTGAGTCAGTGTCCCAACTGTGCAACAATTCTTATTTTGTTCATTATTAAACTTCAAGTAGGCCCAACACATTTCCTCAAAGTGGATGTCTATGTTATTTTGACATTACAGTACCTTTCAAATATGTACAGTTCACCAGCTAAGGTCCCAAAATGTGCTAGTCCCTTAGTGTAATCACATTTCTGCATTCAAATCTTCAGCTTTGCAGGGCAAGATCACAATTACTTTGCACAGGTATCTAAAAAGGACAAACCTCTGAGAATCTGTCTCATGCTAATGGAACTCTCAGAAACTGATGTATAAACTGGAATGTAGGAATGTATTTCATTAACTTAAAAAAAGTATATTCCATCCCAGTGGCTGAAATACATAGTCTCTTAGCTTTAATAGTTTGACAGTGATTCCAATTGAAAAGGGATCTTATGTCAGTATTTCCCAAAATATGCCTATTTCACTAGTTCTCTTTGATGTTATATTAATAGAAGTTACTTGAAAACGGGGTTTCGATGTTATCTAAGTTTTGAGAAGTATGCAGCTAACAAAGTCAAATTTTCTTTATTGAAGTATTTTTCCAACCTCTATTGTGCTAAACAGTGATTCTTTGAGAGGGATGGCATGTGGT
The DNA here is from genome assembly GCF_000001405.40 of Homo sapiens. Taxonomy (NCBI): domain Eukaryota; kingdom Metazoa; phylum Chordata; class Mammalia; order Primates; family Hominidae; genus Homo; species Homo sapiens. The sequence goes on from NC_000004.12 coordinate 46,743,732, forward strand.
GTATTCCAAATGTAGCTAAACATGCCATGCTTTTTTTCCCCCTGAAGCATTATCTCCAGATTAGTGTTTTGCAGAACACAATTAGGGGAAAACCAAAGGATGCCTCTGTGTTCTCAATATTGTTACATCACTGTACTCATTTCCAAAGGCTTAATGGATCCAGGAGGCATCTCAAAAACTAAATCATTTCCTTGTGGGAACTTTTAACATAAGATTCAAGGAGTACAGGGTGTGTGGTAATCCCAGTTTGTCTTAACAACACTCATAAGAGCAATGAACTCTAGCCTTCATTATATGATTCTAACTTTGGCAGTTTTAATATTTGTGCAGATGTTTCTCTGGTTTCAACATCTGAAATTGACCCAATGGTCCCATAGTTTTTTTTTTGTATAAACATAGAAAATTGACCCTTCTTGTTTTAAAGCTTGAAAGTTACATTTGTTTCATCTGAGTTCCTTCCTCCGAGAAGGATCCCCAGGCGTCTCAAAAAGCATCAAAGTACCAGATCCCCGCATCCAGACAATGGGACACCAGTCCCCTCATTCATCATGATTACCTCCTTAGGCCTCCTGAGCTCCTATTTTCCTATGCATTGCTACATTTCTTCCCTGCTATAAACCCTTAATTTCAGTCGGTCGGAGAGACGAATTTGAGATTGATCTCCCTCCCATCTCCTTGGCTATAGCAGCCAACCTCTGCTATAATCGTTGTCTCAGTCATTGGCTTTCTCTGTGGTGAGCAGCAGAACCTAGACCAAACCCGCGGTGTTACGGTAACACATCCATCTTTATTAATTATATAGACTCTGAATAAAAATATTTCATGATTCTACGTGGCCATTAAAGGTGAATCAATGACCCCTCATTGCATAATTTGAAACTTTCATTAAAACTTTGAAATGGGCTTGTCAAAGTCATTTCTGCCTTCAATCTATCACTGATATATTTAGGTAAAAGTATACAGGAAACATTGGCCTGTTTAACTTTTAGATATCAAAGATATTTTAATTTTTTTTTTTTTTTTTTTTGGGAGACGGAGTCTCTCTCTGTCACCTAGGCTGTAGTGCAGTGGCGTAATCTCGGCTCACTGCACCCTCCACCTCCCAGGTTCAAGCAATTCTCCCGCCTCAGCTGGACTACAGGCGCACGCTGGCACGCCCGGCTAATTTTGTTGTGTTTTTAGTAGAGACGGGGTTTCACTGTGTTGTCCAGGCTGGTTTTGAATTCCTGAGCTCAGGCAATCTGCCTGCCTCAGCCTCCCAAAGTGCTAGGATTACAGGTGTGAGCCACTGTGCCCAGCCAGATATTTTAATTTTTAAAGACACATTTACCAATTGTTTCCATTTTGCATTAAAATTGTTTGCAGTTGCCAACCAGAACTCAAGCCAGTAAGGGTCCAGTCCAGAAGTTAATTTTGATAAAACTACCCATTTAGATTGGAATATTTAGCACTGCAAAGTAATCTTTTCCACCTTGCTTCTGCAAACTCCAGATTATTTATTTCCAACTTGGACTATCTCTGTGCTCCTAAATTCTGCTCAAAATATACCTGTTAATTAATCTTTTTATGAATAAGGCTCTTGTTATTGCTATCACCTAGATAACTTATGGTGCATTCGCAGAGAAATTTCATCTGATGAGAAGAACACATAACAGCATTGAAGTAGTAACTCTAATCATTGAAAGCTGTTTTACTAGGCCAGTGCTTTCAGTATAATTTTCTTTTTTTCACTTTCATAACATTTTGGAGACTTTAAAAAAACTTTTAACAAGATATTGGTAAAAATAACTTTTAACAAGATATTTTACCTATCCTTTTTTCCCCCTTGGATTCATTATTTGTAAGTGAGAAAAACTGGCCAGAGGGGCAAACTTTGGTACACTGATTTTTTTTTCCTTCTTGTAGATGCCTCAGCAGAAACAGTGAGACAGGATGCACTTTGCTAAACTTTGGGGCAGGGTGCTTATTTTAGTGAACTGATATTTCATTTTAGTTTTTCTTTTAAGTTCCTGAGGGAAGGATCTTAAGGAAGAAAGCAAGCCTGAAAGAGGTTACCCATCTAAAAACATGCAACAAAAAATCAGAATACAGATTTTTGTTTTGAAATCCTACAATTTCCAATTACATTCTTGTTTCAGAGAGGTTACAAGGTTTCAACCTCTATTTCATTAATCTAACGGAGTCTAAAATTTCTTAAGTCTAAAAGGGCACCCCTAAACTAAATTAACATAATCATCTGAATATTTGTTAATTAGAAAAGTAAAATTTCTATGCAAATAGGCCAGAATTTTCAAACACTAGATACAGTTTATATAGTTTAGAGCCACTGTTGATAATGGAATGGTAGGTTTTCTTATACAGATAATATATTTTATCATATTCATCAAATAAAAAACCATCAGATCTGAAAGACCTAGAGATCACTTTATATTGCCCTTTAATATTTTAATAATCTTTTGGTCACTGGCCATTCATGACTTGATGCATGTTGAAGAACAATGTGGGTAGAAATTAGAGTGTGAATGGCAAATAGTAAATACACAGAACCCAATACTCCTTTCCTGGCTTTATACTCTATTTGAGGAAGAGGCAGAGAGCCAAACTCATATATGTGTTTTCTAATGAAAAGAAATTATAAAAGTGGCACAAAGATCTAAGTGTAGAACAGGTAAGGGACCTAAATCTTTTGCCCTCCTCTAGAATCAGGGCATTGACCAAAAGTGGAGCATGGAGTACGCTGTCACCAGAGGTAGGCAGAATGGATATTGAATGGGGCGGAAACAAAAGATGTCCAGTATACATTGAAAGTACAGTGGAAACAGAGGTTTATTCATTGAGAGAGACCAGTGGACTAGATTTTCTAAAGTTTCTTCCTCCTCTATGATTTTGTTTCTATATCTAAAGTTTCATATAAGTGTGATACACTGCCCCAGAGGAGTCTAAGGCTGGGGCAAATCTACAATGTGTGAGGATGGGAACATGCAGTCTTTTTAAGCAACTTGTTTCCACAAATAAAAGTTGCCCTTTCCAAGGTTTTTAGTGCATGACAAGATCCCTTAGAAAACCCTAAATAGCACTACTTTGTTACTTAAACTTATTTTGTTTACTTAAACTTGATTAAACTGAGCTCCTATTATGTGACTACAGCCTACTAAACACAGGAATTACCATAAAAATAATGGATAAGAATGATTTATCTTTTCAGGAATGCTCAGCAGAAGAGGCAGATAATGATAAGGTTTCAATGTGCAAAAAGTAATAAAAAATATGATCAGGCTGCTATGTCACCAAAAATATGAGACATCTTTCCCAAACAAACAGACCAGGAAAAGCCTTCTGGAGTAAGTTTACCTATATAACATTTGTTATACAAGTAAACTCGTGTCATGGGGGTTTGTTGTACAGATTATTTCATCACCCAGGTATCAAGCCTAGTATCCATTAGTTATTTTTCCTAATCCTCTCCTTTCTCCCGCCCTCCACCCTCCAAAAGACCCTAGTGTGTGTTATTCCCCTCTATGTGTCCATATATTCTCATCATTAAGCTCCTATTTTATTTTATTTTATTTTATTTTATTTTATTATTTTCTGAGTCAGAGTCTCGCTCTGTCGCCCAGGCTGGAGGGCAATGGTGCAATCTCGGCTCACTGCAACCTCTGCCTCTCACGTTCAAGCGATTCTCCTGTCTCAGCCTCCTGAGTAGCTGGGATTACAGGTGTGTGCCACCACGCCTGGCTAATTTTTGTATTTTTAATAGAGACGGGGTTTCACCATTTTGGTCAGGCTGGTCTTGAACTCTTGACCTCGTGATCCACCCGCCTCAGTGTCCCAAAGTGCTGGGATTACAAGCATGAGCCACTGTGGCTGGCCTTAGCTCCCACTTATAAGTGGACTTTTCTTCACCTATCAAGGATAAAATATAGTTTTCAAACACTTCTCCTTTAAAGGTGACCTTCAAGTGCAACCATATATAATCAAGAGAATCTCCTTTAATGTCAAATTCCTAATGACAGCATATATAATATTGATATTATACTTAAGCATCACATTGGAATAAAGCTCCTTCTGGCTTTTTGCCAATGATGTAACACATTTTAATCTTGATTGAACATCATGTTGTAATCACCATAAAATTTGTCTTTAACGTTACTATGAAATAATAGCCGATATGCCTCACAGACATCTTTAAGAACAAACGTAATTTATAATACTGAATATATACAAAATAACCAGAACCAAGATAGTTAAAATCTAATTGTGCTTAGAATTAACAGTATCTAAAGTGGAGCCATTTATATTTACTTCAAAGTTCATGATGTTGCATCAACACCTATAACTTTCTGATTTACATTAAAGAACCAGAAAGAATAAATTTAAAAATCTTGGAACCAATACTGGCCAATTCAATAGTAGCCATGCTTCATAAGCACATGCTTCATCCAGGACCAGACTTAAGGTAGATTTATGAAGGTATTCCCTTAAGTATGTCTTACAACAATTGTCACAAATTATCTTAAAAGCCTACAAATTATTACTGCTCAAATACTGGCAATGACCAAAAATATTGATAAAGCATATACCCACCATGAAAGTACCCTACATAAAACATTATTTTATTTAACTGAAGAAAATAGTCTCAAAACAAAAAAATACTTTAGGCTAAAACAGCAATTTATACTGTGTGAACTGTACACAGCATGAGAATATTATATAATTGTGGTGGGCAAGAGCAGAGGGGGCTGCCCACAGGAAAAGGAATCCAGGTTCAGACAACTATTCAAAAAACCTTGGCCATTTCCTGAACTTCCAGTCACTCTTCTTTCACTCCATGCAGTTTTCATTCCCTAATTCTATATCAATAGGTAGTCCAAAGGTCAATGGACTCTCTATCCCGCAAAATGAACATTTTAGATCACTTTTCTTGACTTTTCACTGCAATAATACCAATTATTTCTTTCCTGGAAACTCTTCTTCTATTAGCTTCCATGATATTCCCTTATTACTCTTCATGTCTATATGGCTATTTCTTCTTTACAAACTCATCTTCTAACAAATTCTTAGAAGTAGGAGTTCTTCAGGGTTCACTCATAGGTTCTCATCTATTTTTGCTTTTTATGTTCTCTCTCTCACTAGGTAGTTCAACCACACTAATAAACTTAATTGTCATGGGCAATTAGATGACTCCCACGTTATATCTGCATATATGAACTCTCTTGTTACTTCCAGAGAAATACAGTACATCAAACTTCCTTCCCAACATTTCTCCTAAAATAGCTCAAAGTGTCTGCAAAATCAATAGAATAAGTGTACAATCATGCTCTTCTACTCCCAAGTTTGATCCTTATCAATGTTTCATCCTTTATGATTTTGTTTCTATATCTAAAGTTTCAAGTAAGTGTGTTACACTGCCTGGGACTGATGCTCATCCCAGTGAACAGCATCTCCATCATTTAGCTGAGCAAGTTAAATGTAGAAATAATTCTTGATGCCTTCAGCTCCCTCGCAATATATAATATTTAATTCTTTAATTTTGACATTTAAATTAAATTTTAAAATATTTTAAAATATCTCAAATCTGCTAACTTTTCTCTATCCAAAATGTCTCCATCCTAACTTAACTTCATTTCATATGCTTTCTTTAAATGGTCTTTCCACAATACCTCTGCCATTCCCCATCCTCCATCTATTTTCCCAACTGCTAACAAGGTAGCCTAAGAGAAGAAACATGACTATATCACATCCACAATGAAAACTCTTTGTTATACTCACTATGTGATAATTTACATTAAAAATATTGTAGTATAAATAGTGTTATGTACATGTACATAAATTAACTTCAATTTACAGTGTAAGGATTGTTAGTTTGCATCTGAAGTACACTAATCAGAAATCCATACTCTAGGAATGGCTACAAGATGTACCTGTCACATAATTATAGAAGTATAAACCAGAGGGTGTGTTAATTCATCTAATGGATGTTAGAAATACTTTTTCACTGATGAGATGAATGATATTCAAGATATGTGGTTGATTAGAAAGGTTGTGTCAGGCCTAATGCTTTCATAGGGACAAAGTATGAGAATCTGCCAAGTATAGCACTCTAACACACTGGGAATAATAATTCAGATCTAGAGTTCTATTGGTCACAAGTTTCTCCTCTGCACAGAGAATTCTATTATCTGATTCAACTACCAAACCGGATGCTCCTACCATTAAAGGAATACCATTGGCTTTATTTTAATGTAAGGAGTATGCCAAAGGACACAGAGTAAGGACTTCACTGGGTGTACATTCCTATTCTTATGTTCTATCCAATTCCACAGAATAAGTTTAAGAATTTCTTTTATTGGCCAGGTGCAGTGGCTTACACCTATAATCCAGCATTTCAGAAGGCCAAAGTGGAAGGATCGCTTGAGGCCAGGAGTTAAAGACCAGCCTGGACAACACAATGAGATCCCATCTCTACACACACACACACACACACACACACACACACACACACACACACACACATTATCCAGGTGTGGTGGCACATGCCTGTAGTCCTAGCTACTCAGGAGGCTGAGGTGGAAGGATTGCTTGAGCCCAGAAATTGGAGGCTACAGCGAGCTATGATCATGCCACTGCACTCCATCAGCCTGGGCAAAAGAGACTTTGTCTCAAAACAAAAACAAAAACAAATAAATGAGAATTTCTTTTATTATAAGGACATGTATATATGATTATAATGACATCTAGTATCAAGACTCTTTATGTTCCTAAATATAACTATTAAAGAGTCCAGATATTTACCAAAATAACTTGAAAATGGTGGAAAGGTCAATTGTTTTAAGTCAGGACAGAATACCACTCAATGGTTTCTAACTTCTTTTAAGGTAAAGGCTAACTTCTTTGATACCACTTCTTCAGTCTGCCTAGGCTGCCCAAACAAAATACTAGAGCCTGCATGGCTTAAACAACAAAAATACATTTTCTCAAAGTCCTGAAGGCTAGAAATTCCAATATCAAGGTCCAGCAGGGTTGTTTCTAGTGAGGGCTCTTTTGCAGACTTCCAGATGGCCAGCTTCTCGTCATGTCCTCAAATAGTGGAAAGAAAGCTCATTTTGATGTCTCTTTCCTTATAAAGTCACCAGCCCTTTCAGATTAGGGATGCACCCTTATAACCTCATTTAATCTTTATCACCTCTTCACAGACCCTATCTCCAAATACAGACACACTGAGGGTTAGGGCTTCAAATTATGAATTTTGGGGAGGACACAAACAGTCCATAACAATGAACTATAAAGCTTTCATGGTCCTTGACAACTTAATCAGCAACATTTCACACAAATCTCCTATTCACTTTCTACATCCCAGTGACCTTCTTTCAGTTTTCTGGAATAGACATTCCTTCTTCCCAAAGATTTTTTTTTTAGTTTTGTTGCTTCTCACTTCACATAGTCAATTCCAACTCATCCTCCTGTCATCAGCTCAAATTGTTCGTGGGGAGATATTTACACTCTCTCATCTACTGTTTCAATTACTTCAAAGTGACAAACTAGGTATATGTCATACATCATTTAAAATTTTGCAAAAGCATACATATGAACTTGTTGATTCTTGGTGGTAGAGTGTATACATGTTATTTGTTGAATGTTTATATGTCTACTTTTATATCCACTTCTCACATTAACATTTAATTCTCCTTTCACTTCTAGCAAAACATGTACATATTAGTTATCATGTTCAGTTTAGAGCAAATGAAACAATATTTTTACATTATGCTACTGTCAACTCAAGTACATATTGAAATAGTGGAGATAAATAAAACAGATGCATTTTTTGCCCTTGTGGAAATCAGTTTAGTGTGAGAGCAAGCTATTTAGCAACCACAAGCCTATATACTTGTAGTATGAGATAAACTGTATAAAATATACAGTGATATAAAAATGAGAATACTAGGAAAGTGATTTTATATTAGGTGGGCAGAAAATACTTCATTGAGGAAAAGACAATTACGGTGAGACCAGGCAAAGATTAGAAATTTTCTCTAGCAGAAAGAAAAAGAAATCAGGAGCCAATACCATGCTGTTGTTGTTACTGTAGCCTTGTAGTAGTATAGTTTGAAGCCAGGTAGCGTGATGCCTCCAGCTTTGTTCTTTTGGCTTAGGATTGACTTGGCAATACGGGCTCTTTTTTGCTTCCATATGAACTTTAAAGTAGTTTTTTCCAACTCTGTGAAAAAAGTAATTCGTAGCTTGATGGGGATGGCATTGAATCTATAAGTTACCTTGGGCAGTATGGCTATTTTCATGATATTGATTCTTCCTATCCATGAGCATGGAATATTCTTCCATTTTTTTGTGTCCTCTTTTATTTCCTTGTGCAGTGGTTTGTAGTTCTCCTTGAAGAGGTCCTTCATATCCCTTGTAAGTTGGATTCCTAGGTATTTTATTCTCTTTGAAGCAATTGTGAATGGGAGTTCACTCATGATTTCACACTTTGTTTGTCTGTTATTGGTGTATAAGAATGCTTGTGATTTTTGCACATTGATTTTGTATCCTGAGACTTTGCTGAAGTTGCTTATCAGCTTAAGGAGATTTTGGGCTGAGAGGATGGGGTTTTCTAGATATACAATCATGTCATCTGCAAACAGGGACAATTTGACTTCCTCTTTTCCTAATTGAATACTCTTTATTTCTTTCTCCTGCCTGATTACCCTGGCCAGAACTTCCAACACTATGTTGAATACGAGTGGTGAGAGAGGGCATCCCTGTCTTGTGCCAATTTTCAAGCAGAGTGCTTCCAGTTTTTGCCAATTCAGTATGTAATTGGCTTTGGGTTTATCATAAATAGCTCTTATTATTTTGAGATACATCCTATCAATACCTAATTTATTGAGAGTTTTTAGCATAAAGGGCTGTTGAATTTTGTCAAAAGCCTTTTCTCCATCTATTGAGATAATCATGTGGTTTTTGTCGTTGGTTCTGTTTATATGCTGGATTACAATTATTGATTTGCATATGTTGAACCAGCCTTGCATCCCATGGATGAAGCCCACTTGATCGTGGTCAATAAGCTTTTTGATGTGCTGCTGGATTTGGTTTGTCAGTATTTTATTGAGGATTTTTGCATCGATGTTCATCAGCGATATTGGTCTAAAATTCTCTTTTTGTGTTGTCTCTGCCAGGCTTTGGTATCAGGATGATGCTGCCCTCATAAAATGAGTCAGGGAGGAGTCCCTCTTTTTCTATTGATTGGGATAGTTTCAGAAGGAATGGTACCAGCTCCTCCTTGTACCTCTGGTAGAATTCAGCTGTGAATCCATCTGGTCCTGGACTTTTTTTGGTTGGTAAGCTATTAATTATTGCCTCAATTTCAGAGCCTGTTATCGGTCTATTCAGAGATTCAACTTCTTCCTGGTTTAGTCTGGGGAGGATGTATGTGTCGAGGAATTTATCCATTTCTTCTAGATTTTCTAGTTTATTTGTGTAGAGGTGTTTATAGTATTCTCTGATGGTAGTTTGTATTTCTGTGGGATCGGTGGTGATATCCCCTTTATCATTTTTTATTGCATCTATTTGATTTTTCTTTCTTTTCTTCTTTATTAGTCTTGCTAGTGGTCTATCAATTTTGTTGATCTTTTCAAAAAACCAGCACCCAATGGAACAGAACAGAGCCCTCAGAAATAATACCACACATCTACAACCATCTGATCTTTGACAAACCTGACAAAAACAAGAAATGGGGAAAGGATTCCCTGTTTAATAAATGGTGCTGGGAAAACTGGCTAGCCATATGTAGAAAGCTGAAACTGGATCCCTTCCTTACACCTTATACAAAAATTAATTCAAGATGGATTAAAGACTTAAATGTTAGACCTAAAACCATAAAAACCCTAGAAGAAAACCTAGGCAATACCATTCAGGACATGGGCATGGGCAAGGACTTCATGTCTAAAACACCAAAAGCAATGGCAACAAAAACCAAAATTGACAAATGGGATCTAATTAAACTAAAGAGCTTCTGCAGAGCAAAAGAAACTACCATCAGAGTGAACAGGCAACCTACAGAATGGGAGAAAATTTTTGCAATCTACCCATCTGACAAAGGGCTAATATCCAGAATCTACAATGAACTCAACAAATTTACAAGAAATAAACAAACAACCCCATCAACAAGTAGGCAGAGGATATGAACAGACACTTCTCAAAAGAAGACATTTATGCAGCCAACAGACACATGAAAAAATGCTCATGATCACTGGCCATCAGAGAAAGGCAAATCAAAACCACAATCAGACACCATTTCACACCAGTTAGAATGGCAATCATTACAAAGTCAGGAAACAACAGGTGCTGGAGAGGATGTGGAGAAATAGGAACACTTTTACACTATTGGTGGGACTGTAAACTAGTTCAACCATTGTGGAAGTCAGTGTGGCGATTTTTCAGGGATCTAGAACTAGAAATACCATTTGACCCAGCCATCCCATTACTAGGTATATACCCAAAGGATTATAAATCATGCTGCTATAAAGACACATGCACACGTATGTTTATTGCAGCACTATTCACAATAGCAAAGACTTGGAACCAACCCAAATGTCCAACAATGATAGACTGGATTAAGAAAATGTGGCACATATACACCATGGAATACTATGCAGCCATAAAAAATGATGAGTTCATGTCCTTTGTAGGGACTTGGATGAAGCTGGAAACCATCATTGTCAGCAAACTATCGCAAGGACAAAAAACCAAACACTGCATGTTCTCACTCATAGTTGGGAACTGAACAATGAGAACACTTGGACACAGGAAGGGGTGGGGGGTGGGGGGAGGGGGGAGGGATAGCATTAGGAGATATACCTAATGCAAATGACCAGTTAATGTGTGCAGCACATCATCACGGGGCATGTATGCATATGTAACAAACCTACAATTTGTGCACATGTACCCTAGAACTTAAAGTACAATAAAATACGTGTGTGTGTGTGTGTGTGTGTGTGTGTGTGTATATATATATATATATATATGAAAGAAATCCAGAATAGGCCAGTAATGGGTGACAAGATTAAATAATTAATAAAAAATTTCTCACCAACAAGAAAGCCAGGACCAGCTAGATTCACAGCCAAATACTATCAAACATACAAAGAACTAATACCAATCCTACTGAAGCTATTTTTTTTAATTGTGCAGGAGTGAATTCTCCCTAACTCATTCTATGAGGCCAGTATCACCCTGACAGCAAAATCATACAAGGGCACAACAACAACAACAAAAGAAAACATGCAGTGATGAACACAGATGCAAAAATCCTCAACACAATACTAGCAAATCAAATCCAACAGCACATCAAAAAATGATACACAATATTAAGGTGAGCTTTACCCCAGGGAGTAAAGGATGGTTCAATATACTCATATCAATAAATGCTGTACATCACATAAACAGAATTAAGGACAAAAACCACATGATCATCTCAGTAGATGAATAAAAAGTCTTTGATGAAATTCAGCATCGCTTCATGATAAAAATCCTCCTCAACAAACTAGGCATAAAAGCAATATATCTCAACATAATAAAGGCCATATATGACAAACTCACAGCCAACATCATGCTTAATGGGGAAAAGTTGAAATCATTCCCTCTGATGATTTCTAATTCCCTCTAATCTAAGTTCTAGAACAAGAAAATGATGCCCACTTTCACCATTGTTATTCAACATGGCACTAGAAACCCTCAACAGAGTAATCGGGCAAGAGAAAAAAATAATAGGCATTCAAATTAGAAAATAGGAAGTCAACGTATCCCTGTTTATTGATCACATGATAATATATCTAGAAAATCCTAATGACTCCACCAAAAAATTCTCAGATTTGACAAATGAATTCAATAAAATTTCAAGATAAAAAATAAAGTTACAGAAATTGGTAGTATTTCTATACACGAATAATAATCTAGCTAAGGACCAAATCAAGAAGGCAATCCCATTTAACATGATACAAAAATAAAATACCTAGGAATGTATTTAACCAAGGAGGTGAAAGATCTCTATAAGGAGAACTACAAAACATTGATGAAATAAACTGTAGATGACACAAACAAATGGAAAGCATCCCATGCTCATGGACTGGAAGAATCAAAATTGTTAAAATTATCACACAGCCCAAAATAATATAAAGAGTCAATGCAATCCTTATCAAATGACCAGTATCAGTTTTCACAAAATTATTTAAAATAATCTTAAATTTTATATGGAACCAAAAAATGGCCCAAATAGCCAAAGAAATCCTAACCAAAAAGAACAAAGCTGGAGGCATCACATTCTCTGACTTCAAATTATACTACAAAGCTATGGTAACCAAAACACCATGGTACTGGTATAAAAATAGACACATCAGTCAATGGAACAGAGAAGAGGACCCAGAAATAAAGCCACTTGTCTACAACCAACTGATCTTCAACAAAATCAACAAAAATATGCAGTGGATAAAGGACATCCTATTCAATAATGTTGCTGGGAGATCAGATAGCCATATGCAGAAGAATGAAACTGTAACCATATTTCTCACCATACATAAAAATTAACTCAAGATGGGTTGAAGACCTAAACATAAGACCTAAAAGTATAAAAATCCTAGGAAAATCCTCTTCTGGACATTGGGCTAGGCAAAGAATTTATGACCAAGTCCTCAAAAGCAAATGCAACCAAAACAAAAATAGACAAATTGAATTTAATTAAACTAAAAAGCTTCTGTACAGCAAAAGAAACAAATAACAGAGTAAACAGACATCCTACAGAATGGGAAAAATATTTGCAAACTATGCACCTGACAAACGACTAATATCTAGAATCTACAAAGAACTCAAGCAACTCAACAACAACAAGGAAAAAGAAATAGCCCTATTACAAAGTTGGCAAAGGGCATACATTTCTAAAAGACATACAAGCAGTCAACAAACATATGAAAAAATATTCAACATCACTAGTCATCAGAGAAATGCAAAGAAAAACCATAATGAGATACTATCGTATAGCAGTCAGAATGGGAAAGTCTAAAAATAGCAGATGTTTGCAAGAATGTGGAGAAAGGGGAACACCTACACACTGTTGGTGGGAGTGTAAATTAGTACAAACTTAATGTAAAACAAACTAGGTATTTCTCAATGAACTAAAAATAGAACTACCATTCAATCCAGCAATCCAACTACTGGGTATATACCCAAAGGAAAAGAAATCATTATATTAAAAAGATACCTACATCTGTACATTTATCACAGCATTATTCACAATAGCAAAAATATGGATGGAATCAACCTAAGTGTCCATCAATAGAGGACTGGATTAAAAAGTGCTATCTATATCATGTGTGATATCAATCTATCTATCTATGAATAATACTTAGTCATAAAAAAGAATGAAAGAATGTCTTTTGCAGCAACATGGATGGAACTGGAGACCATTATCCTCAGTGAAATAACTTAGAAACAGAAAATCAAATATTATATGTTCTCACTTATAAGTGGGAGCTCAACAATATGTACACATGCATATACAGAGTGGAATAGTAGACACCAGAGACTATGAAAGGTGGGAGGGTGGGAGGGGGGTTATGGCTGAAAAACTACCTACTGGTTACAATGTTCACTATTCTGGTGATGGATGCACTAAAAGCCCAGACTATCATTATGCAACATATGCATGTAAGAAACCTGCACTTGTACCCCTTAAATTTACTACAATAAGTTATTTTTTTAAAAACTCACTTGTCACTTCTCTGCTCTGCTAACGCCCAAAACACTGCCCTTTTGCAAGCCAAAGATCTTTACCAATTTGTCTTACTTCTACAAAATCTTATCTTCCCCAGTCCTTACACATATTCTCTCGAGCCAAACTGTTCCCCATACAGCCTGTGCATTTTGGGAGTTGTTCGTTTGTTTGTCACTCTGCCCCTAGAATATAAACTCCTATTCTTACGGAGTTTATGTTATCTTGTTCACTGTTGTGTAAGTCTGTCTTATCCACTGCTGTTCAGAGACAGGCATAGCTCAGGTGTGCAATAAATATTTGTAGACTGAAAAAATAAAAATAAAAAGAGAAATGTTCTGTAGCAAAGAAGAAAGGCAATTATAACCAGAAGGCTTAACACACAAGGCCCTGAGGCAGAAAGTGAAAAAAGCCCAATGTGACTGGGGCATCATGTGGTGGAGGGAAGCTGGCATCAGGTCAGCAGGAGAGCATAATGCAGAAGCTTGCAGGCCTCCAAGCAATTTTGGATTTTATTTGCAGCTACAATACTTTATGGTAATTTCATTCTATAAGTATTCTACAATACTTTATGGTAATTTCATTCTATAAGTATTCTACAATACTTTATGGTAATTTCATTCTATAAGTATTCTACAATACTTTATGGTAATTTCATAACTAGTATAAGAATTATAACATTGTTCTATAAACACTGAGGCAACATTTATTCAATCAGAATTCTGTGAAACTTTGTGTATAGCAATTAATATAATTTTAGATATGCTACTTTCTAATGAGGTATAGAGCTAAACTGAGAGGTATAGAGCATAGAAAATGTATCAAAGTGGGTGGTTGACATGGCTCTTCAAAAGAGAGTCAGTTATCTCAACTAACCATTATTTCAGCCATATATCTGGCAGGAGTTAGATGATAGTCAATTCATGTTTCTGCATGCTGGCAAGTACCTAAAGTACAGACAGTCTCTGTGTGCTTTTTATTGATGAAAATTTCATATATTTCCATCACCAAAAGTTCAGGTGACGAAGCTGATATTACAAGGGAAAAATAACAAAGAGGTATCCACTATCTCAGCAAGAAAATAACTTATAAGAAAGCTGTATATGAATAGCTGTGAATAAGTCCAACTCTTTTTAGCCAGAATGTTTTTGATTAAGATTTCTATTTGCAACAATGTGGCAGGATATATATTCTCAAAGTAGAAATTTAGTGAACCCAAAGAAATAAGCATAGGAGCGTAGCCAGCATTTACTCAAAGAGTATTTGCCCAAAAATGTGAATGTGAATTTCAGTTTTCATGGACTCACAATACATGGAAAATAAAAATCAAAGCCTAGGCCTAAGATAGAAAATTTATCTTCTTAAAACTGTGATAGCAAACAGCTATATCTTCAGGCAAAGGGTAGACCATAAATAACCCACTTTGCAGAAAACCACAAGAAAAATTAACTCTCTCAAATCTCAAAACTGCCTAAAGGGGCACTGGTGAAAAATAGTGAATAAGATTGTGGAACCACAAACTGGCCCTCCTGCAGGTTTATGCACAATCTCACACTGTCTTAGTCTGATAGCCTTTAAACTGAGAATATAGTTTGCAGAGATTCTAGACCCATAGAATTAAATGTAAATCCTCTCTGGAAAGATATACTTCTATCCCAGATCTCAGAGAAATTCCAAAATTAAAATCTACGGAAAATGAGGAGCTCATGGACAAAAGTACTAAATACATAGAGAAACGAGGCACCAGAAGCAAAAACCGGAAGAAATAAACTAAGAAGTCCTTCAGATAATGTAATTGTTAGAGATCAACTATGAGGAAAATATATTCAATATACTCAGAGATTTTTTTCTAATCTTAAAATATTTATATGAACAAGAAACTATGAAGAATGCCTAAAAGAAACTATCATCAGAGTGAATAGGCAACCTACAGAATGGAAGAAAATTTTTGCAATCTATCCATCAGACAAAGGGCTAATATCAAGAATCTACAAAGAACTTAAATAAATTTACAAGAAAAAAACAACCCCATCAAAAAGTGGGCAAAGGATATGAACAGACGCTTCTCAAAAGAAGACATTTATGCGGCCAACAAACATATGAAAAAAAGCTCATCATCGCTGGTCATCAGAGAAATGCAAATCAAAACCACAATGAGATACCATCTCATGCCAGTTAGAATGTTGATCATTAAAAAGTCAGGAAACAACATATGCTGGAGAGGATGTGGGGAAATAGGAATACTCTCAGGAACGCTTGTTAGGAAAAGTGTTATATAAGTTATATGTCTTATCTTATATAAGTTATATAAGTCATATCTTATATAAGTTATATAAGTCATATCTTATATAAGTTATATAAGTCATATCTTATATAAGTTATATAAGTCATATCTTATATAAGTTATATAAGTCTTATCTTATATAAGTTATATAAGTCTTATCTTATATGTTATATAAGTCTTATATAAGTTATATACGCCTTATCTTACACTTCCTCAGAAAGAAAGAATATTACCGTAACAGAAACAAGAACAGTTCAGCTCTTTCACCAGCCCTGGGACCAGGAGAACACAGTGGGAATGACTGACAAATAAAAGCAATATAATCTATATGTGGAAGGAAAAGGAGATTAGTTCAACCATTGTGGAAGACAGTGTGGCGATTCCTCAAGGAACTAGAACTAGAAATACCCTTTGACCCAGCAATTCCATTAGTGGATATATACCCAAAGGATTATAAATCATTCTACTATAAAGACACATGAATACATATGTTTATTGCAGCCCTTTTCACAATAGCAAAGACTTGGAACCAACCCAAATGCCCATCAATGATAGACTGGATAAAGAAAATGTGGCACATATACACCATGGAATACTATGCAGTCATAAAAAAGGATGAGTTCATGTCCTTTGGAGGGAGATGGATGAAGCTGGAAACCATCATTCTCAGCAAACTAACACAAGAACAGAAAACCAAATATTGCATGTTCTCACTCATAAGTGGGAGTTGAACAATGAGAACACATGGACACGGAGGGGCAGGGTATCACACACTGGGGCTGGTCATGAAATGGGGGTCTGGGGGAGGGATAGCATTAGGAGAAATACCTAAAGTAGATGATGGGTTGATGGGTGCAGCAATCCACCATGGCATGTGTATACCTACGTAACAAACCTGCACGTTCTGCACATGTACCCCAGAACTTATAGTTAAAAAAGGAATGCCTAAAAAGACTAAAAGCAAAACCAAATAAAATTTCTGAAATATAAATAATTAACATTAAAAATTCAGTGAATACATTTAATGGCAAATTAGTCATAGCTAAAGAAACAATTAATGAACAAGAAGATAAATCTTAGTTAAGTGTTCAAAATTCAACAAAGAAATGAAGAAAGAATATGAAAAAAGTTTTTGATGTGTTTGAAGTGAACTCATTATTACATTGGTGATTGTATATGGCAACAAATTATAGAAAACTATGCCTTCCTACTGGACTTCCTGGGGATTTCCTCCTTTTTTGAGCCTTTAAAGTCCTTCTGGCCTTTCATTACTTTGTCACCTGAGCTGGCTGCAAATCAAACACAGGACAACTTCTTATAAGGCAGATGAGCTACTTACATAGCAAGTTTAAGCATTCTCTTGGTAGGACCTGAGCTCTATCTCAATTAGAGCATTTTTAAGTGGGTAGAACAAGCTTTTAAAAGGATGCTATGACATCAGAAACCAGAGCTTCTTGAAAAATAGCCCCTGTTCTATCTGTACAACCTACTTGTCAGCAGAACCAGTAGCAGGGGGCCACCTAAATGGTAGCATCTGGAGTGCAATGTGGTTTCCTGCTTTTTTCATGCAGCCAAGGTATCCATTAAAGAGCTGGCACAGCTTAGAGAGGCACATTACAAATGGCCTTCACTAAACACACAGTCTCCTTTTCCTTCCACATATAGATTATATCGCTTTAATTTGTCAGTCATTCCCACTGTTTTCTCCTGGTCCGAGGGCAGGTGAAAGAGCTGAACTGTTCCTGTTTCTGTTACGGTAACATTCTTTCTTTCTGAGGAAGTATAAGATAAGATTTCAGGCTGAGAATGCATTTTCCAGAGGTTACAAATTCTTTTACTATTTTATGTCTGAAATCCGAATGTTTGGACTCAATATCCTAAGCTGGTTGAAACTCAAAGGTTCATTGCTTTGCTCCAGGGAAATATAGATCTCTGCTTGCCCACATGATGAATTGGTTTTTATTCTGCCCTTCTCAGACCTTTGAAAGTACTAGGGATTAAAAATCAAGAGAGACCAGGAGAAATCAGAAATTCTAACTATAGGTCAGAAGGTGCCGAGATGAGTGAATTATAAAAGACCCCAAAATTCCACCGTCCATTAAGGCATCTTACTGAACTCCTTAATCACAACTGCTGCCTACTCACCTACTGTCTTTTTTTTTTTAAAACCATTGAGTGAGACTGCAAATAAACATATGAACAGTGTGATTGTGTGTACAGGATCTCATAAATGCTAGTGTCAGCTCTGCAACTTTATTAATTATGTGACCTTGAGCAGGGTGCAAACTTTCCTTGTTCCCTTTTTTTCATATGTATATGAAGATAATAACACCTATTGTAGTCTAAACAGAAATGTTTCATATGTATATGAAGATAATAACACCTATTGTAGTCTAAACAGAAAACAAAACATATATTGTGTATAATTATAATATACATTTAATATGTATATTATTTATATATTAAATATATTATATATTTAATATATAATATATTTAATATATATGTAACATATATAAAATATATATAGTGTTATATAATATAATATATATTTACTATATATTAATATATATTTATATATACTATACATGTATATATACACAATACAATATATAATATATATTTACAATATATAATATTATATAATATATATATTTACTATATATACTGTATATATATACTATATATAGTATATGTACTATATATACTATATATTGTAAATATATAGTATATTATGATTAAGTAGAAAAACTGAGGGCAGCCATTATTAATATAGTTTAGTATATGCAATGAAAATTTTAGATATGCTGCTTTCTAATGTTCTAAACTGTGAGGTAGAGAGCATAGAAAATCTGCAGAAGTGGATATTTGAGCGTATTGTCCATGACCAATGTATATTATTATTTTCTTCTCTCTGCTTGGCGTATTCCATTGTCACCTGGTACTACTCTTGTTAAATCTATTATGAGCCATTTCTGTTTAGACTACAATAGATGTTATTATCTTCATATACATATGAAAAAAAGGGAACAAGGAAAGTTTGCACCCTGCTCAAGGTCACATAATTAATAAAGTTGCAAAGCTGACACTAGCATTTTTGGGATCCTGTATGCACAATCACACTGTTCATATGGTTATTTGTGATAGTCTATACCACATATATATACCACATATATATGTCATATATATGTTAAATATATATACCACATATATGTAATATGTATATTAAATATACATAATTATAATATATAATATAATATAATATATATTATATATTATAATATGTAATATATATTATATAATATATATTACATATTATAATATATAATAAATTATATAATATATTACATTATAATTATAATTGTATAATTATATATTATAATATATATTTACAATATATATTTATATACTGTAAATATATAATATATGATATTATATTTATAATATATATTCATATATATTATATATATACATATATATACACACACACACAATTGTTTGTTTCAATTTCCCCTTCTATAAAGCATATAATTTCATGTTCTTAGAGGGATAGCTATTGCTTCTTTTCTCATGTTTGTGTATGTGTGTTCTTTATGTTACATGGTCTTACAGCAGGCCCAAGTGTTGAATCCTGTTCCTACCAGTGGTGATCCAGCTGTTTGAGTTGTCTTTAAACATTTCTTTGAAACATTTTCCAGAGGACTACATTTAAATTTTCATGCACAAAACATGGCCTCCCATTCTGCTTCTGACCATTTCTATTAAGTTCATGCACATGTTTATAATTCAGCCAAATTTAGCCCTTTTTTCATCACGCTTATTTATAACTATCTCCCTACTCTTGCCAAATGGATTATACACTTTATGAACTTACAAATGAAGAGATCCAGCAAGAGGCAAGGATAGATTATATATTATATATGATTTCTTAAATGGAAAAAACAAGGTTTTGATTAATGGACTAAAGACTAAACAACAGAGAATTTGAGAATCACACTTGAAGCTGCATAAACACAGATGTATATATAAATATACATGTGCATGCACATACACACATACTTTGAAACGGACAAATGATTAATGACTTTAGAAAAAATTGATTCCCCAGTCCAGATTTTACTTAAGCTAATACTTGAACTTGTTCATGTAGCCTGAATATAATTTAGCTACATGAAGAAAACAATTAAAACTCTTGCAGAATGTTAGGGCAGTCAGGAAGAGTTTGGAATTAAAAATATGGCTATGAACAATATACTCAGGTAAGGGAGCAGATTACCACCTACATGGCTGGTTGAAATTGATCTGAAAGATTACCTTTCCAAAATGATTTCTCTTCTAGAACTGCTACTAGAAGATTCTTTAGCATAGTTGCTTATTATGTACAAACTTTGAGTGTACATATTAAGGCAGTGAGCACTACTTAAGTTCCTCTTTTTGAAGATGCTATCCATTTAATAACATTTATTTAGAGATATAAGAAGAAAATACTGGAGCCAGGCACAGTGGCTCACGCCTGTAATCTCAGCACTTTGGGAGGCTGAGGCGGGTGGATCACCTGAGGTCAGGAGTTCAAGACCAGCCTGACCAACATGGCGAAACCTCGTCTCCACTAAAAATACAAAAATTAGCTGGGTGTGGTGGTGGGTGCCTGTAATCCCAGCTACTCGGGGCTGAGGCAGGAGAACTGCTTTAGCCTGGGAGGCGGAGGTTGCAGTGAGCCGAGATCAGGCCACTGCACTCCAGTCTGGGCAACAGAGTGAGACTCAGTCTCAAAAATGAAAAAAAGAAAAGAAAAGAAAAGAAAATACTGCCACATTGAAATGTACACATTTATTGAAAGATAAATCATTGGCCAGGCACAGTGGCTCACTGAACTCCAGCCTGGGCAACAAAGTGAGACTCCGCCTCAAAAAAAAAAAAAAAAAGTAGAATATTTGCATGTGGTTGAAGTTAAGTGTTATCTACATTAAACTGACCGTTACAATTATAAAATATTTTATGTAAGCTCCATAGTAACCACAAAGTAAATCTCTGTAATAGATACACCAAACATAAAGAGAAAAGAATCAAAGCACACTACCACAAAAAAATTATCACATCATACAGGAATATAGCAAGAGAGGAAAAAAAACACAAATGAACTACAAAACAGTCAGAAAAGAATTAACAAAATGACAACAGGACAAGAAAAAAAGATAAATCCTTATTCTGAACTTATTCTGAAGTGTTAACATGCACAAAATTCAAAACAAATAAAATGCATTTTTTTCATTTAAAGAAATGCCAAGCAGAAGTGCAGAAGTGATGTCAACAAGATGGCAGAATGGAAGCTGCCAGCACTTGTCCACTCACAGAAATCAATTTGAACAATCATCCATGCATGAAAAAAAACATTCTCAAGAGCTAAGAAATTCAAGTGAGATATCAGAGCACCTGGGTGACACACAGAATAAGAAAAGACGCACTGAAGAGAGTAGGAAAAACAGTTTCACAAAACTTGTGTCAACCCTCCCTCAAGCCTGTACAGCATGGAGAGAGATAGCCATTGCAGGCGTAAGGAGAGTGAAGTGAGTACTCAGTTTTGCCATGGACGCTAGCAGCATGTGTACGCCAGTGAATCCTAGTACTAGACCAGCCGCAGGCACCAGGTCAACACTGGTGAACTCTGACTCTAGGCTAGCCTCTGTAGCCCGAAGATCCAAGCCAGTCTCCACAGACTGATGACGTGGGCCTGTCCTCCAGACTCAAGTTCCAGGCTTTCTCCAGCTCTAGGCAAGTCACTGCAAACTGAAGCTCCAGGCCTGGCCCAACAGCAGACAATCCCCCATGACCCCAGGTTCCAGACTGGCTCCTGTGGTCTCAGGCTCCAGGCTAGGCCCCATAACTCCAGGCCCACACCAACATCAGCCCAGCCGATGTGGCCCCAGGCACATCACTGCACACCAAGGCTCCAGGCTGGACCCTGGGGCACTAAGCTCAAGGACCACAACTGAGTCCCCAGGCTCCAGGATCATGAACCCAGGATCCAGGCCCATATTAGCATCAGGCCAGCCCATATGGCCCCAGGTGTGTCCCTGCAGATCAAGGCTCCAGGCCTATCCCAGTTCCAGGCTGACTCTCACAGCCATAGGTTCCAGGCTAGCCTCCAGGGATCTAGTCTTCAGGCCTACTCCAGCACTAGGATGGTCTCCGTGGATCCAGGTGCCAAGCCTGCCCATGTGGATGCAAACTCCAGTCCAGGTCCACTCAGTGGACACAGGCTCCAGGCATAAACCTAAAGACACAAGCACTCAGCCAGACCCTGTTTCCAACACAAAGGATGACAGAGTTCATCAACATTAGACCTGCTTTACTAGAAATGCTAAAGGAAGTGCTTAAAATGGAAACAAAAGGATGTTAATTAATAGTATGAAAACATACAAAGAAACATAAAACACCCCATAAGGTGTAGGAATATAGTAAAATTCAGAATATTCTTTTATTGTAATGGTGGTGTGTAAAACATTTAAATCTATATAAAAGTTAAAAAACAAAAGTACTAAAAATATCTATACCTACAATAATTTGTTAACAAATCCACAATATCAAAAGGTGTACAGTGTGACACCTTTTTTGTCACACTTCATCATCAAATGTCAGGGGAAGCAGCCGGGCATGGTGGCTCATGCCTGTAGTCCCAGCACTTTGGGAAGCCAAGGCGGGTGGATCACTTGAGCTCAGGAGTTTGAGACCAGCCTGGCTAACATGGTGAAATTCCATCTCTACTAAAAATAAAAAAAAATTAGCCAGACGTGGTGGCACATGCCTGTAATCCCGGCTACTTGGGAGGCTGAGGCAGGAGAATCTCTTGACCCAGGAGGCAGAGGTTGTAGTGAGTTGAGATTATGCCACTGCACTCCAGCATGGGTGACAAAGAGAGACTCCGTCTCGAAAAGAAAAAAAAAAAAAAAAAGAGTCAGGGGAAGGGAAGTGTAGAATTTTTGCATATGGTTGAAATTAAATGTTATCTGCATTAAACTGACCATTACAATTATAAAATATTTTATGTAAGCTCCATAGTAACCACAAAGTCAATCTCTGTAATAGATACACCAAACATAAAGAGAAAAGAATCAAAGCCTACTACCACGAAAAAATTATCACATCATACGGGAATAAAGCAAGAGAGGAAGAAAAACACAAAGGAACCACAAAACCATCAGAAAAAAATTAACAAAATGACAACAAATGTCCTTACCCATTAATAACTGCTTTAACTGTAAATAGATTAAATACTCCAATCAAAAGGTATGGAGTAACTGAATGGATTTAAAAAACAGATCCAACTCTGTGCTGCCTACAGAGACTGAGTTTAGCTTTCAAGGCACATGAAGGCTGAAAGTGGAGAGATGCAAAAAGATATTCCACGCAAGTGGCAAACAAAAGAAAGTAGGATATATACAGCTGTATCAGACAATAGACAATTTGAGTCAAAAATTGTCATAGAAAGACAAACAATGTTACTATATAATGAAAAAGTGGTCAATTCATCAGGAGAATTAACAATTGTAAATATTTATGCACTCTAAGTCAGATTACCTAAGTATATAAAGCAAAAATTTACACAACTGAAGGGAAATAGACAATACAATAACAGTAAGGAACTTTAGTACCCCACTTTCAACAATGGATCATCCAAACATAAAACATCAATAAAGAAATATGGTATTTGAACAATATTATAGACCATATAAACTTAACAGACATATACAGAACATTCTATCCAAGAGCAGAATATACATTCTTTCCAAAGCACACAAAACATTCTCCAGGTTAGATATTATTAGGCTACAAAAAAAGTCTCAACAAATTTAAGAAGACTAAAATCATATAAAATATATTTTCCTATCACAATGGTATAAAATTAGAAATCACTAACAGGAGAAAAACTGGAAATTTCACAAGTATGTGAAAATAAAACATACTCCTCAAAGAATAATCAAAAAGGAAATCACAAAATATCTTTTAACAATGGAGACTAAAAAAAACAACATACCAAAACTTCTGATATTCAATAAAATCAGTTCTAAACTAAGAGTTTATAGTGATAATGAGGTGGGATAGTTCCCTTGACCCTTGAAGGTGTGGCTCCCTTAGTCTGCAGTGCTCAAATCCCTTATGGGAGGGGGAGCATGCAGGTGAGCATGTGCAAGGGCTGGGGCGAGTGCCTTTGGGCACTGGCAGGAACGAACCCTGTACAGGCCCCAGCAGCGTCAGCGGTTGCCCGCAACCTCTGGAACCCCAAATGGCGTGTGCTACAGCATGCTCTTTAACATTGCTGTCCACGGATTGCGTAAGTGTTAAACAGCTCACTGGAGAGTCAGTGTGACAGCCTCATGCACCCATACCTGGGTCCTTGTCTGGTACCCAAGAGGAATGAGGTCACATGGACTTGAAGGATGGTGAATGCAGAGATTTTACTGAGCGATGGAAGTGGCTCTCAGCAGGATGGGGAGCTGGAAAGGAAATGGAATGGGAAAGCAGTCTTCCCCTGGAGTTCAGCCGTCCCCACGCAAATTCCACTCCAACCATAGTCTCCAATATCTAGCTGCTTCTTCTCCTCTCGACATTTAGATGCTTCTCTCTTCCCTCCTCTGCCGTGCTACTCTGCTCCTCTGCCACTGGAGTTTGGGGTTTTTATGGGAACAGGACAGGGGCATGGCAGGCCAAAAGGCAAAATTCTGGTGGGAAAATGGAGATGTGAAGTTCTAATTTAGGGCCATAGGTCTATGCTTGAGGGTGGAACCCTTGCCAGGGACCCCACTCTTTTCTATCTAGTGTTTCTCTGCTTCCTGTCTGTATCAATAAGTGCCTACATTAAGAAAAAGAAACATCTCAAATAAACAATCTAACTTTAATGATCAAGGAACCAGAACAAGAATAAACTAAGCTGCTAGTTAACAGAATGAATGAAATAATAAAGATGAAAGAATCAAAAAAATACACTAGACAATAGTAAAGATCAATGAAACTAAAATTAGTTTTCTGCAAAGATAAACTAAATGGTCAAACTTTTAGCTATACCCACTAAAAAGAGACTCAAAATTATAAATGAGAGAAGAGACATTGCAACTAATACCACAAAAATACAAAGGATCATAAGAGACAACTATAAATAACTACACAACAATTTGGATAACATAGAAAAAATGAAAAAAATTCCTAGAAATATACATGATATCAATACTGAATTATGAAGAAACAGAAAATCTGAATGGACCCTCCCAATAACCCTCCCAATAAAGAAAATCCTAGGATCTGATCACTTTACTGGTAAATTCTAACAAACATTTAAATAAGAATAACTTAAAGTATAATAATAATAAAATTTTTTTAAAAAAGAATGTATGTCAATCCTTCTCAAACTCTTCCCAAAAGCCAAAGAGGAAGGAACACTTCCAAACTCATTTTATGATGTAATATTACCCTGATACCAAAGCCAGACAAGGACACTACAAGAAAAATAATTACAGGACAATATTCTTGATGAACATAGATGCAAATATCTTCATCAGAATACTAGCAAAACAAGTTAAAAAGAACAATAAAAGGTTAATAAGGACTTATCCCTGAAATGCAACAATGGTTCAATGTCTGCAAAGCAATAATATGATATATCACATTAAGAGTGGTGATTTTGGCCGGGCACGGTGGCTCACGCCTGTGATCACAGGCAGGTGGATCACTTGAGGTCAGGAGTTTGGGACCAGCCTGGCCAATATGGTGAAACCCCGTCTCTACTAAAAGTACAAAAAAAATTAGCCAGGTGTGTTGGCATGTGCATGTAATGCCAGCTACTCAGAAGACTGGCAGGAGAATCACCTGAGCCTGGGAGGCAGCGATTGCAGTGAGTCAAGATCACACACTACACTCCATCATGGGTGACAGAGTGAGACTCTGTCTTAAGAAAAGAAAAACAAAAACTGATGATTTTGAAAGTATACAATGATCTTAAATGCAGAAAAAAATTTTGACAAATTTCACCATCTTGTCATGATAAAAAAAACAAATTAGGTATAGAAAGAATGTTCCTCGAAAAAATAAAGACCATATACAATAAGCCCACAGCTAATATCATACTCAGTGATGCAGTGATGAGAAGCTGAAGCCTTTCCTTTAAGATGAGGAACAAGATCAGGATGCCCACTCTTGCCATTTCTATCCTACACAGTACAGGAAGGCCTTGCCAGAGCAACTGAGCAAGAGGAAGTGATAAAATGCATCCAAATCAGAAGGAAAAAATTAAAATTTTCTGTTTGCAGATGACATGATCTTACACAAAGAAGTCCTTGAAGATTCTACCAAAATACTGCTAGAAATAATAAATAAATTCAGTTTCAGGATAAAAAAATCAACCTGCAAAAATCAGTTGTGTTTCTATACACTAACAAGGAACTGCTTGAAAAAGAATCCAGAACTACAACCCCAATAACAATAGCATCAAAAATAAATAAATACTTAGAAATAAATTTAACCAAGGATGTTAAAAATCTGTACATTGTAAACTATGAAATATTGATAAAACTACTGAAGACACAAATAAATGAAAATAATAATACCTTATGTTCATGAGTTGAAACTAAAATTGTTAAAATGTCCATACTACCCAAATAAATCTTAGATTCAATGCAATCTCTACCAAAATTCCAATGGCATTTTTCATAAAAATAAAAATAAATCCTAAAATTCATATGGAACCATAAGATAAAAGAATTCCTAAATCAATTTTGACTGGACGCATCACACTACCTGATTTCTAATATACCATAAAGGTCTACTAATCAAAATAGTATGGCCCTGGTATAAAAACAGATATATAGACCACCCACTGGAACAGAATAGAGAGACCAGAAAAAAAAACACACGTTTATGGTCAATTGATCTCCAACAAAAGTATCAATCACATAAAATGATGAAATGACTGTATCTTCATTTACTGGTGTTGGGAAAATTGTTTTCCATATCCAAGAATATAAAATTGGCTCTTTATCTTACCCTATATGCAGAATCAACTCAAAAGGGATTAAAGACTTAAAAATAAGACCGGAAACTGTAAAACTACTAAAGGAAACATAAAGACAAAGCTTCTTGACACTGGTTGAGACAGTAATTTTTTTATATGACCCCAAAAGCACAGGCAATAAAAGCAGAAACATACAAATGGGATTGCATCAAACTAAAAAGCTTTGCAAAGCAAATCAACTGTATAAACAGACAATTTAAGAAATGAGAGAAAATATTTCCAAACCATACATGATAAGGTGCTAATATCCAAAATATATAAGGAACTCAAATAATACAACAGCAATAAATAAGTAACCCAATTTAAAAACAAGAAAAGGATCTGAAAAGACATTTATCCATAGAAGACATGCAAACTGCTAACGCGTGTATGGAAAAATTCTCAACATCACTAACTATCAGAGAAATGCACATCAAAACTATAATGAGACATTACCTCAGACCCATTAGGATGGCTATTATCAAAAGGACAAGAGATAATATTTGTTGGTGAGAGTGTGGAGAGAAGGGGTCCCCTTGGGCATGGTTGGTGGACATGTAAGTTGGTATAGCCATTATGGAAAACACTATGGAGACTCTACATAAAAATAAAAATATAACCACCACATGATCCAACAATCTCACTTCTGGGTACACATTTAAAGCAAATGAAATCGGTACAGGTTGACTATATCAGATTTGAAATGCTTGGGACCAGAGGTGTTACAGATTTCAGATTTTTTTTTTTATTTGGAATAGTTGCTTTACAGTTTTGAGTATCCCTAATCTGAAAATCTGAAACTCAAAATTCTCCAAAATCCAAAACTTTTTGAGTGCCAACATCATACTCAAAGGAAATACTCACTGGAGCATTTCAGATTCTCAGATTAGAGATACTCAACTGGTAAATATAATGCAAATATTTCAAAATCCAACCCCCCCACAACAATAACAACAACAAATCAAATTTCTATTTGACAAACCTCTGATCCCAAGTATTTCAGATAAGGAATACTAAAGCCGTACATACTTACGGGTTGAACATTCCAAATCTGAAAATCTGAAATCCAAAATTCTCCAATGAGCATTTCCTTTGAGTATCATGTTGGTGCTCAAAAAGTTTCAAATTTTGGAGTATTTTTAACTTTGGACTTTTGGACTTGGCATGCACAACCTGTATCTCTTTCACTGTGGCACTATTCACAACATGCAAGATGTGGGATCAACCTAAGTGTAGATCATCAGATAAATATATTAAAAAATGTGATTAGACACACGCATACAGTGGAATATTATTGAGCCAAAAAAGGGAGATCCTTCCATTCATGGCAATATGGATGAACCTGGAGTACATTATGCTAAGTGCAATAAACCAGGCACAGAAAGACAAATACAATACTGGTTAATCTCACTTATATATGGAACCTAAAAAAATCAAACTCGTAGAAACAGAGAATAATGGTGTTGTCACGCACTGGGGTGTGGGGGAAATGGGGAGTTGCAAGTCAAAGGGCACAAAGTATCAGTAGATTGAATAAGTTCTAGAAATCAAATGTGCAGCATGGGCAATATAGTTAATGATACTGTATAGTATGCTCGAAATTTGCTGAGAGTAGATCTTAAATGTTCTCACCACACAAAGAAAATGGTAAGTATCTGAGGTCATGAATATGTTAATTAGTTTGATGGTAGTAATTATTTCACAATGTACACATAAATCAAAACATGACATTGTATATCTTAAATATATATAATTTTTATTTCTTATGTATACCTCATTAAAGCTGGGAAGGAGGAAAAAAGAAAGAAAGGGAGAGAAAGAAATGCCAAGGAACAGAAAAGTTAGCTACTGTAGAGTTTAAGTAGAGTGGTTGCAATCTAGTACCTGATTCTCATCTTCACAGAAATTTATTTTCTTTCAACTTATGCAGGATTGTTTTGGTTTCAGATGATCAAATCATAATGTGCAAACTTACAGTTTTAAACAACAGGATGATTTACTGCTAGTGCTTACTTACTCCAGTAGTAAAGCTACCTATTTCCGTTAAGTAGACAGTAGGACACCAAATTGCCAATGGCGTTAGTTTGGTGGGCTTTAAATAAGACTTAAAAATATTTTTTTGATTGTTGACTCTAGAACATAAGACACATAATTAAATGTCCATGGAAACCAGAAAAATAATGGAAAAGTAGTAAATTGGCTGAGGATTTTCATAAAATTAGGTAGAAAATTTTTACACTTCAATGAAAATATACATATTCTCTGTTCTTTTGCAACACATGAAATACGATGTCTATTTTTTAACTGATTTTATGTTCTACTCCAGATAGAAACAAGAAAATAGAAAAATAGTTTTCTACTGTTATAAGGTAGTATCGTTTGACTGTGTCCCCACCTAAATCTCATCTTGAATTGTAGTTCCCATAATCCCCACATGTCATGGGAAGGACCTGATGGGAGGTAACTGAATCATGGGGGCAGTTACCCCCATGCTGCTGTTAGTGAGTGAGTTCTCACAAGATCTGATGGTTCTATAAGGGGCTTTTCCCCCTTTGCACAGCACTTCTGCTTTCTGCTGTCATGTGAAGAAGACGTGTTTGCTTCCCCTTCTGCATGACTGTAAACTTTCTGAGGCCCCCCCAGTCATGCTGAACTGTGAGTCAATTAAACATCTTTCCTTTGTAAATTACCCAGTCTCAGGCAGTTCTTTATAGCAGTGGGAGAATGGACTAATACATAAGGAAAATGCATAGTATAAGCATGATAAAAAATAAGAACTGACACTAAAGCTTCAATGTTGGGGAAAAATAAGCTATATTAAAAACCATGGTGAAGTAGCAAAATCATGTTCAACTTGACTGTTGCCTTGCTGGAATTTGAGCTGGGCTTCTGGATCTAATTTTTTAGAAAGAAGCTGAGCATCTAGATTTCTAATTTAAAATATGTTCATTTTTAATAGACTTAATTTCTAAAATACAGTGTAGGGCAAACAAGACCTGGGGGCTATCTTTAGTCTATAGACTGCCACTTTGAGGCTTTTATCTAGAGGTATGTTTTAGCCAAACAATGACTAAACTGAATTTCATGATTCAGAGAAAGCTGTACTTCCACAATAACTGGAAATATGTGCCCTCCTAATTCCCTTGTTCCATCATTCTCTTTAGGCTGACCTGAATATTTCCTCTCTGACTCTGATTTTCCAGAATCCATGGACAGCTCATTAACAATCTCCTGCTAGACAGTCAGATCCAACAGAATTAGTTAAGTTATGCTTTCCGTGATTCTGTTTCAGTCAAGATGTTCACGCTTTTGATATTTTCAATAACTCAAATAGCTGTTATTCTGTTATTCCCTTTCTGGAAAGTGCCCCCAAGTTTGCAAGTGTTTATCTTAAAACAAACAAACAAACAAACAAAAAACTAAATTCCCTTCTTGGCTTGGTTAGCAACACATTTATAACCCGTTACCTTAGGGTCTGGTTCGTCTATCAACGGCTACTTTCAATCATTGTGTTGAATTTAAAATTTACCTGACCTTGTCTTCAAGTTCAGAGAAATTATACTCTCTGTCTGATTACATTTTGCTACAGTGCTTTAGTTTTATTAATTTTTTCATGCATGTCAGAAGATTTCCATTCTAAATATTTTGTGGATAGTCCTATTATATTGGCATCAATGTAGGGGACGTGACTTTAAAGGGAAAGTGATATCTATCTTATCTATATATCATTGGTGGACTGTTGTGTATTCCCCCTATTTTCCATGTCTAAAGTGCCATTTGTTGGTACTGATGGCTATACAGAATTTACTAATACAGAGTTTTAATAATAAATAAAATTATTTATTTTTTTCTCTTTCTCTGATACCTACTTTACTCTTCTCTCATATCCCTATCCATTTTTATCTGGACCTCTTATATCCTCAAGTCTTATCACTGATGGGTCAATATGGTAGCTGATAATAAGCACTCTTGGAATGAAGGAATAACTGATCCTAGGGCTGATCTGGAATCCAAAAGGCAAACAATGTAAATGTATCAGAGATTTGACTAAATGTGATTTACATTTTCACTATACAATTTTAAAGCAAGTTATTCACTCAAAAAATAAGGCACTGAATAAGAACACAGCTTATACTTACTTTAATATATAAACAAAGATATGTTATTTAATTTTCAAATAGTTGATGTTTCCATATCTATGAAATAAAATTAGGTTTCTGTGGATTTTCTGTGGTCACATATATGAGACCTTAACTACATAATTACCTCAATTCTAGACATTGTAAGTGATACTGCTTGATACTTAAACATAAATTACAAGTATATATCATTTGCCAGTCAGATTCTTTAAGATAATGACTAAGAAAACAGAAGTTATTTATATTCTTTATGAAACATAAGAAATATGACTTCCAGTATGTTATGAAAAGCATATATTATAAGGCAGTATTTTGCAAACCAGAGTATCAGGTTTTCTGGAGCCAAATTTTAGTGTTACGGTCATATGTTGTTAAAAGAATAATCTCTATTCAGTTTGGTGTTGTAACAAAATTGCAAAAAGTCACTGTATTTTAGGATGACTAAATCTTTCATCATGGAAAACAGAATGCTCAGTTTTTAGACTTTTACATTTTCCTGAAGTATATGACACATTACTGTGCACTACTTCCATTAGCAAAATCTTTTACTATTTAGTGATGAATAAGCTGTTTAAATGCTTTTGTCTAATTGGGTCATACCGCAATGAATATCCCCCTCCATTATGTATGGATATTATAAAAAGAAGCGTCTGAATAATGTCTTTTTCTCCACAATATAAAACCTATTACAGCAGCAAGATACACGGAGAGTCAAAATCTTCCATTACGTATGATGTCTACAAGAAGAGTAGATGGGGTTCAATGGGGCTAAAGTATTACAAATTAGAATAGGAATTTATAAGTAAATTTTGGTTAAACACAAAAAGAGGATTATAAATAATAAAGCTTATCGTATCGTATAAAGAAAGAGACTTTCTTATGAGGTAGTGAGATCGCTGTTATCTGAGGTGTTCAAAGAGGCCTGATGTCAGAAGAGAAATGCAAATACTGGTAAGACAGTCCCCAACGTTATTCCCAAGTTTCTATAAAAATGTGAGATGCCAATACTTGGCAATTTGAGAAAAGATGGAATGTTTATTTAAACTGAAGAATATTTATCTAAAGATATATTTATTGTGTATTAGGAATGCTCCTGTGCCCTGAAGATAAACCAGTAAATAAGACATACTTCCTGACAACAGACAATTACAGGCAGGTTGAAATGCATATACCATTGCTCCTATGAGTATGGGGCAGTGGAGGATTATCTAGTAGACAGACAAAGTCCATGCCTGAGATATGGGGAAAGTGGGGGTCTGCCCTAAAAAAATTCCTTTTAAAGGAATATGCATACAGTATTCCCAAACAGCAAAATAATAATGATGGCAAAAATATAACTTTTTGAACTTTGTTTTTAACCATTTCCTGTTAAAATATCTGGACTATATCCTAATGGCCATAAGAGGTCACTACAAACTTTTAAGCTGCAGAGTAGTTTCAGAGTGTGTGTGTGTGTGTGTGTGTGTGTGTGTCTGTGTGTCTGTGTGTCTGTGTGTGTGCATTAGAAAGAAAACTCTGAGCCATGTGAAGAGTGTCAGACTGGGAAGCAAGATACGCACTGTTGTAATAAACTCAGTGGGATATGATTAAGCGTGTAAAGTACTGGCAATGGGAATTCAGAGAAGGGGAGAAGATCAAAAAATATCAGTCTCTCCTGGGTTTGGTGACTGGTTGGTTGCAAAGGAGAAAGACAAAAGAGTAATTAATAATCCCTCTTGGCTTTCTGTCTCCTTTCTTCAGCCATTTTATTTCAGCAGCTACAGATGGAACAATAAGATAAACCCTTGGGCTTCTCCACATACCCAGGAAGAGATTAGTAAAGATCATGAACCTCACCCCTTACTTACAACTTACAAAAGCAACATAGGATCTCCAACAGTTCTATCCCAGAGATTCAGGGCTTTTCTTGATCACCATACACCAGCTAGTTTAAAGTTAAATGGTACAGGCTGTCCTCCTCCTTTTTACCTATGTGGCAAAACATCTAATTTGCCGCAGCTGGCAGTAAGATGGTTCTGTCAACATCTCAATTTCTTCTTACCATTTATGCCCTTCCATTGGATGCATACTGAATATAAATATGCTAAAGATGCAGATTAAACTGCTGCATCATCCAGAGTAAATGTAATATATATGTGTGTTAGTAAGCTCATGCCATGGTCATTAAGGCTTACCATATATGAAAGTAAGGATACTCAATGGTCTTTAAAATGTATTTTCTAATACTGAAAACAGAATCTGGACCTTGAAACCAGACCAAAAAAATTCCATGAGATAAAAGGGGAGTAAAGGCCTGAATGAAATGCTTTTAAAAAATAAATGGAAGAGTGATTGAATACAGTTAATATGGATAACTCATGAAGAATTTTGCTTTTATCAAAGAGCAGATAAGTGAGCCAGTAGCTATAGGGGAAAGTGGAGTGCCAGAGAGAGAGAGAGAGACAGGGAGATGAAGGCGGTGGTGGTGAGGAGAGAGTGAGTGTTAAATAATGGAAAAATAATAGCATGTATGCCCTCTGATGTAGAATTATCCAGTGGAGAGAGAGGAAACACCAATGTAGAAAAAGAAAAGGAGGAACTGTTAGGATAAGTCCTTTGACTAAACAAGGACAAGGGAATCTTGGGTATAAATGGGGGAACTTGCCTCAGAAAGGTACTCAGTTCATCTGTATTATAAGAAAGAAGGGAAGGTATGTAGTTATGAAGGCTGGCAGCAAGTAGATAGCTTCAGTTTAAGAAATGCATAGGATTGTCAAAATAAGAACCAAAAGACTAGGAAAAACAGAGTTATCATGGAATAGCTGGACATTGCAGCTGGTTCAGTCCTTAACTAGCCATGTGACATAAGGCAAATACTAAACTTCTTCATGCTTCAATTTCCTCAAAAATAGATGGAGATAACACTGGTGCTTACTTCATAAAGTTAAACAGATGGACCAAATAACATGATATATCTATCTTCTCCCAGGAAAATATAAGCTCCATGAAGGCATGGATTTCCATCTTTTTTTCTCTCTCTTTTAATTGTACTGACATGGTGTCTGGCATATAGTAAATATTTAATAAATGTGATCTATTATTATCACTACCAGCTCATTTTGACACCATCATTGGTTCAAAATGAAGTGATCCTTACCTTCACAAAGACAAAGAGCATTTTTCTTAACTGGCATGAGTCTGAAGGTGGGGAGGGAAGAGTGTGGAATGTGTGATTTGAAAATCAAATTCTGTGATAAGAACTTTGAAAATTTCAAGATTCTTTCTCAGAAGTATCCATGAACAAGGCTAAAACTTTTCCTATCACTATAATTTCTGTTGATAATTCTCCCAAAGGTAGTTAACCTAGTTCATATTACACAAGTGTCTCCTATACTCATTAATTTTCCTTTT
This sequence comes from Homo sapiens, assembly GCF_000001405.40. Taxonomy (NCBI): domain Eukaryota; kingdom Metazoa; phylum Chordata; class Mammalia; order Primates; family Hominidae; genus Homo; species Homo sapiens. The sequence continues at coordinate 46,778,342 of NC_000004.12, forward strand.
TCAATATACAGTAACAATGACAATAACATGTAGTCAGCAAACCAGGTTATCATCTGAACTCTCTCTGTTATTGGTATTTTCTTATGGTAACACTGCATTTCTAGGTAAATGCATGCAGGGTTTCAGTTTCATTATTTTTTATGACCAGTCAACCAAGATGTTCACTGACTAGTAGAACAAGAAAAATAAACACCGTATATCAAATTCAATTATGAGTGACCTACTTAAACAGCTTCCCACTGTTACATTCAAATTAAAAAATGTGCATTTGATGCTAATGTGTGAGATGAAGCATATAGAATCAGTAGACATTTTTAAATATAGCTTATGTCTTGCATGTATAATCACATCAGCTGATGATCCACTGAATAATTTGATATATCAATTAGTTCCATCAGTATTAAAGTATTTGCTAGTATTTTTAGCATCTGTTACTTCAGTGAGTAGAATAATCAGTGAAACTAAATTTTCACTGTAGTAATTCAATAGTTCATCTGCCTAGTTTATTAAATTGTTGGACTCCTTTAAAACAATAATATTTTATGTGGCAAATATGTGCTCCGATTCAATAATACACTGAGTTTTCATAAGTGTATGCATCTAAAAATACAATATAAAACAAATGTTAGTTGTTATTCTTGCAATTTAGATACTGAAAATTTTTACATTCATTGATACAATTCTTTTGACAAAGAGTGTGGCTTTAACTAAGAAGTCCTCAGAAGTCATTGACCTGACAATCCAACAAGTGTTTAATGAATAACCAATGTTATAGCTACAATTCATTTAAATATTACATGCTGAAGACTGTGATTCAAAATTTACTTATATTATTACATTTAATTCTCAGGCAACCCAAAGAGGCAATGCTATTTCCAAATCACACATTGAGAATCTAATAGGCTTTCACATATAAGTGAGATCACACAGTATTTTTCTTTCTGTGTCTGGCTTATTTCACTTAGCAAACTGTTCTTTAGGTTCATTCATATTGTCACAAATAGGAGGATTTCCTTTTTCTAAGGTTGAATAATATTCCGTTGTGTATATATATATGTCTACATTTTATCCAGTCATCCATTGATGGAAACAGATTGTTTCCATACCTTGGCTACTGTGAATAATGCTGTGATGAACATGGAGGTGCAGATATTTAATATCTTTTCAAAATGGTGGTTTCATTTCCTTTGGGTATAGACCCAGAAGAGAGATTGCTGGGTTATATGGTAGTTCTATTTTTGAATTCGTTCAGAACCTCCATATTGTTTTCTACAATGGCTGCACCAATCTACATTCCCACCAACAGTGCACAAGGACTTCCTTTTCTCCACACCCTCACCAACACTCGCTATCTCTTGTCTTTTTGATAGCTGTCATTCTAACAGTGAAATCTAAAAAATCAAACTAAACCAAATAAAAAAATTAAAAAAAAAAAACTTGAATACAAGGAAGCAGTAAGTAGAGTGGTGGTTGCCAGGGATGGAGTGGGGGGAAGCAAATGGGAAAATGGAGGTCAAATGGTACAAAGTTGTATTAATAATTATGTGAAATACATTATTCTAATAAATAATTCACTATAGTGAATAATATTATATGGTATAGTAAAAATGTGTTAAGAGTAGATTTTAGATAACTATGTGAGACCATCAACATGTTAATTTGTGTGACTGTGGTAATAATCTCACTATGGATATGCATATCAAACTTTGTTGTATAACTTAAACATATAATAAAAATAAAGTGTATTACAAGTATTTTTTTAAAAAGAATTTAATAAGCTTGATTAGATTCAATGACTAATCCAGGGTTACATGGTTGGAATATGGTAGATCCAGTAATCAAACTCAGCTATGACTAAAGGTAAAGCTCTTGCTCAAAGTCTAAACCCCTGCTGGCCGGGCACGGTGGCTCACACCTGTAATCCCCAGCACTTTGGGAGGCCGAAGCAGGTGGATCAGAAGGTCAGGAGATCGAGACCATCCTGGCTAACATGGTAAAAACCCGTCTCTACTAAAAATACAAAAAATTAGCAGGGCGTGATGATGGGTGCCTATTGTCCCAGCTACTTGGGAGGCTGAGGCAGGAGAATGGCATGAACCCAGGAGGCAGAGCTTGCAGTGAGCCAAGATCGTGCCACTGCACTCCAGCCTGGGTGACAGAGAGAGACTACGTCTCAAAAAGAAAAAACAAAAAAGTCTAAACCACTGCTATCAGATCCCTAACTAGAGGACAGATAGAATGATAAAGGTATAAGATTGCTGCCTTGCAGACATTTGGTTCCCTAAGGACTTAAATGATTGGATATGTGATTACATATACTTGAAACATAAATACAACACTAATTGCTATGGCTTTTTTACTTGTCTTCAGCATGCCTCCTTCTGTGCTCCATAAAAAGACTAACTTTGGCTCCTATTTTTAATCTATTTGAACAACTGTTAAACCTTTGTTTATAGATTATACCATCAGTAACATTTGGCCTTGCTCCATACTCATCATCTCCATAAAATTAATGAATATTACAACACTGCATTACTTCACAAAACGAAGTCATTTTCATAAGTCAATGTCTTACTTTACTGCACTTCACAAATCATTAACATTTATCAAAAATATGAAAATATGTTTCATTATAATTATCTCTGCAGAGGTGTCTACAGCTGGTAATGGATTTCAATATGGCAGATATAGGGTATCTGTTATTTTTACATTAGAAAAGTAACCCTAAAAGCAGGCAGATATGATTACCAACAGCTTTGATCATATGTACCAACATATAGCTAGTAGACTTACTATTAGAAGGTGGGCAGTAGAGGAGAGAGGGGGCACAAAAGCAACACACTGAGAAAGCAAAAATGTAGCTACTACAGTTCTGCTCTGGACTTTATACCATTTAATATACTTATATACTGCTATTCGGATAATAGACCCCTTCCCACTCTGATCACAAACGTGAGCACACTACCCAAACTAAGTCAAACAGATTCTCTCCTCCATAAATTCCAGTCATGGTTAACACAAACACACACATTCAGAAACCAAGATTAGTTAGAATTGAGTCATCTGATACACCTTCCTCAGACATAAGCAAAGCCTCCCTGGTTTCTGCCCTTCTCAAGATTTGGTTTTCAAATCTTCTTTTCAATCCTTTCCTACACATACTGAGAGGTGACAATGTGCTAGCAGCCCTCGCTTGCTCTCAGCGCCTCCTTGGCCTCAGTGTCCACTCTGGCCACGCTTGAGGAGCCCTTCAGTGTGGAGCCCTGCACTGTGGGAGCCCCTCTCTGGGCTGGCTGAGGCCGGAGCTGGCTCCCTCTGCTTGCCAGGAGGTGTGGAAGGAGAGGGAATGGTGGGAACCTGGGCTGCGCCTGGCGCTCACCAGCCAGCATGAGTTCCGGGTGGGCGCAGGCTCAGCAGGCCCCACCCTTGGAGTGACCAGCTGGTGCTGCCGGCCCCAAGCAGTGAGAGGCTTAGCACCCAAGCCAGCAGCTGCAGAGGATGTGCGGGGTCCCTCAGCATTACCTGCCCACGCGGGCCTCAGCCGCCTCCCCGTGTGGCAGGGCTCAGGACCTGCAGCCCTCCATGCTCAAGCACCCCCCATCCCGCCCGGAGGGCTCCTGTGCAGCCCGAGCCTCCCTGATGGGCGCCGCCCCCTGCTTGTGGCACCTGGTCGCACTGACCTCCCAAGGGCTGAGGAGTACGGGCACGTGGCGCGGACTGGTGGGCAGCTCTGCCCATGGCCCCTGCGCAGGATCCACTAGGCAAAGCCAGCTGGGCTCCTGAATTGAGTGGGGACTTAGAGAACTTTTATGTCTAGCTGGAGGATTGTATATGCATCAATCAGCACTCTGTGTCTAGGTCAGGGTTTGTGGATGCACCAATCAGCACTCTGTATGTAGCTAATCTGGTGGGGACTTGGAGAACTTTTATGTCTAGCCAGAGGATTGTAAATGCTAAAGGATTGTAAACGCACCAATCAGCACTCTGTGTCTAGCTCAAGGTTTGTAAATGCACCAATCAGTGCTTGTGTCTAGCTAATCTAGTGGGGACTTGGAGAACTTTTGTGCCTAGCTAAAGGATTGTAAATGCACCAATCAGCACTCTGTGTCTAGCTCAAGGTTTGTAAATGCACCAATCAGCTCTCTGTAAAATGGGCCAATCAGCAGGATGTTGGGGGCGGGGGTCCCATAAGAGAATAAAAGCAGGCTGCCCAAGCGAGCAGCAGCAACCCACTTGGGTCTCCTTCCAGGCTGTGGAAGCTTTGTTCTTTTGCTCTTCACAATAAATCTTGCTGCTGCTCACTCTTTGGGTCTGCGCCACTTTTAAGAGCTGTAACACTCACCATGAAGGTCTTCAGCTTCACTCCTGAAGCCAGCAAGACCAAGAACCCACCAGAATGAACAAACAACTCAAGATGCGCTGCCTTTAAGAGCTGTAAGGCTCACCGCGAAGGTCTGCAGCTTCACTACTGAAGTCAGCGAGACCACGAACCCACCAGAAGGAAGAAACTCCGGACACATCTGAACATCTGAGGGAACCAACTCTGGACACACCATCTTTAAGAACTGTAACACTCACCGTGAGGGTCCGCGGCTTCATTCTTGAAGTCAGCAAAACCAAGAACCCACCAATTCCGGACATAATACTATATTTGGCTTAATTCTTTATTCACCAATAAAATAATTCTAAGTGATAACCTGATAATGCTAAATGATAACCACATATTCTAAATGAAACTCCACTAAAAATGGGGTACATGAAAAGAACAAACAAGTATTAGTCCCTTGTACAGCTTTTTTTCCACTGTAAAGTAAATTAGAAGATGAGAGTGATTTGAGTGGAATATTGCAACACTGTTTAGAACATTCAGTAAACCCATGAGTAAAGGCTTTGACAGAAACCTTACAGGCTGGAAAACACAACCAAATCCAAAAGAAGTACTTTAGAGACTACAGATTGCTCACTTTTGTAAAATGGAAAAAGGCCAGTGTAATTGACCTGTAACCAGGTAGCTGGCTGATCTCTTAGAACTATCATTTCATAACAGGGGTCCTTTGCCTATCAGTGATTTCAGAAAACTAGACAGTCACATTACTAGTAGCTAGGTCACTGGTGGTAAGTGAGAAATCCACATTATTAATACATGTATTACACTTCCATACTTGCCCTATTCTGACATTTTGAAAATAAGCTCACTGAATAAACCCTGGCTTTACTAAGGAAGGGGAATGACTACATCTACAGAGGGGATCATCCTATTTTTCTGTTTACTTAAAGCTTTCTTTCAAGCCAGCTGTTCCTAAGGAAAACTCACACATGCTAGGCCCATTCCCTGAGGCCAAATAACATTTTGTTTGCAAATGATATGAACAAAAGTCAAACTAGCTTAAACAAAAAGGGAAGGGCAGGGCAGGAAAGGAAAGGGAAGAAAGAAGAAACAAGGAAGAAAAGAAAGAAGAAGAAAAGAGAGAAAGTAACTGACTCACACAACTGGGAAAGTTGGGGGTGGTACCTGCATCACACATCAAACAATCAGATTATCAGCACTCTGAATTTGGCAGTTTTACTTCTCTTTATGGTTTCCTCCTCTTCTACTAAGGCGAGTCCTGTCTTTTGGCAGATGACATGATTGGGACAGTATCATGAACTTATTTTCTGTTTCCCATTGTCTGTGTATATCTCATCAAAAGCTCTAACTCACTTGTTTTAGGTTACATGTACTTCCAAATCATAGCCAGACATCAGTTACGTCACAACTCTGCTATATAACCCAGTTCCTTTTGTGAATAGCAGTCTCATCAGAACCTCATGGAATAAGAGAGGGGCAAAATTAAAAAGGAGAGGGTATTTGTATCAGAAAAACATACAATGAGTAGACAAAATCAGGCTGTGCATTACAAAAAATACTATTTTGTAAAATAATATACAAATTTAATAAAAAGTAATACTAATTTAATATATAATTTAGCCTTAGACATTAAAGATTAAAAAGACTTAGAAAAGGGCCGGGTGCGGTGGCTTATGCCTGTAATCCCAGCACTTTGAGAGGCCGAGGCAGACAGATCATGAGGTCAGGAGTTCGAGACCAGCCTGGCCAACATGGTGAAATTCCGTCTCTATTAAAAATACAAAAATTAGCTAGACATGGTGGCGCATGCCTGTAATTCCAGCTACTCAGGAGGCTGAGGCAGGAGAATTGTTTGAACCCGGGAGGCGGAGGTTGCAGTGAGCCAAGATAGCACCATTGCACTCTAGTCTGGGCGACAGGGCAAGACTGTCTCAAAAAAAAGACTTAGAAAAGAAGCTTTAATCAAGTAAATGATCTATTTCTATATTACTGATAACCACCTGAAGTAAAATTCTCAACCCCAAGATCCACAGAAGGATCACTTTTGCAAAGACATGTCCTAATACTCATGACTTAATTGTTGTCTTATGAATAAGTGTTGATTGCTTAGCTTTATATTTAATGCCATCCAGAAGTACTGCTTACACAGTTTTGTATTTGTAAAATACTAAATATCATCACATATTAGCTCCTTGATCCTGATAGGTTATCATATTTCACTTCACAACAAATTATTTTTCTTTTCAAAATTTCTTTTAGCTAAAAGTGTTTACTAAGGGAAATAATTAAATCATAATAAGTTTAAGGCACATGCACAAATCTGGCATGAAATTACAAAGAAAATATATAAAGATATGAAAACAAATTTTTAGAATCTATTTCATTACTCCAAAGAGTTTTAAAAATATATTTAAATAGCATTAAAAATTCTCAGATAAGGCACAGATGTTAGCACTTTATGTCTCATTGCTTGTGCAGCTATTGTCTCGTGTACTGACAAATCAGTAGAACTACTCTCACATGAATATTGAGCAGATGAGAACCTGTTGAAGAAAGGTATGCCATCAATGATGTAGAAACAACTACCAAATATTTAAAACTAATACAATACTGCTTTCATTAAAAAAAACTCTATTGTTGTTGAAAAAATGGATGTGAAAGAATTCCACAAAATCTGATAGAGCAATTTTTTTTTTTTTTTTGAGACGGAGTCTTGCTCTGTCACCCAGACTGGAGTGCAGTGGCACAATCTCAGCTCACTGCAAGCTCCACCTCCTGGGTTACGCCATTCTCCTGCCTCAGCCTCCCGAGTAGCTGGGACTACAGGCACCCGCCACCACACCCGGCTATGATACAGCAATTTGATGTTTGTGTGGAAATCACTCAACATACATCTTTTAAAAGATTAGATTTCTTCATATCATTCATACGTGTAAAGCCTTTTTATGCTCACTTCATTGCCTTATTCTACCCAAATTAAAAGCAATGACAAGCATGTTAAGATATTAATAAAAGGACAAGGATAAAAGAAAGCCTGGGTGGACAGGGGACAGGAGATCTTCACCTAACCACATGAATAGAGAAGGGGAGCAACCCATGGGTGAGCAATCTGTTACTATACAGCAACCCTGCCTAGGAGGAAACATGGCCTCTCCATCCACCAATCCAATACTCTCTCTTATGGGGAAAAAAAGGGGAAATAAACAGAAAAAAAATCCATCTTTCTATACCTATTCTCAGGATTGGTAAGAAGAATATAAATAATGCATGAAAAATGCTTATTCAAAGTGACTGATACAGTTAAATGCAATAGATAGAAGCTGCTAGTTCTTTTTTTGAAATTCAAAATAGTTCTTTTTGCTTTTATTTTCATGGTTAAAAGAAAATACACATTCTTTGATTAAAAAAAAAATGAAAACATGCAAGTGAACAAAAACAGTAAAACTGAAAACTCCTGAATTCCCACCAACCAAGCTACTTAGTCATAACCACTGGTAAAATATTGGAAAGTATCTTGCCATTCCTGCTCTTTATAATTTACTTTTGCACCTAAAATATATTATGAACATCTTCTCATGTTAATATCAAAATTCTGATGATACTCATGTACCTATGTAGTACAGACTTGTACATGTGAAACATACTTTATCTGACCACTCTTCCATTGTTGAACACTAATGTTGATTCCTGGTTTTTGCTGTTGTTGTTGTTTTTGTTTTTGGCTTTAGTAAGTAAGTAATGCCATGATGGGCACAAATGTAGCTAAATATTGGCATGCTTACTTATTTTGCTTCTAGGAATAAATTCTCTGGGTGCATTACAATTATTTTTCTCATGTATAATAGTCACTTGTACAATATCTATCTTCCATTTTAGACTGACAAATACATTTTTGAGAGGTTCACATATATTTTTTCTTTTCTCATTTTACTGAGATAATCTAGCTTTGCAATTCTTCACCTTAGGGTTTACAGCCTGGTAGGATGTGAAAGTAGCCTGAAGAAGCCTGCCTTTTATAAAAAGCCTAAAATCACTGACGAGATTATGTCAGATATCTTAGGGAGGAAAGTAGCAAGGTAGGGATGCCCGGCTAGAGAAAAAGATGCCTGTAGGTTTCTTCAGTAGTACAGACCATAGTTGGTCCCTAAAGAGGTAGCCAGACCTAAGAGAGTATGATAGGAGGATAGTATATCTAAGAAGTTTGAATCTGGGCAAAGAACCCACCCTCCACACGTGGCATAAAAGAGAGAGTTCCTGGACTTCCAGGGTCTGCTGTGAACTTGGAAAAGATGATGATACTGACAACCATGACAGAGAGAACAGTCAGTAGCTTTCTTCCATCTTCTGAGCACTGCAAATTCTCCTTGTGTGATCTTAGGAAGGAATGGAAGAGTAAGAAGAACTGATAAGGAATTTCCTAGCATCCTTTTGGAATAGCGGTTTAAAGCCTAATTGAGTGGATTTAAAGAATATGATAGGCAGGTGCGGTGGCTCACGCCTGTAATCCCAGCACTTTGGGAAGTCGAGGCGGGCAGATCACCTAAGGTCGGGAGTTTGAGACCAGCCCGACCAATATGGAGAAACCCCGTCTCTACTAAAAATACAAAGTTAGCCAGGCGTGGTGGTGCATACCTGTAATCCCAGCTACTTGGGAGGCTGAGGCAGGAGAAACGCTTGAACCCGGGAGGCAGAAGTTGCAATGAGCCGAGATCGTGCCATTGCACTCCAGCCTGGACAACAAGAGTGAGACTCTGTCTCAAATAAAAAAAAATAAAAAAAAAAGATACATGTGACAGCTCTTTCATACCTCATTTGGTACTTTCACCAGAACGGCTGGCACACTGTAGGTGCTCAATGTTGACTAAATAACATTAGAAAGAAAAAATAAAATGGGAACTGATAAAGTATTGAGGAACATATTAACTGTAGCTTTGGGGATACTGAAGAGACTCTATTGAAGAGATAACATTTGAGATGCAAGGGCTAAGGAAACAGTGTCTAGCAGAGCCTTGATACACAAAGACCTAGGCACCTGCTCAGCAAGACTTATTGAGCTGCCTAGGGAGGCTGGAGATGAATTCTGTAATGGTTCACAGCTTGCCTTGGCTCTACTTACTTTGTGTGTTCTGCCTTTTTCCTTTCCTGGGATTTTAGTCAACCCGAGTTTTAGAGGCTTTTATTTATCTAATTGTTGACCACCCATGTCATCTCACCATATGAATTATGTCTTCTCACTTACTCAATTTATCTAGGATAGCTTGCAGTCTTAACATGTATGGCCTCTGATCCCCAACTCCTTCCTCTATAGCTTTCTTGTATGTAGTTTAGGACTTCAGGGACGAAGGCTTTCAACAAACTCAGCTGGGCACACAGACTTGTTTACAGATTGAGAAAATAACAAAAGCAAAACAAGAGAAAAAAAGTAAAGGAAAACGTAGTAGAGTAGTAGTAGAGTAAAACAAAGTATGAGATAAGAAAGAAGCTCCATATTGCATGGTATATCACATTTAATATGATTGGTCATTTATATTCAGTCCCATTATATTTAAATCAAAGATAAATAGAACCAAACAATACTCAATATGGCAAAACACCTTAAAATCTGAACTGAAAAAAACAATGTTATTTCTCTGATAGACAATAAAAAATCATACATAACTAAGATTATCCAAGGAAAAGTTTTAGTGAGTTTTGATGACAATGTGTTCTTGAAAAGCCTTATCTTGTTAAACATATGATATTTTTTAACAGCTAGGGGTCATTTCTCAGTTAAAAAAATCTATTTCAAGTAAAATGGCTGTTTGTAAGGAGTCAGAAATTTAAAATAAGAAGTTATAAATGTAAAAAGAATTCCTAGCCAACATGCTTTGACCCAAATGGTAATGTTTAGAATCCTTGGTTTCACTACAATTGATAAAATATTTTTATCTACATACATATTTACAGATGTATATCTCCACATATAGAAATCAATTTATGTATTTGTATATATAACTTATTTTTAGAAGACACAAAATGAGGATAATGATCAAAGCAAAACTAATAGTAAACTCACATTGTTCCAGATTAATGAAATGCTATAGGAAAAAAACAAACAGAGAAGTGCTTGGAAAACATGATTTCATCTATCTTTTGATGGAACCCATAAACTTATATTGATCTAAGTCAGTGAATGAAATGATTCATAGAACAAAATTATTTATCCTCAGGGTGGTAGAGAGATTTAGGTGTGCGGATAACCAGTTCTAATAAGCACCATGCTCACTCGGCCTGTTTCCTAAAATATCTGCTTGTTCCATTTTCTGCTTTGGGACCTAAGTCAACCCTGGTGTATTTAAACTTAGTATTTTGTTTCTGAACTTCACAAACATGGGCAATTTTTTTACAGAAGAGCAAAATTAAGTTGAGGTTTAGTTACGAAAACTTTACAGAACTCCATTTCACAGTCTATGAATCCAATCAACATTCAAAGATTAGGAAGTTGATTAGCTAGTGTATAGATTATCAAGGCTATTTTACTCGTGTTCTCCAGTTGCTTCTCCTTTGACTATTTAATTGTCTACCTGAATTGTTATCAGATAAGACTCAAGTATAGGAAAGTTCAAAACAAGTAAAACAAGTCTATGGAATCATAGAATATAGAAGACCAATATTATGCTTCTCCAACTTGTTATGTTAGTTCTGGTCAAAAACAACCATCACAAAAATAATCTCAAAAAAATTTTTAAATCTTGTCTAGGAATATTAACACTGTTTATTTAATAAAAATATATTTTTGAGTTGTCTGTTAATTTCATTGATCTACCACTGCTCACGATTACCGTGGAAATCCAAGAACTTCTAGTTGGCATATTACTGTTCATGACATTAACAATGTACTGGACCATTGGAGTGAACCATATAAAATGGAATAGAGATATACACTTCAACTGTTCCAAGTGAAAAACAAAAAAAGCGAATTGCCATCCACATGAATCACTAAAACTTAATTCCTAAGTCTTTCAAATTTTAAACATTAAGCTGAACAAAGGAAGACTAGTCGTTTTTTCAGTTTATTTATTTATTTTCCTCTGTAAATCCTGAATTGGTTTCTGTAAACTAGTCAAAGGTATACTCTTTGGGGAATTACTTTTATAGATTCAATTAAAGTGTATCCTACTAGCATTTTGAAAGTTCAGGTTTAGCAAATATTTCCAATGTAGGTGACACTTCTTAGGATTTTAAAAACATAATAAAAGTGAGACTCTCTCTGGAATTGTGACTTAGTAACTGAAGGAAATAATTTTTTTCTGTCAAAAAATTGTGTAGGTTTGTTAAAAAAAAAAACAGCAAAAACTTGGTTTTAGACATCCACACATCTTGAAATCAAATATACTTTATGTGAAAAGGTACTACTCTATAATTTTCTATCTGCTATCTAAGCATATCTTTATACCATGATGTCTGCTTAGACTCAAGAAACAGAAAAATCTGAAGCAGGAACAGAACGAGCAATTTATCTGTCTTAGGTGTATTCCTTGTGATTCTGTTAACTTACTCCACAAATATTTATTAAATTCTAACCTAAGGTTGGTTCTGCAGATGATTAACAGTTTGTATGCTAAATGTATTTGGTTTCATTTCATTTGAGAAGAAAGAGGCAGGTAAATAGCTCCTGAAGACCCAGACTCCTGAATCTTTTATTCACTCATACATACATCAGTGCTTCATTTTGAATTATATGTTTTTGAGCAATAAGTCTGGTCACTTCATTTTCAAAACTCAAATATATTTATACAGGTAATTTATTACTTATTATTGCTGGGCTTATCTTATTGTTGCTCCTTTTCCATTGTCACTGCCACTATCCCAATTTAGTACTCTTTCACCTAAGATAAAGACAATTAGAGTCATCCCAAACTGTATTTTTTACTTTTAGTATTTCACCTTCCAATTAATTCTAATTATTTTTAGCCTGTATCTGTTCTGGGTCCCCATATCCACCTGGACTTTAGTATTCCTGCGGCAAATCTGGTCAAAGAAGGCAGTATACTAACAGTCTCACTGGAGTCTGATGAGGTAAAATACTACTGGATAAACCCGATTCACATGGCCAACCATCATTTTGGAACTATTAACCTCCTAATTTTGATAATACCTGATACTTGCTGCTTAAGAATCAAACCCTAGGTTTATTACCACTTTACTGAGGCTGAAATTCCAGTGAGAGTGAAATTTTACTGTAAACTTCGGTCCATTTCATGAGAGAAGTTTGTTTTAGCCTCAGCTAATGCCTGAAGTCCTAATATTATGTAACAGTAACCCAGATTTTTGTTTGTCTGTCTGTTTGAGACACAATCTTGCTCTGCCACCCAGGCTGGAGTGCAGTGGCGCGATCTCGGCTCACTGCAAGCTCCGCCTCTGGGGTTCACGCATTCTGGTGCCTCAGCCTCCTGAGTAGCTGGGACTACAGGCGCCCGCCACCACATCTGGCTAATTTTTTGTATTTTTTTTTTTTTTTTAGTAGAGAGGGAGTTTTACCGTGTTAGCCAGGATGGTCTCCATCTCCTGACCTCGTGATCCTCCCGCCTTGGCCTCCCAAAGTGCTGGGATTACAGGCGTGAGCCACCGTGCCCAGCAACAGTAACCCACATTTTTAAGTAGAAATAACATGAGGGAATAAACATGACATTTTATAATTCTAATGTAAACAAATATTATTTTGAACAAAAGTGATTGGTTTTAAGTTTATAGGTGAATCTTAACTCGCCTTGGTATTTTTCCTTGTCTCTTTAACTTCACACTGGACAAACTGGTAAATAACGTTGAGAGCTTCTTCTGGGCTGCTTATAGTTAGCTAGCTAGAACTAAATGCTCCCATCCTTCTAAACTCAAAAGTGACCAGGAACCTCCAAAATTCTAAAGTGTTGGGCAGCTATTTTTCTAACACTCAACTAAACGGCTGGCACCTAAATCCAAATTGTCCATTTCCTTCCATGCAACAAAGTCTGCACTCTAAACACTAGCCCAGTGTAAAAAGAACAACAAGTTTTGAAGTTCCTCTCCTGGAACCCATTCCCATGCAGCATATAGCAGCACTCAAATCCAAGCAGTCCTTTCCATAGGACACTGAAAAAACAGGATCCCTGTATCTGTTGATTCTCTTGCCTGTGAGTTCCAGTTTGCACCCAATGATGCTTACTGGTGTTCACCCAAGTCTGCACTATACACTACAAGAAAGATGGCTTCTTTTTTATTTTTGATTCTGGGGTTTATACCAGTAAAATGAGATAACATAGGTAAAATCAGTGCAGAGCCAAAGAGGATCTTAAAGCCTCTAAATATTTCAGCTATCACAAGATCCTATGAAACATAGCTGATTAACTCCCAGAAGTAGGTGTCAGCATTTGTGGTAAGAATCCCTATTGTGCCCTTGACAGATCAGGGATCATTTATGGTGGCAAAACCTATTGGATTGCCTAAGACCTTCACCTTCAGATGATTAATCAAGCAATTCTATACTGACTAAGAGATGTTATTGAAAGTACTTCTACATATATTGAACCTGGAATTCTTGTAAGGCATTCTCACAGGCAATGTTATAGCTAATTTCATGTATCAGTGTGACTCGGCAATGGGATGCCCAGATATCTGGCTAAATTTTACTTCTGGGTTTGTTTATGAGGGCATTTCTGGAAGGGATTACACTAGAATGGGTGGATTGAGTAAAGCACGTTGTCCTCCCCAATGAGGGTGACCATCGACCAACCCACCCACTGAGGCCTCAAACAGAAGAAAAAGGTAAAATAAGTTTGAATTCTCTCTTTCTCTCTCTCCCCCTGACACTCAGACTGAGATATCAGTCTTCTCCTGCCCCGGGACTGAGGCTTACACTATCGGTGCTCCTAGTTCTCAGACATTCAGAATCAGCCTGGACTTTACACCACAAGCTTTCCTAGGTCTCCAGTTTGTGGGACTTCTCAGAGCAGACTGTGGGACTTCTCAGCCTCCAAAGTCATGTGAGACAATTCCTTATAACACATCCATCCTAATTCTTCTGATTCTCTGGAGAACTCTAGGACAGATTTTGATACCTAGAGTGACTGTAGAGTAAAAGAATTTTAAGGACAAGTTTTCTAAATTGACTCTGGGGTTTCTAGAATTGTGTCTTTAATTTGATTAGCTTTAAGATGCTAATGGCTCTATTTCCAGTAATAGAGCACTGACAGTCCATGGCATAATCTGGCAATAGAGATACACAAAATATCTGCATTGGATACACCTAATCAACCACAAATCAACCAACAGTTCCAACCACAAGCAAGATGTAAGAATTAAAGAAGAAAGAAACACAAAACACGGCTTGGCAGTCAAAGACAGGTTTTCTTTAGTTAAAACCTAAGAGGCGCTCCTGGCCGACTGTGGTCAGGAGAGATTTCTCTTGTAGACTAAGAGTATATATTTGTTTAAGGGTGAGGGGGCTTATCAGAAGTTTGGAATGTTCCTGTTTACGGGAGAAGTTTTATGGTGGGGTTGGAATGTCTCTGGGTGGAAGGGAGTTCACCTTGGGGCAGGCATCTTTCCAGCCAGAGGGGGGTTATCTCCAGACTGGTATCTTCCCGGCTGGATGGGGGTTATCTCGGGGCTAGCATGTCTCTGGTTGGGGAGGAGTTTGGAATGTTTCTGGCTGGAGATGTTATTTATGATTTATGGTCATGCTGACCTTAGCCATTAGGCTGATGCCCTTTGGATTTAGGCGGTTTTTTATTAAGGTGAACTTTAGAATGAGAGGCTTGTCCAAGATGGCGATGCTCCTGCTCTGTCACAAGGAACTGGGTGACTTTTGTAAAACTAACAAATATAGTAAGTTTGGCTGGTTGCTCCTAATGCTGCCAAAGTGTTGGAAGAAAAGGATGAGCTCACGGATTCAGATGTGCAGCTCAAACACCACATAAATGACCAGAGGTATCTATGTGTACATTGAAGGAGACCCTTAGCTCCTATAGCCACAGGGCTGAGACTGCTGAAGATCAAACAGAGAATCTCATCCTGTGACTGACTGATTACAATGCAAGTTGAACCCCCAGCCTCATAGGCCAGATGCTGCTGAAGTGAAGGTATTGATTGGAAAATAATGGGATCCTATAAATTGGGATTGAGATGTGTGGGAAGACCCTGATGAAGCTGGTTACATTGAACCCCTAAATTCTGATTAGTTTTCTTTTCTAGTGAAATTGGTCTCCCCCCTTTGGCTGTGGCATCTACATTCATAGTGGTATTGGTTTTTCCACCTCCTAAGGAAAGTATAATGGCCTCCCCTGAAGCAACTGCCATGAAAGACAATACCAATTCTCTTCAGTACCCATCCCACAGCCTCTCTTTGTTTCTACATCTATGACAAGGCTCAAGTATCAGCAAGCCTCCAAAGGTGAGGTACAAAGTATAACACATAAAGTATGTTACACTCTGAAACAACTACTTGAGTTTTCTAATTTATACACAGAGAAAATGGGAAAACGTGTTTAAATGGATGCTAAAGCTGTGGCTGTGGGATAACGGTGGAAGAAACAAGTTGGATTAGGATGAATATATTGACATGGACTCACAAAACAGAGATTCTGCATTTAATGTTGCAGTTCAGGGAGTTAGGAAGGATTATAATTGGTTGGTTGGTTGGCTAAAACACGGACCAAAAGATGGTACACAGTGAGTAAATTAGATATTCTAGAAATGCTTTGGTTTAATATATAGGAAGGTATTCAAAGGCTTAGGAAGACGGAACTGTTAGAGTACAGTCATTTAAGACCTACTCACCCATACTGAGAGGGCCCAAGAGACATGACTTTCACCAATACTATGAGAAATAAATTTTTGAGGGGAGCCCCAGCATCCTTAAAGAGCTCTGTAATTGCTCTTCTCTCGTCTGTAGTGGGAACTACAGAAACTGAACTAGGAAATCTAAATGTAAAGGAGATAATTAGATCCTAGGGTGACAGGGGCCAAGTGGTAGCACTCAACTGCCAAAGACAAGGTGGGCATGATTACTATGATGGAGAGCAGAGTCAAAACAGCAATAATAATAATCTGACTCACACAGACTTATGGTGTTGGCTAAATGACTACGGTGCTCCTAGAAGTAAAAAACATAGAATAGAAAATAGTAGGAGCCTACTAAATTCTTTCTTGATCTGCAGAAGCAGAAAAGTTCAAGGTCAAGTGAACAAAACTTTAACCTGAAGCATAAAAACAGAAAGTAACAGCCCCTCAGTGAATTCCCAGATTACAGCCAATTTACAGATTCAGAACCCCTAGAATAAAGGAGAGTCTTCTTTTGAGAAGTGTCTGTTCATGTCCTTCGCCCACTTTTTGATGGGGTTGTTTGTTTTTTTCTTGTAAATTTGTTTGAGTTCATTGTAGATTCTGGATATTAGCCCTTTGTCAGATGAGTAGGTTGCAAAAATTTTCTCCCATGTTGTAGGTTGCCTGTTCACTCTGATGGTAGTTTCTTTTGCTGTGCAGAAGCTCTTTAGTTTAATTAGATCCCATTTGTCAATTTTGTCTTTTGTTGCCATTGCTTTTGGTGTTTTGGACATGAAGTCCTTGCCCACGCCTATGTCCTGAATGGTAATGCCTAGGTTTTCTTCTAGGGTTTTTATGGTTTTAGGTTTAACGTTTAAATCTTTAATCCATCTTGAATTGATTTTTGTATAAGGTGTAAGGAAGGGATCCAGTTTCAGCTTTCTACATATGGCTAGCCAGTTTTCCCAGCACCATTTATTAAATAGGGAATCCTTTCCCCATTGCTTGTTTTTCTCAGGTTTGTCAAAGATCAGATAGTTGTAGATATTTGGCATTATTTCTGAGGGCTCTGTTCTGTTCCATTGATCTATATCTCTGTTTTTGTACCAGTACCATGCTGTTTTGGTTACTGTAGCCTTGTAGTATAGTTTGAAGTCAGGTAGTGTGATGCCTCCAGCTTTGTTCTTTTGGCTTAGGATTGACTTGGCGATGCGGGCTCTTTTTTGGTTCCATATGAACTTTAAAGTAGTTTTTTCCAATTCTGTGAAGAAAGTCATTGGTAGCTTGATGGGGATGGCATTGAATCTGTAAATTACCTTGGGCAGTATGGCCATTTTCACGATATTGATTCTTCCTACCCATGAGCATGGAATGTTCTTCCATTTATTTGTCTCCTCTTTTATTTCCTTGAGCAGTGGTTTGTAGTTCTCCTTGAAGAGGTCCTTCACATCCCTTGTAAGTTGGATTCCTAGGTATTTTATTCTCTTTGAAGCAATTGTGAATGGGAGTTCACCCATGATTTGGCTCTCTGTTTGTCTGTTGTTGGTGTATAAGAATGCTTGTGATTTTTGTACATTGATTTTGTATCCTGAGACTTTGCTGAAGTTGCTTATCAGCTTAAGGAGATTTTGGGCTGAGACGATGGGGTTTTCTAGATAAACAATCATGTCGTCTGCAAACAGGGACAATTTGACTTCCTCTTTTCCTAATTGAATACCCTTTATTTCCTTCTCCTGCCTGATTGCCCTGGCCAGAACTTCCAACACTATGTTGAATAGGAGCGGTGAGAGAGGGCATCCCTGTCTTGTGCCGGTTTTCAAAGGGAATGCTTCCAGTTTTTGCCCATTTATGCAGCCAAAAAACACATGAAGAAATGCTCATCATCACTGGCCATCAGAGAAATGCAAATCAAAACCACTATGAGATATCATCTCACACCGGTTAGAATGGCAATCATTAAAAAGTCAGGAAACAACAGGTGCTGGAGAGGATGCGGAGAAATAGGAACACTTTTACACTGTTGGTGGGACTGTAAACTAGTTCAACCATTGTGGAAGTCAGTGTGGCGATTCCTCAGGGATCTAGAACTAGAAATACCATTTGACCCAGCCATCCCATTACTGGGTATATACCCAAATGAGTATAAATCATGCTGCTATAAAGACACATGCACACGTATGTTTATTGCGGCACTATTCACAATAGCAAAGACTTGGAACCAACCCAAATGTCCAACAATGATAGACTGGATTAAGAAAATGTGGCACATATACACCATGGAATACTATGCAGCCATAAAAAATGATGAGTTCATATCCTTTGTAGGGACATGGATGAAATTGGAAACCATCATTCTCAGTAAACTATCGCAAGAACAAAAAACCAAACACCGCATATTCTCACTCATAGGTGGGAATTGAACAATGAGATCACATGGACACAGGAAGGGGAATATCACACTCTGGGGACTGTGGTGGGGTCGGGGGAGCGGGGAGGGATAGCATTGGGAGATATACCTAATGCTAGATGACACATTAGTGGGTGCAGCGCACAAGCATGGCACATGTATACATATGTAACTAACCTGCACAATGTGCACATGTACCCTAAAACTTAGAGTATAATAAAAAAAAAAAAAAAAAAAAAAAAAAAAAAAAGGAGAGTCAGGGTTATCTCAAGGAAGGATTCTGGTACACTACCAAAAACTTATTTTGTTCATCTTTCTCCCAGTCTTTCCCAAAGGGATCTATAGCCCTTTGCCAGAATAACTGTACACTGGGGAAAAGGTAAAAGTAAGACCTTTTGGGAACTACTGGACCCTGGCTCTGAACTGACGCAAATTCTAGGAAACCCAAACATCACGGTGTTCTACCAGTCAAAGGAGGGATTTATGAAGGCCATGTGATTAATGAAATTTTAGCTTAGGTCTGTCCCACTGTGGGCTCAGTAAGTCCTTAATCCATCCTATAGTTATTTCTCAAGTTCTGGAATGTACAATTGGAACGGATATGCTCAGCAGCAGGCCGAATTCCTTTATTGGTTCCCTGACTATACAGTGAGTGCTATTATAGTGGGAGAAGCCAAGCGGAAGCCACTAGAATTCCCTCTGCCTAGGAAAATAGTAAACCAAAAGCGACACCACTTTCCCGGAAGGGCTGCAGAGATTAGTGTCACCTTCAAGGACTTGAAGGATACAGGGGCAATGATTCCCACCACATCTCCATTCAACTTGGCTATATGGCCTGTAAAGAAGACAGATGGATCTTGAAGAATGACTGTGGATTATCATAAGCTTAATAAGGTGGTGACTCTAATTGCAGCTGCTGTGCCAGATGAGGTTGCATTGCTTGGGCAAATAACACATCCTCTGGTAGCTGGTATGAAGCCGTTGATCTGATAAATGCATTTTTCTCAATATCCATTAGTAAAGACACCAGCAGTGGTCTGTTTTCAGCTGGCAAGGCAACAATATAACTTCACTGTTCTACCACAGGATTATATAAACTGGCCAGCCCCAGGTCTTAAATTCAAAGGGATCCTGATCACCTATCCCTTTCACAAGCTTTCATGCTTGTCTATTACATTGATGACATTATGTTAATTGGAACTAGTGAGCAAGAAATAGCAACTATTCTATCATTAGTAAAAGATTTACATATCACACGTTGAGAAATAAATACAAAAAAATGCACAGGCCTTCTACCTCAGTGAAATTTCTAGGAGTCTAGTGGTATGGGGCATGTTGAAATATCTCTTCAAAGGTGAAGGAAAAGTCATTGCAACTGGCCTCTCCTAGAACCAATGAAGAAGCACAATGCCTGGTAGGCCTCTCTGGATTTGGGAGGCAATATTTTCTTTGTTTGGAGATATTGTTCTATCTCATTTACCTAGTGACCCAAAAAGCTTGTAGCATTGAGTGAGGCCATCAAAGGAAGGCTCTACAACAGGTTCAGGTGGCTGTGCAAGCTGCTATTTCACTTCGGCCATATAACCCAGCATACCCTGTGGTACTTAAAGTGTCACTCAGAGATAGAAATGCCATTTGGAGTCTTTGGCAAACCCATGTGGGTGAATCGCAGTGCAGGCCTTTCATATTTTGGAACAAGGCCCTGCCATGATCTGCAGAAAGCTACTATCCTTTTGAAAAATAGCTCTTGGCCTGCTACTGGGCTTTAGTAGAGTCTGAATGTTTAACCATGGGTCACCAAGTTCCCATGCGACCTGAGTTGCCCTTCATAAACTGGGTGTTTTCTGACATACCAAGCCATAAAGTTGGCATGTATAGCAACACTCTATCATCCAACAGAAGTGATATATACATGATGGGTCCTGAGTAGGCTCTGAAGGCATAAGTAAGTTACATAAAGTAGTAGCCAAATGCCCACGCCTGCTGCAATGCCTTTTCTCTCTTAGTCTACACCAGTGGCCTCATGACGGAGGAAATTACATCGTCAGATAACTTGCACTCACAAGCTCTTTCAGCTCTAAGAGACCCCCAATTAAATGTCTTCTACTCTTGATATATCTGGCTCCCCATTTATTAACACAGAAGTATTGGGGCCTTTGCTAGAAAGATCAAGGAAGTCATACAAACTTCACCTTCAGAAGCTCTGGTTAGCTGTATTCTGAAGGTTTTCTCTTTCTTGTGTGTGGCTATTGTGAATGAGATTGCATTCTTCATTTGGCTGTCAGCTTGAACGTTATTGGTGTATAGAAACACTACTGACTTTTGTACATTGGTTTTTTATCCTGAAACTTTACTAAAGTTGTTTATCCGATCTAGGAGGCTTTGGGCAGAAACGATGAGGTTTTCTAATGATAAAATCATATCATCTGTGAAGAGAGATAGTTTGACTTTTCTCTTCCTATTTGGATGCCTTTTATCTCTTTCTCTCCCCTTATTTCTCTGGCTATGACTTCCAAAACTATATTGAATTCAAGCAGCGAGGGTGGGCATCCTTGTCTTATTCCAATTCTCAACAGGAATGATTACAGCTTTTACCTGTATGATGCTGGCTGTGAGTTTGTCACAGATAGCTCTTATTATTTCAAGGTAAGTTTCTTCAATAACTAGTTTGTTGAGAGTTTATAATATAAAGGAATGTTGTACTTTATCAAAAGCCTCTTCTGTGTCTATGGAGATAATTAGATGGTTTTTGTTTTTAGTTCTGTTTATGTAATGAATCATATTTATTCACTTATGCAGTTGAACCTTGCATCACAGGAATAAAGCCTACTTGATTTTGGTTGATCAGCTTTTTGATATGCTGCTGGATTAAATTTGCCAGTATTTTGTTGAGGATCTTTTTGTTTATGTTCATCAGAAAAATTGTCCTGAAGTTTTATTTTTTCATTGTGTCTCTGGCCAGGCTTTGGTATCAAAATAATGCTTCATAAAATAAGTTAGGGAGGAGTCCCTTATCCTCAATTTTTGGAATAATTTCAGGAGGATTTGTAGTAGCTCTTCTTTATACATCTGGTGGAATTTGGCTGTGAATCTGTCAGGTTCAGGGCTTTTTTTGGCTGGTAAGTTTTTTATTACTGATTAAATTTCAGAACTCGTTATTAGTCTCTTAAGAGTTTAGGAATATAGCTAACCAGGGAGCTGAAAAATCTCTACAGTGAAAATTATAAAATACTGTGGAAAAAAATCAGGGATAACACAAACAGATGGTGTTTACATGCTCATAAATAGAATCAATATCATTAAAGTGACCATACTGCTCAAAGCAATTTACAGATTCGATGCTATTCATATCAAACTACCAAGGACATTGTTCACAGAATTAGAAAAAAACTACTCTAAAACTCATATGGAACCAAAAATGAGTCAGAACAGCCAAAGCAATCCTAAGCAAAAAGAACAAAGCTGGAGGCATCACAGTACTAAACTTTATACTACAAGGCTACAGTCACCAAAACAGTATGGTACTGGCACAAAAACAGACACACAGACCAATGGGAAAGATTAGACGACCACACAAAAAGAACACACCATCTGATCATCAACAAATCATCAATAAAAAACAATGCAGAAAGGGCACCCTATTCGATACATGGTGCTGGGATTACTGGCTAGCCATATGCAGAAGATTGAAACTGGACTCCTTGTTTACACCATACAGAAAAATCAATTCAAGATGAATTAAAAACTTAAAAGTAAAACCTAAAACTATAAAATCCCTTGAAGAAAACCTGAGAAATATCATTCTGAATATAGGACCTGGTAAAGATTTCATGATGAAGACTTAAAAAGCAATTGCAACAAAAATTAAAATGGACAAGTGGGACTTAATTAAAGAGTTTTGCACAGCAAAAGAAACAGAATAAACAGAATAAATCAACAGAATAAACAGACAACTCACAGAATGGGCAAAAACATTTGCAAACTATGCATTCAACAAAGGTCTAAGCCCAGAATCTGTGAGGGACTTAAACAACTCAACAAGCAAAAACCAACCCCATTTAAAAAATGGGCAAAGGCATGAAGAGAAGACACACATGCAGCCAACAGGCATATGAAAAATTCTCAACTAATCATCAAAGAAATAAAATCAAAACTCCAATAAGATACCATCTCACACTAGTCAGAATGACTATTATTAAAAAGTCAAAAAATAACAGACTCTGGCAAACCTAGGGAGAAAAGAAAATGTTTATATATTCCTGGTGGGAATGTAAATTAGTTCAGCCACTATGGAAAGCAGTTTCAAGATTTCCCAAAGAACTTAGAACTACCATTTAACCCAGTGATCCTAATACTGGGTATATATTAAAAGGAATATAAATTGTTCTGCCATAAAGACATATGCACACATATGTTTATCACGGCCCTACTTACAATAGCAAAGACAGGGAATCGACATAGATGCCCATCAACGGTGGACTACATAAAGAAAATGTGGTACATATACACAAATACATTGCAGCTAAGAAAAAGAACAACATCATGTCCTTTGCAGCAACACAGATGTAGCTAAAGGCCATTATCCTAGCAATTAACACAGGAACAGAAAAACAAATATCGCATGTTCCTACTTATAAGTGAGAACACTCATGGACACAAAGAAGGGAACGACAGACACCAGGACCTACTTGAAGGGAGAGAGTGAGAGTAGGGTGAGGATTGAAAAATTACCTATAGGGTGTTATGCCCACTACCTGGGTGAAAAAATAATTTTTAAACCAGATCCCAGCAACATACAATTTACCCATGTAACAAACTTGCACATGTATCCCCTGAACCTAAAATAAAAGTTGGAAGGGGAAATAAATGAAGACAGAAACAGGAGCAAAAAGAAATATTCCAATACTTTATCACTTCTTTTTAATATTTGTCCTAATCATTTCATTTTCTTACATTATTACATTTCTTTGAATCTCTAAATCTCCAAGAAAATACTGAATTAAAATGGTAATAGTGGGGGGAAAAAAGAAGTTCTGAATGTATCCCTTATTTGTATAGCTCTTCAGATTTTAGAACAGATAAACTCACTCTCAGGAAAGTGAGGCCTAGACACAATAGCCTCTAGACAGAGTAGACTATATGTCAACAGAGTAGAGATAACCCTTCCCTTGGTAAATGACAACCAGCTTAGAAGGCAATGAGATTTCAGTTTGAGGTGAAATCTCTGCAATGGGATTTCAGTTTGAAGTGATTTCCATTCATGTGATCAAAATAATTCAAAAAGTAGTGTCTAAGGGACCAGTGCTTAGGCAAGAAGCAAAAAAGAGACTTTGCTTCCTACCTAAGACCTGGCCCTTTTAGGTAGGTAGAAGCCCAGAAGATTGTAGGACCTATATTGTGGTTTTGTCTGCATGTTTCACTGGAAAGGCTAATCGTTTAAAGGAAATATACGGAACTAAACAAGGGAATCATGTTAAACATCCTGGAAGGTCTCTTTTGATATGGCAAGAACTTGCTTATTTAGCTAGTTTCTATGACTTCCTTCATGAAATGTCCAATCAATGTTGATTTTATAGAAATGCTAACGTTGGAGATATGTTGATCATAGAGAATTTTCCAGTTGTTTTTTTAAAATATGCTGCTTTTGGGGCATAAAGCTCTAATTATAAGTCAGAAAATCACCTTCCAGAAACATTGCTCTCATTTCATATGTTATTCAAGCAACAAAGAATCAATGACAGTACTGCAATCTACTTGAGGGGTACCTAGTTTGAATCAGCTCTCCAAAGGTTAGTCACAGGAATTTCTAACTACAGCTGAGGCTTTAAAACTCAGCTGTCACATTGGCAAAGTGTCTCATGCATTGGTTATTTTGTAAGAGAAGTTGTGCAAAAGGAAATTAGAGGAATGTGGAACTTGCTTAAATTATCCCCACAACTATCTGTAATGAAGTTACTGGAACTTTAGGGATTCATGAGGTGAAAAACATAGTGCTATAAAACTGTGAAGAGATTGTACTAAAGGGGGATTCCAGTAATGCTTAAAAATAGGCTTCCTGAGCTAATAGGTACCTGAAGAAGTCCTACGTTCCACTCCCAAATACACGGTAAGAATTACCATTAGGGGATCCTGAATGACTATAAGGAAGTAGATTCCATAAACCTCCTTAGCAACCAGTATCTGTGATAAATATTTTTATATTTCATTATGTTCTGTCTCAGAGAAGTTAAGTCTTCCATTTTCCTCTTAAAATCAGGGAATTGCCCAGGAGTTGTATAAAGGTTCTTTTCAGTTTTGTGATTCTATGGGTTGTAGCATTTAACAACCTTTGGCAAAGTGCCTGAAATCAGATCTCAGTAGTTTGAGGCTTTGCGCGTAATTTCTTCATTCTTTATTCCTTATCCTCCCAGAAAAAGATACAATGTAAGCCAGAAAAGCATTAGAAAACAAAGTTATGTTGCCCTCTAGAAACAGGGTTGCCAGATAAAAAATTTGGGATATAATTATACTAAAATAATTATTTGTTGTATATTCAAAATTTTGAGTTCAGTTACTGCTCCCTGTCCAGTTACAATGATCTAGTTGGCATGCTTCCCACTTCATCAAATATTTCATTAGTCATATTTTTTAAAGACTATGAAAATATCTTAAGGTAATGTTCCTTTAAGAGTCTCAAACTATGTAATTATATGCTTACACTTTCTCCCAGTTTCCCTCCAAAAGTGTTTAGCATATATTTATAAACATGGCACATGTCTTCCTTCTCAGATCAGGTGGACATTTTCTCTTCATGTTTCCAGTGCTTTCATATCACAATTGTTGTTGCTCATTGGCTTAAATTAAGCCTGGTTTACTTTCTTTTTTTTTTTTTTTTTTTTAACATTCCATGAGATTAAAGTTGTCCACAAAGACAGACAAGTATTTAATGCAGTTTATCCGTCCCCAACCTAATATTTTAAAAATCAAAATGAAGCTTTCTAGAGCAATCTTCTCTACTAAATCTTGCCTTTGTGCTACTTTCGAGGTCTCTTAGGAAAACACTGTGTCCGGAATTGGTGGGTTGTTGGTCTCACTGACTTCAAGAATGAAGCTGCGGACCCTTGCAGTGTTACAGTTCTCAAAGGCAGCATGTCTGGAGTTTGTTCCTTCTGATGTTCGGATGTGTTTGGAGTTTCTTTTTTCTGGTGGGTTCGTGGTCTCGCTGGCTCAGGAGTGAAGCTGCAGACCTTCACAGTGAGTGTCACAGCTCTTAAGGCGGCGCGTCTGGAGTTGTTGTTCCTCGCGGTGGGTTCGTGGTCTCACTAGCTTCAAGAGTGAAGCCGCAGACCTTCACGGTGAGTGTTACAGCTCATAAAGGTAGTGCGGACCCAAAGAGTGAGCAGTAGCAAGACTTACCGCAAAGAGCGAAAGAACGAAGCTTCCACGGTACGGAAAGGGACCCTACCAGGTTGCCACTGCTGGCTCTGGCAGCCTGCTTTTATTCTCTTATCTGGCTCCACCCACATCCTGCTGATTGGTCCATTTTACAAAGAGCCGATTGGTCTGTTTTAGAGAGAGCTGATTGGTCCGTTGTGACAGGGTGCTGATTGGTGTGTTTACAATCCCTAAGCTAGACAAAAAAGTTCTCCACATCCCCACTAGATTAGCTAGATACAGAGTGTGGACACAAAGGTTCTCCAACTCCCCACCAGAGTAGCTAGAGTAGCTAGAGTAGCTAGATACAGAGTGTCAATTGGTGCATTCACAAACCCTGAGCTAGACACAGGGTGCTGCTTGGTGTGTTTACAAACCTTGAGCTAGATACAGAGTGCTGATTGGTGTATTTACAATCCCTTAGCTAGACATAAAGGTTCTCCAAGTCCCCACCAGACTCAGGAGCCCAGTTGGCTTCACCCAGTGTATCCCCTACCGGGGCCGCAGGTGGAGCTGCCTGCCAGTCCTGTGCCGTGTGCCTGCACTCCTCAGCCTTTGGGTGGTTGATGGGACTGGGCACCGTGGAGCAGGGGGCTGTGCACGTCGGGGAGGCTCAGGCTGCGTGGGAGCCCACAGCCAGGGTAGGGGGGGCGGTGCTCAGGCATGGTGGGCTGCGGGTCCCGAGCCCTGCCGCATGGGAGGCAGCTAAGGCCCGGCAAGAAGTCGAGCACAGCAGCTGCTGGCCCAGGTGCTAACCTCTCACTGCCTGGGGCTGGCGGGGCTGGCCAGCCACTCCGAGTGCAGGACCCGCCAAGCCCACACCCACCCAGAACTCGCGCTGGCCTCCAAGCACCGGGCAGCCCCAGTTCCCACCCATGCCTCTCCCTCCACACCTCCTCGCAGGCTGAGGGAGCCGGCTCTGGCCTTGGCCAGCCCAGAAAGGGGCTCCTACAGTGCAGCTGCAGGCTGAAGGACTCCTCAAGTGGGGCCAGAGTGGGCATCAAGGCCGAGGAGGTGCCGAGAGCCAGCCAGGGCTGTGAGGGCTGCCAGCACGCTGTCACCTCTCAATATCACATTATGTAAAATATGCTACATGTTAAGTAAGTAATATACCACAAAACTACTTATGTGTGTGTGAGACTATGTTATAGATGGGAGAGTTCTCTTACATCCATTATCTTGTTTTATCTGTGTTACAATCCTGCAAGGTAAATACATCAATAATTCTCATTCCCTTTTCACAGATGGTAATGCTAAAGATAAGACTACTGAAATGCAAATTTATATGGATAACAAATAGTAAATATGGGTTGAATTCAGGTTTTTAAAAAAATTTAAATCAAATGTTTTAATGATGTAATTTGTATTTCCCTCTCCTTTTTGCCCTGTTTGGTTCTTCATTCATCTTCACACAATGCCCCTTTTTATTTTCATCCAGTTTATGGATTTTCGTAGATCAATGTAATTTTTGATATACTGTTACTCCCTCCTGCTTCTATTAGATGTTGCTTTAAATATATATAAAACAAAATAAAAGGAACATCCATAGACATCTCTATGTAACCTCTATATATTTAAAGACATGGGGAAGATAACAAACCCTTTACTAGAAAATATCTTGAATGTCCTTAGAAATTATCCTTAAAATCACCTGGGATCCAGGATTTTTTCTTCTTCCTTTATCTTCCTAATTCTTGGCACAGAATGTAAGCTTAATTAATAAGGACATATACAGTCTCAGAGGCATTATTTGTGTCCTTGTAATTGCCTCATATGAAATGCATGTTTAAAATTCAGTCTTTTGTTATTGCATATTCATCTTCTCTTTGCTGTTATTGTATGTTGCATGGATTCACATTTCCTTTTAATGTACTGGCCCTAAATATGCCCCTGCAATCTTCTTCCTTTTATTAATGTTGATGGTAACAGGTGTATGTATTTTTGTATCTTATTTTAATATTTCATATTATATAACCAACAAAGTAAAATGACAATAGGCATAACTTAAAGCAGAAAAAACAATACTAATGACAGACCTTCCATATGATGAAAAAATAAAAAATAAAGTAAAAAAAAAACTTTTCCATGTCTTCATGTAATATTCATAAGTTTTTTGTTTTATTTTTATTTTAAATAGATTTTGCTTTGTATATTTAAGGGATATAATATGATATTATGAGGCTAAAAAGGTTACTATAGTGAAGCAAATTAACATATCCACCATTTCATATAGTTACTCAATTATTTTGTTTTTGAGGCAAGAACAGCTACACATTTAGCATGAATCCTGTATACAATACAATTTTACTGCCTATAGTCATTATGCTGCACATTAGATATCTACTTATTCATCATACATATCTACCACTTTGTATCCCCTAACTTACATCTCCCAGTTCCCACATTTGCTTCCACCTCTGATAACCACTACTCTGTTTTTTTATCTCTGTGAATTGAGTTCACATGTAAGTTAGATCATGCAATATTTGTCTTTCTATGTCTCACTTAATTCACTTGGCATAATGTCTCCAGGCTAATCCATGTTATAACAAAGGGCAAGATCTTGCTTTTTAGGGCTAAATAATATCCCATTGTATTTACACACTACTATTTATTTATCCATTCATCCAGCTATGGACACTCTAGATTATTTCCATATCTTGGCTGCTGTAAATAATGCTGGAGTGAACATGGGAGTGCAGATGTCTTTTTGAGGTGGTGATTTCATTCCCTTTGTATATACGGCCAGAAGAGGAATTACTTGATGATACTGTACTTCTATTTTAAATTTTTTTAGAAACCTCATACTTTTTTTTTATAATGGCCATACTAATCGACAGTCCCACAGTGTACAAGAGATCCCTCTTCTCCACACCCTTGTCAATATTTGTTATCTTTTGTTTTTTTTATAATAGCCATCCTAACAGGTGTGAGATGGTATCTCATAGTGGTGTCAATTTTCATTTTCCTAATGGTTAATTATGTTGAGCACTTTTCATACCTGTTGGCCATTTATGTCTTCTTTGGAGAAGTGTCTATTCATGTCTTCTGACCATGATTTAATTGGGTTATTAGTTATTCCACTACTGAGTGATATCAGTTTTATCTAAATTTTAAACATTAAACGCTTATCAGATATATAGTTTGCAAGTATCTTTTTCCAATCCATAGGCTGTCATTTTGCTTTGCTATTTTCTTTGCTATACAGGAGTTTTTTTAGTTTGATGTAGTCTCATTTATTTTATTTTTGTTTTTTGTGGCCTGAGCTTTTGGTGCTGTCCAAAACAATCATTACAAAGGTCAATGTCCAGAAGTAGTTCCCCTACATACTCTTCCAGGAGCTTTATGGTTTTGGTCTTATATTTAAGCTGCTTTTATCCATTTTGGGTTGACTTTTTGTGTATGGTATAAGGGCCTACTTCATTCTTTTGCATATGGAAATCTATTGCATATGGAAATCTAGTTTTCCCAGCACCATCTTTTAAAGGAAGTATCCTATCTCCATTATGTTGTCTTCATGTCCTTGTCTAAAATTAGTTGATAGTATATATTTAGGTTTATTTCTGGGGTCTCTATTCTGTTCCACTGGTCCATGTATCTGTTTTCATGCCAGTACCATGCTGTTTTGATTGTTATAGATTTGTAATATAATTTTAAATCAGGAAATATGATGCTACCAACTTTGTTTTTCTTTCTCAGAATTGCTTTGGCAATTCAGGATTTTTTAAGTTTCATATTGGTTTTAAAGTTGTTGTTTCTATTTTTTGTGAAGAACATTATTGGAATTTTGATATGGATTGTGTTAAATTTGCATATGACTTTCTGTACTATGAATATTTCAACAATATTAACTCTTCTTATCCATGATAACAAGGTACATTTCTATTTATTTGTGTCTTTTCAATCTCTTTCATTAAATGTTTTATAATTTTCAGTGTAGTGATCTTTCACCTCCCCAGTTAAATTTGTTCTTGTATATTTTTTTCTTGATGCTATTGTAAATGGAATTGTTTTCTTAGGGTCTTTTTTAGTTAGGCTGGGTTTTCAGTTGTGTATATAAATGCTGCTGATTTTTGTATGTCAATATTGTATCCTTCAACTTTGCCATATTCATTTATTAGTTCTATGAGTTTTTTTGTGGAATTCTGGTTTTTTTACATATAGAATTATATCATGGGCAAATAGAGATAATTTTACTTCTTCCTTTTAACTTAGATGACTTTTCATGTCCTTTGTTTCTTATTGTTTTGTTGTCTGATTGTTCTTGCTAGTACTTTCAGTACTATATTTAATAGATGTAGTGACAGTGGACATCACTTGCCTTGTACCAAATCTCAATGGAAAAACTTTCAGTTTCTCCCCATTGATTATAATATTAGCTGTGGGTTTTTTATAAAACACCCTTATGTTGAGGAACTTTCTTTCTATACCTAAACTGTTGAGCATATTTATCAAGAAAGGACGTTGGAGTACACCAGTGCTTTTTCTGCATCAATTGAGATGATCACGTGGTTTATATCTTTTATTCTGTTAATGTGATGTATCACATTGATTGATTTGCATATGTTCAACCAGCCTTGCATGCCAGGGATAAATCTCATTCTGTCACGATCTTTTTGATGTGTTGCTGGATTTGATTTGCTAATATTTTACTAAGGATTTTTGCATCACTGTTCATCAGAGAAATTGGTCTGTAGTTTTCTCTTCTTGTCATGTCTTTGTCTGACTTAGGTATCAAGGTGATACCTACAATCTTGGTAGGTTGTATTTTTCTAGGAATTTTTTCATTTCACCTAGATTATCCAATTTTTTGGCATTTAATTGTTCGTAATAGTTCCTTGATATCCTTTTTATTTGTAAAGTGTCTGCAGTAATTTGTTCTCATTCATCTTTGGTTTCATTCATTTAAGTCTTTTTTATGATTAGACAACTCTTTTTTCTTCAGAAAAGCTCTTAGTTTTATTTACTCTTCATATGGCTTTCTATTCTTTATGTGATTTATTTCTATTCTGATGTTTATTATTGATTTCCTTCTTCTAGTTTGTTCTTTTTCTAGTTCCTTGAGGCTTAATGTTAGACTATTTTTCTGAGATATTTCTTCTTTTTAATGTAGGCGTTTATTTCTATAAACTTTCCTCTAAAACTGCTTTTGCTGTCTTCCATAAGTTTTGGTATGTTGTGTTCCCATTGTTGTTTGTCTCAAGATATTTTTTTAAATTTATCTTTTGATTTCTTCTTCAATCCATTGGTTGTTCAGGAACATGTCATTTAATTTCCACAAATTTATGAATTTTTCATGATTTATCTAAATACTAGTTTCATACAATTAGTGTCAGAAATGATACTCAATAGGACTTAAATATTCATACATTTTTAAAGAAATGTTTTATCACCTAACATTGTTTCATGTATTCTGGAAAAAATGTCTATTTTTCTGCTGCTGCTGGATGGAAAGTTCTGTATATGTCTGCTAAGTCCATTTGGTCAAAAGTGCAATTTAAGTCCAGCATTTACTAATTAATTCTCTGGTTAATATATCCATTGTTGAAAGTGGGGTACTGAAGCCTCATCCTATTATTGTACTACTATCTATTTCTCTTTATGTTCATTAATAGTTTACATATTTAGGTGGTCCAATGTTGTGTAAATATATATTTTCAATGATTAGGTCACCTTGATAAACTTATTCATGACATTCAGTCACAATCTTCTTTGTCCCATGTTACTTTTTGACTTCAAGTCTATTCTATCAGATAAGTATAGCCACTGCTGCTTTCTTTGATTACAATTTGCATCTAATATCTTCTTCCATCCCTTCACTTTCAGCCTCTGTATATCCTTAAAGCTTGAGTGGGTCTCTTTCAGGCAGCATATAGTTGGATATTGATTTTTATCCATTCAGCCACTCTGTGTTGAATGTAAATGGATCAAATTATCCAATCAAATTACACAGATTGGTTGAATGTGATCAATTTACATTCAAGGTTGTTACTGATACATAGGGACTTGCTACTGCCATTTTGCTATTTGTTCTCTGCTTCTTTTGTAGTTTCTTTGTTCCTTTATTTCTCTCTTGTCATCTACCTTTATAATTTGATAATTTTCTGTAGTGCTAACTTTTGTTTCTTTTATCTTTATCATTAGTGTAGCTGATGTAGGTTTTTTGTGTATGTGGTCACCATGAGGCTGACAAAAGTATCTTATAGTCTACTATTTTAAGCTAATAATTTCTGTTATATACAAAAACTCGAGACTTTAATCCCATTTAAATTTTTGATGTCACAATTTACATCTTTTTCTATTGTGTACTTTGTAACATTTATTACAGCTTTAGTTATTTTTGATGATTTTGACTTTTAACCTTCATACTAGAGATATGTATGACTTACACAACACCATTAAAGTATTGGAACACTCAGGATTTGACTATGTATTTGCCTCTAGCAGTGAGTTTTATATTTTCATATGTATTAATGATAGTAATGATCATCCTTTGGTTTCTACTTGAAGAACTTCCTTAAGCATTTCTAGTAAGGCAGCTCCAGTTGTAATAAATTCTCTTGGCTTATGCTTGTCTGTCAAAGAAGTATTTCTCCTTTATTTCTGAAAGACAGCTTTGCTAGGTATACTACTCTTGGCTGATAGATTTATTTTTTTCCTTTCAGCACTTTGACAATATAATTCCATTCTCTCCTAAACTGCAAGATTTGTCCTTAGAAATCTGCTGATAGTCTAATAGAGATTCTCCTATATGTGGCTTGATGGTTTTTCTCTTACTGCTTTTAAAATTCTCTCTTTATCTTTGACTTTCAACAGTTTGGTTTTAATGTGCCTCAGAAGGAATCTCTTTGGGTTGAATATATTTGGAAATCTCTGAGCTTCATGGATCTGGATGTCCATATCTCTTCCCAGACCTGGAATATTTTCAGCAATTATTTCATTAAATAGACTTTCTGTTCCTTTGTCTTTCTCTTATGTTTTTGGGGACTCCAATAATCAAATATTTATTCACTTAATGGTGTGCCATCAGGCCTATAGGCTTTTTTTTTTTAACTATTTTAATTTTCCTTTGAGTCATGTCAAAAGACCTATACTGCAGTTCAAAAATTCTTTCTTTTTGATCTTGTCTGCTGTTAAACCTCAACCATATATATTTTTTTTATTTCATTGATTGAATTATTTAGCTCCAAGAATTCTGTCTGGTTCTTTAATACAGCTCCTATTTGAATTTCTCATTTGGATCATTGTTTTCCTAATTACACTGAATCATTTATTTCTATTATCTTGTATCTCACTAAATTTCCTTAAGATCATTATTTTGATTTCCTTTTTAGGCAATTTGTAAATTGTTGTTTCTGTGGGGTCAGTTACTGGAGAATTATTGTGTTCCTTTGGTGGAGTCATATTTCCTTGCCTTTTCATGTTTCTTGTGTCTCTGAATTGATGTCTGTGCATCAGACAGTGCAGTCACTTCTTCTAAACTTTACAGAGCAGCTTTCATAGGGGGAGACTTTCACATACAGGTTGAACACGGTGCAAGCAACTCTCCATGTGGACCCAGAGGTGTAATCTACATTCAGCTTCTTCCACTGTGATCAATGTTAGTGATGACTGGAGGTGCTTACATGGCCTAGACTGTAGGAATTTGTTTCAGTAATGGTGGCTGCATAGGTTATTAGGGCAAAGGCTTTAGGGATCCTCTTATTCTTGTTTTTCTCACAGTGGGGAGTCTTAGCTGGGGATTTTTCTTGAAATTGGGTCTGATATGGCTTTCAAGCAGCACTGAAATATAGTGCAGCACTATAATATAATACAGTATATAATACAGTAGCACTGGAATATAGGACACATATGCTTGGAACAGCTGTGGAACTGGGTTCCTGGGCTAAGGGTTTTGTCAAAATACCGTAGTTCCCAGAACTTGAGGCCATAGGCTCACTCTCCAAAGCACAAGAGAATGCAATTCTCCCACTAAGCTGAGGCCTATCTCTCTGAGGCACATCCCAGTAGCTTTGTCCCAGGAGCTTGGATGTAGCTATGGTTCTGACCCTGGGAGGCACCAGCATGGATCTGAATAAAAATTAAAAAAAAAAAAGAAGTCCTACAGAGGCTCAGGCCCCAGAAACTTGGGCACAGCTGCAATTCAGGACCCAGAACAAACAGGGCACACTGGCAGGTGGGCTCCAGGGAATAAGGTACCATGAGGTGGTGACTCTGGAACTGGAAATGATAGGACATAGGAGTATCCCAGACTTTATAAGGCCAGGTATAGCAGCAAGGATGTAAGTTCCTGATATGATTTAGGCCCCAGGGGACAGGGAGCAGTACAGTGATGCTTTCACTTCCAGAAGAGGGGGGATGTCTTGGCAGCTCAGACTGTAGGAGTCTAGTCCAGTTCCAGGTAGGGAGGACACTGTGGGCTTTTCGACCTGAAGGTGCATAACCACAGCTCAGCCAATGCTCTGATTCCCTGGGACTAAAGGCACTGTGTCTGTTTAGCCCCAGAAAGTGCAGCTACATGGGTCAGCAGAGCCTCTGGATCACTGGGTTCAGGGTGTGGCATCAACTATGATGCTTAGAGGTACAGCTGCTTCATTGGGCCAGGGGCTCATATTTCCAGGGTGCAGGCTGCTGCCTCACCTATTGCACAGGGCAGGGGGTTACTGCTCCAGTATGCCAGTGGCTTGAGGTCCCTGGGAAATGGGTTGATGCCTCAGCTGTGGCACCAGATCATGACTGTCCCCACAGTTAAAAGGCTCCAGGTCCCTCAGGGCAGGGCACCACTTCAGCTTGACCCTGAGGGAAGAATGCACCACCAACTGGGATGGGGATAAAAGAATAGCTTTGTGGTAGCTTGACTCTAGGGAGTAGGCCATAAGACAAGATTTCATTCCTTTATATGATTAAATAATATTCAATTGTGTATGTACATCTATTTACCAAATTTTCTTTATCCATTCATCTGTTCATGGGCATTCAGAAGATTCCATATCTTGGCTATTGTAAAT
The DNA here is from genome assembly GCF_000001405.40 of Homo sapiens. Lineage (NCBI taxonomy): Eukaryota > Metazoa > Chordata > Mammalia > Primates > Hominidae > Homo > Homo sapiens. The sequence goes on from NC_000004.12 coordinate 46,813,296, forward strand.
ACTGCTGCAGTAAACATGGGAGTGCAAATTATCTCTTCAATATATGAATTTCTTTTCCTTGAAACACTTCAGGACATTGGACTGGACAAAGATGTTATATGGAACACTTCAAAAGCACAGATAATGAAAGCAAACATAGATCACTCAGATTATATCAAATGAAAAAGTTTCTGCACAGCAAAAGAAACTCGTAAGTGGGAGCTGAACGATGAAAACACATGGACACAGGGAGGGGAACATCGCACACTGGGGCCTGTCGTGGGGTGGAGGGCAAGGAAAGGGAGAGTATTAGGACAAATACCTAATTCATGCTGGGCTTAAAACCTAGATAACGGGTTGATAGGTGCAGCAAACCACCATGGCACATGTATACCTATGTAACAAATCTGCACATTCTGCATGTGTATCCCAGAACTTAAAATAAAAATAAAAAAGAAACAATCAACAGAGTAAAGAGACAACTTGTAAGGCTGAAGAAAAGACATGAAAACTATTCATCTGACCAGCAGTTAATACCCAGAATATAAAAGAAACACAAACAACTTAACAGAAAAAAAACTAATAATCTGATTTTAAAATTCTGAATAGACATTTCTCAAAAGGAGACATACAAGTGGCCAAGAAATATATGAAAAAAAGTTCAATATCGCTAATCCTCAGAGAAATGAAAATCAAAACTGTAATGAGATATTATCTCATCCCCATTAAAAAGGCAATTATCAAAAAGACAAAAGTAGCAAATGCTGGTGGGGATGTGGAGAAAAGGGAACTCTTATACACTGTTGGTAACCATTATGGAAAATAGCATGGAGGTTCTTCAAAACCTAAAAATAGAAAACCAGGTGATTCAGCAATCATATTACTGGGTATTTATCCAAAGGAAAGGAAATCGGTATATTAAAGGGACGGTTTTTAAAGACTTATTTGCCTAATCTTGGTTTGTCATTGAACACCAAACTTGCAGCAGTTTCAGATTTCAGAAATAGACTTCCATTTTGTTTCCTTATTCACTGGAGAAGTGCTTTCTGCAAGGTGATACAAAATTCGGCTTTCCAGTGTGAATCTTTAATCCCCAGTCCTGTGCAAACCAGGAAAAAGTGATCCATAATGTGTCTCTTTAAGTGGATCCTTTTTAGATGTGTTCATTTTCCCACAAAAATTACTAACTGTATAGTCAACCTGAGTGCAAACTATACAACATTTATAGCCAAAAGAAAAGTTTACTTAGTTATTTAGGATATAAACTAAGTCTATAGTTACTTTTTAATAAAGCCAGCTTAGAAAAGTTTCCTTTAAAAACATATATGTAAAGTAAGAGTTATATACCTCATACTAATGAACGACAGTAAGTGATGATAAGCTCCTTGGCAATGAATGATTTTAATTAATTATACTGCAGGATTGATCACTTTTTACGTCAATGTATCACTGATGAGTTGACTGCTCCTGTTGAAGATATTTCAGCATTATTTATGATCATTTACAGTAGTCATTTTTAATATAGGGAATTGTATCTGTTGATTAAAAAATTATAACAATTCTATCATTCTTCTATATCCTTAGTATATTCCAATAAATTAGATGTGGTTTAAGAAAATGTCACTTGAGGGCCAGGCACGTTGGCTCATGCCTGTAATCCCAGCACTTTGGGTGGCCGAAGTGGGCGAATCACTTCAGGCCAGGAGTTTGAGACCGGCCAGGCCAACACGGCGAAACCCCGTCTCTACTGAAGATACAAAAATTAGCCAGGCGTGGTGGTGCATGCCTGTAGTCCCAGCTACTCAGGAAGCTGAGACAGGAGAATTGCTTGAGCCCGGGAGGTGGAGGTTGCAGTGAGCCGAGATTGCACCAGCCTAGGCGACAGATCGAGACTCTGTCTCAAAAAAAAAAAAAAAGAAAAAGAAAATGTCACTTGAGAAGCATGAAAGTACTCAGACAGCAAGTAATAATCATCTCCAACTGGGGTTTAAAGTTAGACTCTTCTCTTACATTTTGTGGTATCTATTAATTTTGTGAAATAAGTATGAACAAAACTATAGGTTCAATAAATTGACACAGAGTTGATTCTACTCAGAACTCATGACAGTCACATTTATTATTATGGCCTGCAGTGTAATAATTATCTATCCTACTTGTTAATTCTAATAAAACCTTTTTCTTTTTATATTGTATGTTTTGTGCATCTTGAATCTTCCTTGCCTCTCCTCAGTACTAATCAACAAAATTCCAGACTTTAACCTTGGAAATTACAGGTTAACTGTAAATAAAAGAAGTTTCAACAAATTAAAAATAATCTGTATTCTCCTACAGCTGCAGAAATGCAGATTCAATTTTGCACAAATGGTGAATTAAGAACTTAAAAAAAAAAGAGTATCACTCTTATTTCTCGTCCAAGATGAGGGGAATATGTAATCCTTTTATTTTCTATTATTAAAACTGTCCCTGGAAGTGTTATTTGAACAAAGGATTCTTATGATATCAGGGCTTCAGAGAAATGTTGCAGTGTTCTGTGAAAATAAGCTTTAACCTCTAAAATGTCTCTAATACAGATTAATTGTCTTAGCAGATAACACTTTGTTTCCCTGGTAATAATATTTATATTTACCTTTCTGTTTTGAAAAAATACCAATGCTTATAAGATTTATCAAACCACAAGAGGACCACAAACACTCCTCTTCTCTCTCACTCTCAGGCAGGAAACGAGACCCGTGACTATTATGGATATGTAGGCCCTCCTTATATCCTCACCAATGGTGGCCACTCTCGGTCAGTCCTCTGGGTGATAAAGTATACATATAAATATATACTGAGTACAAGACTGACATTATACCCTACAACTATTACAGCCTGTAAAATTATTGTGTTTCTGAATATTTGTGAATGAAACAAATTGTTGTTTGGTATTCAATGACCTTGATATGGTCAAATCTTAACTCATATTCTTCCTTTAAACCTCATGAATACTGAATTTCTTTGCCATCGTTAACATATGCTTTGTCCTTTCTGGCCTCTAGTTATGTTATTGGGCTGTTCTCTCGGCCTTGAATGACCCCTCTTAATTCTTTCTCTATCTTCTATCTCTAATGGCCACTAAAATGCGACCACATTTGAAATTCCAACCATCCTTAAACCTGAACTGAAGTTCTTCTTTAAATTCTCATGGTACTTTACTCATAACTCTTTAAAAAGGTCTATTCTGTATTATAGTTATTTATAGTTATTATATCTATTATGATGTAATCATCATAAAATTATAATTTGTCTGAAACTTGTTATCCCCTGCAGTTATGAGCAAAGCATCTTGTACATCATAGGACCTCAAATGAATGCTGAAAATATTATTTAATGTCATTTTTTTTGCATTAGGATGCTTTTCCACAGGCAGAAAAACAATCTGCTGCAAATAATAAAGGAATTATAGTCTATGAGGGATTCACTTGAAGCAGAATATAACTTCTCATTGATAGGTTTTCACTATAGCTGAGGTTGTATGTAGACTAGAAATAAATCTGTGTTACAGACATTCATGTAATAAGTAATTGCTGAGGTATCACCGCTTACTGATTGAGTCCTACTTTGAAGTCCTTGTAGCTTGTTTGTGAGGGTAAGCCTCAGAGAATTTTTTTAAGTGGGAAGTTAGATTCAGTATTTTGCTTCACTTTGTCTTTTAGATTTAGTGTATGAAGAGAAAGAGTGATTCTATCTTAGCTCAGTGCTTTCAGCAGCTGCTCATGCTACAGAGTGGGAAATATTTTTTAAAAAGACATACAAGAAAAAAGAGGATAGAGTCATAACTGAGGGGAAGCAAGTTAATTTTAAGCCTCTGTTATTCAAGCTAAATGGTTAACTGACAACCAGTTACTGTTCTTTGCTAGAGTTTATCTTGGTTGAACTGTGTATGCATGGACAATAGGAAGAATTAGAAGGAAAGTAAAAGTTATTTAATGTTTGCCAAGAGTCAGGCCCTCTGCTAAGTTATTTGCATAAATTATTTTTTCCATTATAATAACAATTTGGGATATAGGTAGATTCAATATCCCCTTTCTATTGATGAAGACATTGAGGTTTTCAGGATATAAATGTAGCTACAAGGTCAATAGAAAAGCCGGGGTACACATTTCAGTCTCTCAGTCCCCCAGGTCTATAGGCTCTCCATTATAACATGCTGAATAAACTCAAATATAAGCTGAATATTCACATTTTTACTGTACTCTTTTCTCTAACTTTTCTGACACCCTTTAATTGGGCAACTTTAATTTGTTATCTAACTTTAGGCTCTAAACATTCTGAATAATTACATAATCAAGTCATAATCCTAGGTCACAAAGTAAATCAAACTTTCTCAAATACTCTTCCCTCTTAAGGAAACATGATAAAGTGAATATAGCCTGAAGAGGCTAATAGTCTAGTTGCAGAGTCAGACTCAATGAAATTTAAAGAAAGCCAGGAGGTGAGGATAAAACCGGGACAGCTGAAAGAAGGGCAGGTTCCCTAAGCATCTCAGTAGATTACAGTTTTGTTACTGAGAAGAGCTGGAGGGTCACCCTACTGAGACCCCCTTCAAGCATGTTTTTCCCTCAGCTTCAGAACTTACTTTGTATATGAGATGTTTGAATAAATCTTTGAACCTACGCATTTCTCAGCAGAACACAGAAAAGGAACTGATTAGAAATTTAAATTTCAGAAACATCAAAATTGCAAAATAGAGATTTCTTCCCAAAATACTATGCAGAGGCTTCCAGTGAGTCTTATTATGCTCATTACAAAAGGTAAGTACACTGGCATCCACACTTGGATGGACTATTTGAAAACACACAGGATGGTTGGAAAAATTAGAATAGGTAAAGGAAAAGATAATATGTCAATTCTCAATTAATCAATGCCCCTCTATGCAGTCAGTGACCTTTATTGAATCTCCTGTCTTACTAATCTTTTGCACATCCAGCAGAAGGTGGGAAGGGTCAGTTTGTCAGTGTCTTTTACTGAAGGTCCATTGTTCAGAGAATTGCAGTGAACTTGATAAAGAATACATGAACATAGAAAACAGACTACTGGAAGCCGGGCGCCGTGGCTCACGCCTGTAAACCCAGCACTTTGGGAGGCCGAGGCGGGTGGATCATGAGGTCAGGAGATCGCGACCATCCTGGCTAACACAGTGAAACCCCGTCTCTACTAAAAAAAATACAAAAAAATTAGCTGGGTGTGGTGGCGAGCGCCTGTAGTCCCAGCTACTCAGTAGGCTGAGGCAGGAGAATGGCGTGAACCCAGGAGGCGGAGTTTGCAGTGAGTGAAGATCAAGCCACTGCACTCCAGCCTGGGCGACTGAGCGAGACTCTGTCTCAAAAAAAAAAAAAAGAAAGAAAGAAAACAGACTACTAGATCTCAAGCATCTTTCATTGTAATGGAAAAACAAGTAAGTACACAAAAATTTTGTCATTATTATGGTCAGTGCCCTTTGGCATGGCACACACATGAGTAATCAATCATCTCTATAAAATGAACCACAGATGGCATATTAGTCTTAACTGTTCCACAAACACAGGGCCTCTGTTCTGTGCTAACGACTTTAGATATGCCAGTGTTGCATGAATTACTTATTTGGCTGTTTTCCCCCCAACACTGTAAGTTTTAAGCATAAAAAATTCTTTCTACTTATTACAGTGTATCAGGTGCTTTATACAGTAGGGTGCTCGATAACTATTTTTAAATGCATGATTGAATAAATGAATAAAATGTTTTCAGTTTCACTTTGGTATGTTCACAATCACCTCGAATTTTGCCGTTTTTAAAACAAAGCCTTTTTAAAAAACCATGTAGCCTTCTCTTGGCTGATAGGTGATAGATTTTCTTGCATAATAGAGATTATTAAATGACCACTTCTCATGCAAAAAAATCTATAAAATGAGGGTAAATTTGATCTGGAGGACTTCCCAACCCACTCTCATTTATCAAAAACCCTTTAGCGGAACCACCTCAAGGTCACACCTCATTCATTCCCTCTACAGAGGTATATCGACTCCTCATGCTAAGGGCTGGAGGCAGAGCGGCAAACTAACATGCCACTCTTAGGAAGCTTTCAGTTCAGAGGTAGGAAAGTCACTAAAAGAGACAACAATTACAAACCATGGTTAAAAGTTAAATCAGGGGTGTCCAATCTTTTGGCTTCTCCAGGCCACACTGCAAGAAGAAGAATTGTCTTGGGCCACACATAAAATACACTAAAACTAACGATAGCTGATGAGCTAAAAAAAAAAAAAAAAAAAAATTCAGACAAATAACTCTCATTATGTTTTAAGAAAGTTTATGAATTTGTGGTGGGCCACATTCAAAGCTGTCTTGGGCCACATGTGGCCTACAGGCCAAGGGTTAGACAAGCTTGTGTTAAAGCAGTATATTATTTGTGTTAAAGTAAAACAGTATATAATTCTACTTATTACAATGTATCAGCTGTTTTATATATTAGGGTGCTCAACAATTATTTTTGAATGTGTGACTGAATAAATAAATAAAATTTTTTCAGTGTCATTGTGGCATGGTCACAATTACCTTGATCATCCTAATCCTTACTTGGGACTAGACAGGGAATCCTGATCTACTTAGATATGGATTAGGATAAGCAAGGCAATATGCCAGATATTTCAATCAGATGTCTTCATTCCACCAAGCATTGCATCTCTTCTTCAAAGCTGACATATGACCCCCAACATTTTTGGTACCAGGAACCGGTTTCGTGGAAAACAATTTTTTCACAGACCAGTCGGGATGGTTTCAGGATGATTCAAGCACGTTACATTTATTGTGCACTTTCTTTCTATTATTATTACACTGTAATATATAATGAAATAATTATACAACTTACCATAATATGGAATCAGTGGAAGCCCTGAGCTTCTTTCCCTCAACTAGATGGTCCCATCTGGGGGAGATCGGAAACAGTGACCTATTATCAGGCATTAGATTCTCCTAAGGAGCACACAATTCAGCATGCACAGCTCACAACAGGGTTTCCGGTCCCATGAGAATCTAATGCCTCTGCTGATCTGACGGGAGGTGGAACTCAGGCAATGACGTGAGCAATGGAAAGCAGCTGTAAATATAGATGAAGCCTCACTCACTTGCCTGCCTCTCACCTCCTGCAGTGCAGCCTAGTTCCTAACAGGCCATGGGCTGGTACCGGTCCATGGCCTGCGGGTTGGGGATCCCAGCTCTATCTAATCTGATATCTTGCTTTTGGTTAAGATATTACAGGAGGCTGGGCACAGTGGCTAACGCCTGTAATCCCAGCGCTTTGGGAGGCCAAGGTGGGCAGATCACCTGAGGTCAGGAGTTCGAGACCAGCCTGACCAACAAACCCCGTCTCTACTAAAAATACAAAATTAGCTGGGCATGGTAGCACATGCCTGTAACCTCAGCTACTCAGGAAGCTGAGGCAGAAGAATCACTGGAACCTGGGAGGCAGAGGTTGCAGTGAGCTGAGATCATGCCATTGCACTCGAGCCTGGACAAAAAAAGCAAAACTCCATCTCAAAAAAAAAAAAAATATATATATATATATATAGATAGATAGATATTACAGCAGTAGGCAGGCAGTATACCTCAAAAAGTAATCCAATCTCACGTAAGAGTTGAAAATTTAGATTTAATAGCCCATGACAGAAAGTCAGTCAGAATTACTACAGTCGAAACCTGAGAATCTGAATTTTAACAATTTTTTTAAATGAGTTGTATGCATGCTAAAGTAAGATCCACTGCCTTATGCTGCCCTTGCTTCTTTAAAAACCACTTCTGCGTTTCGTATCTGGTTGTTTTAGTTAAAGCTCTTCTGCTCCGAATTCAGTCTCAAATATGCATTTTCAATTAATTATTTTTAACAAGGTGTCAAATAAATTCAATAAGGAATCATGAGGTAAAAGCCATGAGAGACACTTGAAAGACGCACCAGAGAGAATTCAGTCACTCTCATCAAAGAAAATATTGTTAGATAGCATAGATAATTTCTTCTGAGAGAAATTACTTTTCCAGAAGAAAATATGGACTCTATTTGGCAGCAACCTTCTTTGAAGTTTGCGGCAAATCCCAAATAAACCTTAAATATATTTGACTCTATGTGTTAACAATCTATGCTTGAACTGACATAAATTAGTACACAACACAATAAGCAAAGAATGTTTAATCCTATGCAGCAGTGTGTTCAGTGATATAAGAACTAGATACAGAATGTGACAGAACTCTACCATTTACTTTTTTATATTAAGCTGATCATTTAATTCTTCTGTGCAACAAGTTCCCTAATCTTCAGTAATGTGGCTATTAATACCTATACTACACATGTAGGAAGGAGAATAAAATAGAATAAAGAGTGTAAACAGTATAAAATCTGAAGTGTTATTCAAATGTATAAGTTAAATAATCATCATTGTCACACATATTTATTATCAATATAGAACACTGAAGATTATAATGAAATGTTATGGAGTCTCTGCTGATTACCTATATTATAAACTAAGCCTAGGAAACTAAAATCATGGCATATGTCTCTCACATTGCCAAAATTGTTGCCAGGTGTTTAATACAGTAGAGGTACAGAGGTTATTCATTTTTTTTTGTTTGTTTTGTTTGTTTGTTTGTTTGTTTTGAGACGGAGTCTCACTCTGTCGCCAGGCTAGAGTGCAGTGGCGCAATCTCAGCTCACTGCAAGCTCTACTTCCTGGGTTCAAGCGATTCTCCTGCCTCAGCCTCCTGAGTAGCTGGGACTATAGGCGCATGCCACCACACTGGGCTAATTTTTGTATTTTTTAGTAGACACGAGGTTTCACCATGTTGGCCAGGATAGTCTCCATCTCCTGACCTCGTGATCCGTCTGCCCCACCCTCCTGAAGTGTTGGGATTACAGACGTGAGCTACCAAGCCCAGCCTCAATTGTTTCCAATAGAAAATATGGGAGTTTTTGTTTCTTGAGGAGAGGACCACAAACATGAACTAAATCACTTCCACAAAACTAACATGGCGTAAGCCTCAAAAGTGAGAGATTATAGCCGTAAGACTCCAGAATACAAAATAAACTAGGAGAAAAACTTGAGGAGATAAAAAAAAAAATAATATAGAGAGGATCCAGGTGAGGAGAGGGCTCTGGGGCACAGAGGAAGAGAGAAGTATCTATTTGTTGATTTTTTTCTTCCTCACATGACCTGGATGAATGTTTGCCCACCCTTTGTCACAGGAAGGAATACAACACCATGCCAACTTGACACAGAAACAGAAAAACTGGCAAAGAAACAGAAAAAATAACTACATTAAAAAACCATTAAATAAACTTAAATTCTATTTTAAAATGGCCTTTATGGCCTAGATGTTTTCACAATTCTATCAAGATTTCAAAGAACAGATACCCATCTCACATAAACTTTTTAAATGATTACCCAATGTATTTCATGGGCCTATTAAATCCCAGATTCTAAAACTAGATAAGAAAAGGGTTCATGAATGTAGACATAAATTATTAGATAATTGAATATTCCAATACATAAAAAATAATAGGTCAGAAATAAAAATAGCTAGAAAGAACTTCAGTTTTATCTTTAGATAACAAAAAACAAAAACAAAACTATACAAATAGCAAATTAACAATTTTCTTAAGCCCATTGGAGAACTGAGGTCTCAATATAAACAATTACTCTAAATCCAGAGAGAAAGAGATGCCTGCATGGAGAAGCAGGACCAGCATTTCCTTAACATGGAAATGTGCCAGTGTTACAGTGTGAATCCCCCAAGGGCCTACAGATATAGGTGTGTTCTGTTTTATAGCCTTTTGTTCCAGGAAACCCACCACAAGATAACTAGGAAAATCAGTGAAAATCCTGAAACAGTGGCCTCCAAGGTTCTGCTGGGTGGGAAATAGCCACTATTTCCAAAATTCCATCCGGATACATCACCACTATTTATCTTATACAATAAAAGCCTTGATCTGTAGGTAGAATTTTATATATTATATATTATATTAGTATATGTATTTCTATGTATGTGCACACATACACATATCATATATAATGTGTGTATGTATATCTCCTTGACCATATACTAAACTTTAAGAAATTTAAAATGATAGAAATGAACAAAGTACATTTCTAGCCCATAAGGGAATTAAACTATGAATCAATAACAGAAAGACATCTGAAAAAGCTCCAAATATTTGGAAATTAAACAACACACTTCTAAATAACTTATCAATTGAAAAGGAACTCTCAAGGATCAATTATAAAATGAAAAATTTTAATATAAAATACAATATATAAAAATTGTGGAATTCAGCTAAGGTGGTATTAGAAAGAAATTTATATCATTAATTGCTTACATTAAAAATAAAGTTGTAAGGTCAGCAACACAAATTACCTTACAAAAATTGAAAAAAATGGTAGCAAACTAAATACAAAGCCAAAATAAGGAAAAAATATGTAAAGATTAGAGTGGAAATCATGAAACTAAAGCAGAAAACAACAGACAAAAATCAAAGAAGCAAACAAAGTTAAATTCAAAATTAATAAAATTGACAAACCTATAGCAAGACTGATCAAAAAGAGAGAGAAAGCACAAATTATTAATATCAGGAATGAAAAAAAAAAGAAGACATCATTCTGGATACCACAAATACCCAAAAGACAATTTTAAAATACTATAAAACTCTATTCCCCCAAATTTAATAGCTTCAGTGAAATTTACCACATCCTTAAAAATACACAAACTAGCAAAATTCACTGAAGGAAAAATAAATACCTGAATAACCTTATATCTATTAATGAAATTAACCTCCCAAGACGGAGCTAGTAAGAAACTGAATCCCTGAACAGACCAATAATGAGCTCCAAAATGGAATTAGTAATAAATAGCCTACCATTACCAAAAAAAGCCCAGGACCTGATGGATTCACGGTCAAATTCTACAGCTGTACAAAGAAAAGTTGATACCATTCCTACAGAAATATTCCAAAAAACTGAGGAGGAGGGACTCTTGCTCAACTCATACTATGAGGCAAGCATCATCTTCATACCAAAATCTGGCAACATACACATCTTTTGGAAGAAATCCTTGCAAGATAGTGAGGTATACATCGCTGGCCCTCATGAGAGAATGAAATTGAGCCCGTTGAATCAGCCTCACTTGTACCAAAGTCAATCAGCTTTTTCGTTATTCACTAACCTGTCATGCTGCCGTATGTGATTACAGTTAAGAGATAGAAAAACAGACAAACAAACAAACAAAAAAACACTTAATCATTTACTGTTGGTTAGCCTACTCAAAAATGAAGTTCAACTTTCTGATGTATTTCTGAGCCTGCTTATTATGTGAGTATTACTGTTTGTGTAAAAAAAAAAAAAAAAAGCAAATTCACCATTATCAAGTAGGCTTCATCACCAAATGCAAGGTTGGCTTAACATATGCAAATCAATAAATGTAATTCATTGCATAAAAAGAACTAAAGACAAAAAACACATGATTATCTCAATAGATACAGAAAAGGCTTTTGATAAAATTGAACAAAACTTCATGTTAAAAAACTCTCAATAACCTAGGTATAGAAGGAACATACCTAAAAATAATAGAAGCCGTCTATGACAAACCCACAACCAACGTTATATTGAATAGGCAAACGCTGGAAGCATTCCCCTTGAAAACAGGCAAAAGACAAAGATGTGATGCCCTCTCATCACTCATCTTCAACACAATATTGGAAGTCCTAACAAGAGTAATCAGGCAAGAGAAAAAAAATAAAACGAATCCAAATATGAAGAAAGGAAGTCAAACTATCTCTGCAGATGACATGATTCTAGATCTAAAAACCCCCCAGTCTTGGCCCAAAAGCTCCTCCAGCTGATAACCAACTTCAGCAAAGTTGCAGAATACAAAATCAATGTTCAAAAATCATTAGCATTCCTATACACCAATGACAGCCAAACCGAGAGCCACATCAGAAAGGCAATCCCATTCACAATTGCCATAAAAAAGCATAAAATACCTAGGAATACAGCTAACTAGGTAGGTGAAAGACCTCTACAATGAAATTTACAAAACACTGCTCAACTAAATCATAAAAGACTCAAACAAATAGAAAAACATCCCATGCTCATAGAAGGAAGAATCCATGTTATTAAAATGGCCATACTGCCCAAAGCAATTTACAGATTTAATGCTATCCTTATCAGGCTACCAAAGACATTCTTCACAGAACTAGAAAAAAACTATATTATAATTCACATGGAACCAAAAAAGAGCTCCCATAGCCAAGACAATCCTAAGCAAAAGGAACAAAGCTGGAGGCATGAGGTTACCTGACTTCAAACTATACTTCAAGGCTACAGTAACCAAAACAGCATGGTAATTGTACAAAAACAGGAACATCGACCAATGGAACAGAATAGAGAGCCCAGAAATAAGGCCACACCCACAACTATCTGATCTTCTACAAACCTAACAAAAACAAGCAATGGGGAAAGACTCCCTATTCAATAAATGGCGCTGGGATAACTGACTAGCCATATGCAGAAGATTGAAGCTGGACCCCTTCCTATAACATGCACAAAAACCAACACAAGATAGATTAAAGGTTTAAATGTAAAACCCAAAACTATAAAATCCCTGGAAATCAACCTAGGTAGTACCATCCTGGACATAAGAATGGGCAAAGATTTCATGACAAAGATGCCAAAAGCTATTGCAACAAAAGCAAAAACTAACAAGTGGGATCTAATTAAACTTAAGAGCTTCTGCACAGCAAAAGAAAATATTGACAGTAAACAGACAAACTACAGAATGAGAGAAAATATATTGCAAACTATGCATCTGACAGTCTAACACGCAGCATCTATAAAAAACTTAAAAATTTACAAGAGAAAAACAACCCCATTAAAAAGTGAGCAAAGAACATGAACAGACACTTTTTTAAAGAAGACATATATGCAGTCAAAAAACATATGAAAAAATCTCAGTGTTATTCATCATTAGAGAAATGCAAATCAAAAGCACAATGAGATACCATCTTACACCAGTTAAAGTGGCTATTAATAAAAGTTCAGAAAATAACACATTTTGGCAAGGTTGTGGAGATAAGGAAATGCTTATACGCTGTTGGTGGGAGTGTAAATTAGTTCAACTGTTATGGAAAGTAGTATGGCAATTCCTCAAACAGCCACAAGCGGAAATACCATTCGACCCAACAATTCCATTATTCCCCAAAATATAAATTATTCTACCATAAAAAAACACATGCACGCGAATGTTCATTGTAGCACTATGCACAACAGCAAAGACATGGAATCAATCTATATGCCCATCAATGACAGATTGGATAAAGAAAATGTGGTACATATACATCATGGAATACTATGTAGCTATAAAAAAGAATGAGATCATGTTTTTTGTGGGAACATGGATCGAGCTACAGGCTCTTAACCTTAGCAATCTAAAGTAGGAACAGAAAACCAAATACTGCATGTTCTCACGTATAAGTGGAAGTTAAATGACAAGAACTTATGAACACAATGAAGGAAACAACAGGCACTGGGATCTACTAGCATGTGGAGGGATGGAGGAGGGAGAGGAGCAGAAAAATGGCAACAATAAAAAAAGAATGAGATGGAAATTCTACAGCCAAAAAGTACAATAACTGAAATGTAATTCACTGAATATGACCAAATGGTTTTAAAATGGAAAAAGAAAATAAATCCATAAAATTCAAAATAGATTAATGGATTGAATAAAATTTGGAGTACAGTGAAGAAAAGATTGAAAAACAATAAAGGTTCAGAGACTTGAGGGATAATATCAAATGATTCAACATTTATGTCACTGGAGTTCCAGGAGAATAGAGACAAAAAGTGAAAGAAAAAAATATTTGCAGAAATAAAAGGCTATAATCTTCCCAAATTTGGTAAAAAGAAAGAAAGGAAAAAGCTATAAATTTACAGGTCCAAGAAATTTACAAACTCCAAATAGGATAAATACAAAGAAAATCACAACCGAGAAACTCATAGTCGACTTATGAAAGCTACAGATAGAGAATCTTGGAAGCACCTAAAAACAAATGAAACTATGTAGATGGTAACAATCATGCAACCAACTGTAGGTTTTTGTATCACAAACAGCGGAGGCCAGAAGACGTCAGAATGGCATGTCCAAAGTAGAGAAGGAAAAGTTTTTCAGCCAAATTCTGTATCTACTGAAAGTACCCTACAAAAATAAAGTAATTATGTCCGTAGAATTGCTTAGCAAAACAAACAAATTTTAAAAGTTGAAATAAAAACCTTTTGTGTCTTTAAAATATGAGCTACTCGTAGCATATCTGCACTAAAAGGAAATGCTAAACGAAGTTGAAAGGACTGAAAAAAAGTGATTCCAAATAACAAGCTGGATATACAGGAAGGAATGAAGAGCACCAGAAATGGCAAACAATATATATAGTGTATGTGTGAATGTGTGTGTGTCTATATATACCTGTTTTCCTTTTCTTTCAAAACATTTTGCTTAGTGAATGAAGCCAAACGCAAAATGTACAAATTACATGGTTCCATTTATATGACATTCTAGAAGAAGAAAAAGTAATATTTAGTGACAGAAAACAGATCACTGGTTGCCTGGGACTGGGATCAAAGGCAGAAATTGACTGCAAAAGGTCACAAGAAAACTTTTGGAGGGGATGGAAATTTTCTATATGTTGTTTGCGGTGGAGGGCACACAGATGTATGCACTTGTCAAAGCTCATCAAACTGTACCCTTAATGTGGCTGCATTTTACTGTATATGAATTATACCTTAATAAATTTGATTTAGGAAAACATAATGCAAAATGTAACAAATTTGACATAATACAAAGAAAACTTCTGCTCAATGTAAAGTTCAAAGAAAGATTAAAGACAGGGAGGAATATTTGCAATGTTTAAAACTAACAAAGTATTAATCTAGATTATACAAGGAACTTCTGAAAAACAAAAAAGAAAAACAGAAAACCCAATAGAAGGAGTTGACAAAAGCTTCACATATGAAAATAAGGCTCATATTCCCTACTAAAGAAGCACAAAGTTCAAATTATGAGTTTTCAAATTAACAAAATTCAGAAAGTTGGATAACACCAAATGTTAGAAAGTATAATAGGGAAATTAAGCTGCTGGGTTTTGCTGACGGACTTAGAAATTGAGTCAGCCATTCTGTAAAGCATTCAGGAAATAGTAAAAATTATATGTGCAAGTAAATTACAAAACCTTCCACTGGTAATACTAGGTGCCAATCATAAGAGATAAATGGAATAAAATGTGATAATATTCACAAGATGGAATTCCAGGCAATAACGAAAAGAAGAAAAGTGCACATAGAGTACAATCAGTAAATCATAAGAAAATTATGAGCGATAAAACTATTAAATAGAATAATTCAACATCATTTATACAAATGAAAACATGAACACATCAATATATGGAGTAATATTATATAGTTTTCAGGGATACACATGAAGTCTTGTCTATGGATATGGGCAGAGAGAAATGTCAGTGAATATGAGAAATCATGTAAAAAAGGTAATTGCAGAAAAATATAAGAGAGCCCTTGTGCAGATTGATAACAGCGAAGTATAATTAACTCTCTGCATATAAAATAAAAAAATGTATTTCTCTACATTCATGAATCTTAATACTTTTGTAATGCTCAGCCTTATATGTGAACTATTATTACTCCTTTCTCAAATGAAGAAAACTATGAAGACAACAGCAGTATTCTAAGCACGTGATTGAGATTACCGTCTTTCTGCATATTAAAATGGATACAGCATTCCTTGGGAAACATCAAAGTCTCATTTCATCACAAATTTTTTACCTCCAAAGAGAATATACTTATTTTTCATGGTGTATGTGATACTGCCCATACTCATCTTGTTTTAAATTGAAAAATATGTAAAGAATCATGAGTCAGTTTAGTTGAATATTATAAAGTAATAGTCTCTCATTTCATAACAATCATTTAATGACCATGGAATATGTTTTATGTTATCTAGTAATAATCTATTTAGAAACACATTGAGGATCTATTTTCTAATTCAGTTTGCACCCACTTTTATCTTTTGGAAAAATTGCTGATAAGAAAATTGTTGATACAACTCTTGAAAATAAGTTTATTTTAACATGCAATTTTTTTTCCAGGTAAAACATTCAATTAGTAATAGTTTTCTTAAAGCATGTCATCATGAATCTCCTCTAGTAGGTGAGATAAGACACACATGTAGCTATAATTAAAGCAATGTGTCATAAATGACACTCCATCTGATGGCACTTCATCATGGGATGAAGAAATTACTTATTATTAAAGAAGGGGATCAGAGAAGCTTTGTGAAAGAAGCAACATTTGAACTGGATCTTAAGAAGGTTTACAATTTCCATGTAAACAGAACAAAGGGAAGTAGGAAAATGAGCAGGGTGTAAAAGATGTGTTAGGTATTTTTGTTTACACAATATATTATACCATATAGGAAGTGACATAAAATAACAGCAAAATTAAACTGAAGGGCAGAATACAGATAAAGATTTTGAACTTTATTACATATAGTTTTGAGTAAAAACTAATGACATATCACACCAAGTTTGGAATATTAATCAGTTGTATGGAGAATGTGAAGAAATAATTAAACGGAGAAATTGGTTGTAAGTTATGGCAACTCTCAAATTAGAGATAACAAGAACCTGAAATAGAATAGATACTATAAAAATGGATAGAGGCCGGGCGCGGTGGCTCACGCATGTAATCCTAGCACTTTGGGAGGCCAAGGCGTGCAGATCATGAAGTCAGGAGTTCGAGACCAGCCTGGCCAACATGGTGAAACCCCGTCTGTACTAAAAATACAAAAATTAGCCGGGGGTGGTGGTGTGTGCCTGTAATCCCAGCTACTGGAGAGGCTGAGGCAGGAGAATTGCTTGAACCCAGTATGTGGAGGTTGCAATGAGCTGAGATCATGCCACTGCACTCCAGCCTGGGCTACAGAGCAAGACTCTGTCTCCAAAAAAAAAAAAAAAAAAAGAAAAAGAAAGAGAAAACGGAGAGAAAAGAAACAATGTATGTAGGAAAACTTTTCTAGGCAATGGAAAGTATTATACTCCATTGAGGAAAATATGAAATAAAAAGTTAAAATGACTATTTTAGTCTGGGTATTTGGCATATAATAATATAATGGTATATTGTGTTCATTAATAGAAGGAAAAGGAGAAAGATTAGGTCTAAAAAAACATATGAAAATGTATTCTAGACATAGTTTGAAGCATCTAAAATACCTTTAACAGGAAGTGTTCACAGAGCAATTGTATTGGTTGAGGCAATGCTAACTGATATAATAGAAAAACCTTGAAATCTAAGTGGCTTAACACAATAGATGCTTATTTCTTGCTCATATAAGCCTAGTAAGAGCATGACAGGAGGAAGGGAGTCTGCTCCACAGTAGTTTAGGAACCTTGGCTGAAAGTCTCTGCAAATGGCTTTCAAAGTTTTACTGGGCATTAATGTACAGTCATCTCACAAGAGGCAAAGTATGGAGAAAGTGAGAGGTGACAGCATGCTGGCAGCCCTCGCAGCCTTTGCTCGCTCTTGGCGCCTCCTAGGCGTCGGCGCCCACTCTGGCCGCACTTGAGGAGCCCTTCAGCCCGACACTGCACTGTGGGAGCCCCTTCCTGGGATGGCTGAGGCCAGAGCCGGCTCCCTCAGCCTGTGGGGAGGTGTGGAGGGAAAGGCATGGGCGGGAACCCGGGCTGCACAAGGCTTGCAGGCCAGCTAGAGTTCCGGGTGGGCATGGGCTTGGTGGGCCCCGCATTGGGAGTGGCCGGCCGGCCTGCCAGCCCCGGGCAGTGAAAGGCTTAGCCCCCAGGCCAGCAGCTGCGGAGGGTGGGCCGGGTCCCCCAGCAGTGCCGGCCCACCAACGCAGCGCTTGATTTCTCACCAGGCCTTAGCTGCCTCCCCACACAGCAGCGCTCAGGACCTGCAGCCTGCCATGCCTGAGTGCCCCCCCAACCTCCCACCCCGCCATGGGCTCCTGTGCGGCCCGAGCCTCCTCAACGAGTGCCACCCCCGGCTCCACGGCACCCTGTCCCATCGACCACCCAGGGGCTGAGGAGTGCGGGCGCATGGCACGGGACTGGCAGGCAGCTCCACCTGTGGCCCCAGTGCGGGATCCACTGGGTGAAGCCAGCTGGGCTCCTGAGTCTAGTGGGGACTTGGAGAACCTTTATGTCTAGCTAAGGGATTGTAAATACATGAATCAGCACTCTGTACCTAGCTCAAGGTTTGTAAACACACCAATCAGCATCCTGTCTATTTCAGGGTTTGTGGATGCACCAGTTGGCACTCTATCTAGCTAATCTGGAGGGGACTTGGAGAATCTTTATGTCTAGCTAAGGGATTGTGATACACCAATCAGCACTCTGCATCTATCTCAAGGTTTGTAAATGCACCAATCAGCACTCTGTGTCTAGCTCAAGGTTTGTAAATGCACCAATCTGCGCTCTGTGTCTAGCTGATCTGGTGAGGACTTGGAGAACCTTTATGTCCAGCTAAGGGATTGTGAATACACCAATGGGCACTCTGTATCTAGCTCAAGGTTTGTAAATACACCAATCAGCACAGCTAATCTAGTGGTGAGGTGGAGAACTTTTGTGTCTAGCTCAGGAATGGTAAATGCACCAATCAGCACCCTGTTAAAACAGACCAATCAGCTCTCTGTAAAATGGACCAATCAGCAGGATGTGGGTGGGGCCAGATAAGAGAATAAAAGCAAGCTGCCCCAGCCAGCAGTGGCAACCTGCTCGGGTCCCCTTCCACACCGTGGAAGGTTTGTTCTTTCGCTCTTTGCTATAAATTTTGCTACTGCTAACTCTTTGGGTCCACACTGCCTTTATGAGCTGCAACACTCACTGCGAAGGTCTGCAGCTTCACTCCTGAGCCAGTGAGACCACGAACCCACCAGAAGGAAGAAACTCCGAACACATCTGAACATCAGAAGGAACAAACTCCAGACACGCCGCCTTTAAGAACTGTAACACCCACCCCGAGGGTACACAGCTTCATTCTTAAAGTCAGTGAGACCAAGAACCCACCAATTCCAGACACAAAAGCACACATAATTTCAAGCAACATCAAGTTAAAAGTGTCACATATTATTTCTGTTCCCAATACACTGGCAAAAACCAGTTCCATAGGCATATTTAAAGACAAGGTAAAAGTTAAAACTGAGGTAACTGGCTAGCTAACTGATATGGTTTGGAGGTCTGACCCCTCCAAATCTCATGGTGAAATGTGATTCCCAATGTTGGAGGTGGTATCTAGAGGGAGGTGATTGGCGCATGGAGGCAGATTCCTAATAAACTGTTTAGTACCATCCTCTT
This sequence comes from Homo sapiens, assembly GCF_000001405.40. Lineage (NCBI taxonomy): Eukaryota > Metazoa > Chordata > Mammalia > Primates > Hominidae > Homo > Homo sapiens. The sequence goes on from NC_000004.12 coordinate 46,832,695, forward strand.
GATGATGAGAGGATTCTTGTTCAGTTAGTTCACTTAAGATATGGTTGTTCAAAAGAATCTGGGACCTCCCCACTCTCTCTCACTCCTGCTCTCACCGTGTGACCCACTAGCTCCCCTTCGCCTTCTGCCATAATTGTAAGCTCCCTGAGGCCCTCACCAGAAGCAGATGCCAAAACTACGCTTCATGTACAGCCTGCTGAACTGTGAGCCTTTTTTTTTTTCTTTTTTGAGATGGAGTCTCGCTCTTGTTGCCCAGGCTGGAGTGCAAAGGCGTGATCTTGGCTTACCACAACCTCCGCCTCCCGGGTTCAAGTGATTCTCCTGCTTCAGCCTCCCGAGTAGCTGGGATTACAAGCATGTACCACGGTGCCCGGCTAATTTTGTATTTTTAGTAGAGACGGGATTTCTCCATGTTGGTCAGGCTGGTCTTCAACTCCCAACCTCAGGTGATCCACCCACCTCGGCCTCCCAGAGTGCTGGGATTACAGGTGTGAGCCACCGCGCCCCACCAAGCCATTTAAACCTCTTTTCATTATAAATTACCCAACCTCAGATATTTATTTGTAGCAATGTGAGAACTAACACAGTATGTCCTGGCATCAACTTTACAATTAAAAAGTGAGCATATATCTTTCACAAATGGCTCACCAAAGAAAATGTAAACAAGAGGATGTAACTAGAATGAGAAAAGAGGTTAGAAATAGAGATATAAATTTGGGAGGTGTATGCTTAATTCCTATGCAGAACTCATAGGAAATATGACATTCCAATGGAGAAAGCATGGAAAAAGTATAGCCCAAATGCAGGTTACTAGCATTCATATACTTTTTGATGTAAGATTCAAAAGGGAAAGTAAAACTCAGAGAAACTCAATGAAAAATCTATAGGAGTGTTTTAAGAGAGCAGAGGCAATAAGAAGTATTGGGGAAAGGAAGATGAATAGAGAGAAACATTGATGGGAATTGATGACTATGAGACCATTATGTCACTTCATAATACTGTGACTTTAACAGTTGTGGGAGCAGAAACCATATGAAAAAGGATGACAGAATAAGTGAATTGTGAGAAACTTCAGCTTTTGTAAATATTAATCTTTACAGATAAGGCAAAAAAAAGAAGTGTGCAAAAAAAATATGGAATGAAGATATGGTGGGTTGACAGAAATGTTGTTGGGTTGGCAAATTGGAATTCTATGAAAAACATTTAAGTTTGAAGGTAAAGATCCAGTTCAAAACAAGAATGTAAAGATGTAGCTATAAACTGTAGTACTGAGAAAACAAGGTCACAGAGAGTGTAAAGAAGAGTTGGGAGAATAATGGGAGTAAATGAGAAGCTAACAAAAGCAATTAAATCAACAACAACAAAATCTGAAAAGATTTATGTAAGTTATTTATGAAGAAACATCACAATGATTGAAAGATAAAAATTGTGACCAGAGATACATATTCTTGGATAGAAACACTAAGCATAAAGATGACAATTATTTTTAAGTCAAACTATAAATATAGTATGATCCCAATTTTAAAATACCAACAAGTTTTGTCTTCTTCTGGAGAAGTACATACATTGATTCTGGAGTTCAGATGGTAATACAAACAGGAATGAAGATCTGTGAAATTGATGAAAAAAGACAAGAAAAGAAACACAAAAACAGTATCTATCTCGAATGTTGAAATACATTTTACAGCTAGAATAACTAAACTAGTATAGTGCTAAGCATGAAGATATAATGTCAATAGCATTAAAAACTCTGCGAATAAACCCTAGCACATTTGGAAATTGTGTATAGGATAAACATGGCATAGCAAATTCACGTAAAAAAATGAATATTTCAATAAAAGACATTAGGGCAACTAAGTTACCATTCAGAAAACAAATAAAAACATTTAAATGCTTTTATCCAACTTTCTTTGGAAGCATTTTACTATAATTATTCCCCGACACTTTCTTCTTCACTTGATTGTTATCTTGCCTTATCAGTCCAATATAATACATTATCAATAAATCAAATATTTAAATATAGAATATGAAGAGTGTGCATAATATTACTAAAAGAAATCATGGAAATATTTTAAAATAATCTCACATAGAAGCTATTGTTTATCATAAACAGAAAGACAAAAACAAAACCACATTAAAAAATAATGAATGACAAAACTCCAGAGGAAAAATATCAAAACACAAACTTGGAAAAATATTGACAACTAATATGCTAGGCAATGTGCAAGTCTCCAAACTTCAAAACAAAAAAATCCCTTGAAAGCAAAAGAAGCAAATTATATAAACTGATAATTCATAAAAATGGAAATATGAGTAATTCTTAAACAAGAAAAACTTTCAATCATAATAAGAGAAATAAAAGTTAAGACCTTTTTTCCCTAGTAGTTTGATAAAGACTCAAAAACCTGGTAATACTTATGATATTGATGGGGATGATGTAAGAAAAGGGGGATTATTACACACTGCTGATGAGAATGTAATGTGTATGACAGCATGACATAAAGGACAATTTGAAAGCATCTATCAAAATTACAAATGCACCTAGTTTTAACTTCAGGAATACTTGCACACAGACATGAAAGGTAGGCACAAGGCTATATGTTGCAACATTGTTTATAATAGCAAAGTTAGCAAATTGAATGTTTCTCTAGTGCGTAAACATCCTAAAATGAAAATGCGTTGCTTTTAAAATCAGAAAAAAAAAATGCAGTAACTGTTACGAGATACGCAAACAAGTCCCCCCTCAAAAACACACACACACATGTTAATAAGGCAGACTGTTCGAGAATCATGGTGGAAGAAGAGTCTGACGGCTACATTTTGGGACAGTAAGCAGGCCTAGTCCTCCTGGTGAAACAGAAGTGAAAATGGTTTTCAATGGAAAAAACTGCGTAAGATATAGCATGTTACAGAACAGCCAACTATCAACCTAGACATTCAATGCATAAAGTAACATAGGTCCATTTATTTCTTAGAGCCACAAGCTTTTTCAATAGCCTTTGAAAATGTGTACTGTCTGAAAAAATATAAATAAGTGATGTGCCATTTAATGATGGGGACATGTTCTGAGAAATGCATCATTAGGCAATTTCATCAACGTACAAAAATCATAAAGTGTATTTACACAGCCTCAATCATACAGCCTACTACACATCTAGGCTATATGATACACGCTACTGCTCGTCTGCTACAAAGCTGCACAGCAAGTTACTTTGCAGAATACTGTGGGCAACTATAACTCGAGGGTAATGATTTATGTACCTAAACATGTCCAAACATAGAAAAGGTACAGTAAAAATATGGTATAAAAGATAAAAATGGTACACCTTTATAGGGCACTTATGAATGGAGCTTGCAAGACTGGAAATTGCTCTGGGTGAGGCAGTGAGTGAGTGCTGAGTGAGTGTGAAGACCTAGAACATTACTGTACACTACTGTAGACTTTATAAACACTGTACACTTAGGCTATGCTAAACTTATTAAAAATTTCTTTCTTCAATAATAAACCTTAGCTTATTGCAACATTTTACTGTGTGTTTACTTTTTTCACTTTATTGACTCCTTTGTGATAATATTTAGCTCAAAACACAAACACTGTACAACTGTCCAAAAATATTTTTATATCCTTATTCTATACGTTTTTTTCTCTATTTAAAAAATTTTTTTTTTATATTTTTTTAAAGTAGTTAAAATCTAAAATGCAAAAACACACATTGGCCTAGACCTAGAAAGAGTTAGGATCATCAATATTACTATCTTCCATCTCCACATCTTGTCCCACTGGAAGATCTTCAGAAGCAGTAACACACATAGAGCTGTCATCTCTTGTGAGAACAATGCTTTCTTCTGGAATATCCTATGGAATGACCTGCCTGAGGCTGTTCTACAGTTAAATTTTAAAAAAAAAAAGAAGGAGCACAAGCTAAAATAATGAATAAAAAACATAGTAGAGTGAACATATAAACCAGTAATATAGTTATTTGGTATTAAGTATAATGAACTGTATATAATGGTATGTGATAGATTTGTTATGACTGACAGTACAGTGGGTTATTTACAGCAGCATCACCAGAAAAAGGTAAGTAATGCATTGCACTATGACATTATGACTGTTACAATGTCACAACAGCTCTAACTTCACCACAGCTGCAACGTCACTAGGCAATAGGTATTTTTCAGATCCACTATAAACTCATGCGATCACTGTCACATATGCAGCCTACCCTTAATTGAAACATCGTTATGCGGCACATGAATATATATTGACACTAAAATTATGAATTACAAGTAAATATGTGTACAGTTTTACATATAGATTAGTCAATAGTTTAATCCACTTCATATTTAAATACAGCAGCATTTAATTGAGATATGTTCATCTTAACATGTTAACTTCAGTGCAGGATTCAGTTTCCAAAAGAAAGTGTGCCTAAAGATCTTTAAGAGACTCTGAGACTTAGCTCAATAAAAATGTAGTAGTTTAAGAAATACAGCTGCTTTAAAAATCACAAAAGGTGGAAACACCCAAGTGTACATCAACAGATGAATGGATAAAATGTAGTATGAACACACAAAGACATACACACACACACACACACACACACACACACACACACACACAGAGGAATATGGTTCAGCCATAAGAAGGTATGAAGTGATATACACACTACAACATGGATAAACCCTGAAAACTGTATGCTAAGTGAAATAAGCCAGATGCAAATGGACAAATAGTGTATGATTCTACTTATATGAAACATCTAGAATAGGCAAATTCATAGTGACTAAAAGCACATTACATTGCCAGAATCTGTTGGGAAGGTAGGAATGGGGAGATACTGCTTAAGGGGTTTACAGTTTCTCTTTAGGGTATTAAAAAATGTTGGAAATGGGTAGTGGTGATGGTTCAACAACACTGTGTATGTAACTAATGCCACTGAATTGTACACTTAAAAATGGCTAGAATTAAAAATTTTACATTATATATTTTTCTACATAAAAAATAAAAATAAGGATAAGATAACACTTTTAGAAAACTAATAGCAATTAAATATCCCTGAGAGGTTTTTTGGTAACATTCTGCTTTGTGTGTTCCTATACTGCCTTATGCTGTTTGTTGCCACATTTTAGAAATATCAAAGCTCAGGATAAGGTATGGGGAATAATAATAATTAACCATAGAACAAATTTACAAATGAAGAAAGATACAAAAGGTCAGAACTTCTCAATCTAAAAACTAAGGTCGAAATAACCGAAATTATTGTAAACATTGAAGACATGGAAGTCAACATAGATATTTATGGAATCCTAGATGCCTAGAACTTAAATCTAGAAAACAGTATACTCTAGAGTTTCATTACTGTGTTTCATAGATCAAAGCAGTCTGCCAACTACAAGCAAAATAGTTTCAAAAAATTTGTGGGTTAATTTGTACATTCTTTATCAGCATCAAATTATCAAGGAAAGTTAAAAGGTATATAGGTTACATCTCTATTCTATGGAATTTGACATCCTGTGAAATAATTATGCTGCCTCATAGGTAGCACTTTAAAAGAAAAAAAAATCATGCATGTACTAGCATTATGTCTTGCACTGGGAATAATTTAAATCATCTGTAATATTATAAGTGATCTAATATATATTTCTATACAACATGCAAACATGTATAATATATATATTTCAGAAAATCACTCTCAGTAAAATTAGATGACATAATTGGCATTCTGTATTAGATGAAGTGTGCAGGCCGACTATAGTCACAGAAGCCAGTTTACTTATTTTTAAGGAAGGTTGGACTTGTGCCAAAGAAAAGTATCTATAATTCACTATCAGAAGTGGTGGTCATGCATCAAAGCATAACTTGGTCCATTAACCCTGGGTAGAGTAACAGTATGGAGTATTTTGTGATAGCATAAACATACCTTGATGCCTTATTGGTATTCACAGTTTCTCTCAAGTGGGTGGTGTTAAGGCACACTGAAGATGGTCAGTCCTTACTATTCAAAACCTAGATCATTGGCAGCTTTCATTTCACTTGTCTTCTGGGAAAACTCTGTGTGTCACAGTTGGAAGAAGTGGTAATGTGCTTAAATTTCCTTCTGTAGCTTATCCCAAGACCTGATAATTCCGAATGGCATTTGGCCCAACCATAGAAATTTTATTCCAGATTAATTTTACCTTTCCTGGAACTTTTTTTTTTTTAATTTCAAAATCTGCACCAAATACATCTCAAGATCATGCCATGAAATCAAAGTCCCCAGGCCCTGTTTTTGAATCAGGTTCTTCATGCATTTAGCGCCTTTTCAAAACATCAACTCATTATAATTTTTATGTTTTATTTTAGGAATATTTTCTCATTTTAACTCCTTTGAGCCTCTGTGATTTTATAAATAGTATCCTTATTATGGTCTGCTTCTGGCTTTTCTCACAGAGACTTTGCTGAGACTCCCAGAGTAGAGCAGCCTATTTTTGTGCTCTCTTGAGGAGACTTGTTCCCTAGCCCTCCCTCATTGTGAATTTGTTCTGGGCTGTGGGCTGCCTGATGTTTTGATGTCTCTGTCCATTAACTAATTCTTGCCTTTCAACCACAGAGCTTCAGTTTCCTGTTTACTGCCCTCATTGTTACAGCTCTCTGCTTAGTGCTTCAGTCCTCTTGTCAATAGCATCCTTGGTAACTTCCTGTGTCATCCCCAGCCCCTCCTTCTCCACAGATTGCTTTTCACCAATTTGGCTTTCCAAAGACAGCCTGTCAGCAGCTCAAAGTCCCCTAGATTGAGCTCATTTTCATTATTATTAAGAGGCAGTAAGGCCGACACAAGTAGGTGACCACCTACACTGTGTTATTGAAAAGGCACAAGGAATTAGTCCTGTCCAGGCTGCCAGAAATTCCACACGAGAGATTCATTTCCTGATTATCGAAATTTTTCATATTTTAGGGCATCCTGATCAAAATGCAAATGATATCTTCTGTCAATTCTCAGGCTTTTCTACGTAACTACTGTTGTGCCTATCATATTATATATTCTATAGTACACTGTATTGCTTATTGCAATTAATTTTATGTTTCTGTGCCTTCATAAGACTGAAAGCCATTTGCATAATAATGGTGTGTCAATACTTATATCTTAGTGTCTAAGGTAGTACATGGTAATGGTGGGTCTTAATATATGGTTGTTGAATTAAAAAATACAAAATATAGGTGGGGAGGTGAGAAACTTATACCATTAACTTTTAATGCATTTATTTTAACTGTAATACTAATGAGTATCCATTAGGGAACTGAGACAATTGATGCAACAGTAAACCCAGATAACAAAGGCTTCAACACAACCTGAGGACGTTCTCTTAGTAGTGAAAAATCCAAAGGAAGGCAATTGCTGGTATTGATTTAGAAGTTTAAGGATGTCAGGGCTAAAGTCTCAGTAATTTCTGGCCTTTCCCTCAAGGTTGCAAGGTGACTCTCTAGTTCCAGTCATCATGTCTACCTTCCAGGAATGAGAAAGGAGGAAGGGGCCTGAAGGAAGATGAGGCAAAAATCTGTATCAATAAGGCAGGACTTTCCCAGAAATTCCATCGGATTTTTGTTTATATGTCACTGGATAGAATTATGGCAGATTATCTTTCATACCAACAAGGAGAATTAGAAAACAGGGGACTTCTGTATTTGTTTTTGTCTGCAACAATAATAGGATTCAGCAGGTAGGAAAGAGAGGATATTATATTAAATAAGCCACAAGAACTCTCTGTCATGAGGGATAGTTGGGTGCACTGAGGAGTACATGAGTGCTGAGAGAGAGTCAATGTAAATAGAAGAAAGAGCATACATGAAGTCAACTAACAGCTGCTTCCCCATCCTGCCCACTAATGGCTGATAGTAGGCATTTGATCTATCAGCTTTAAAACCTGACTGAAGGCATGGGCTTCATGGGACTTCTAATACAACGTCTTTATATTTTTCATTCAGCCTCTTCATGAGCTTCATAAATAATGCTTTTCCTGAACACTTTCAATGTACCTCGTACTGTGATACAATAATACCTGCTTCAAGTTGTCCACTGTAAATAGAACTTTGCAGTAACAGAAGTGGACATAAGGCCTTTAGTGGCCCACTGAAGAGATACCTAATTCAGGCTGGGTGTATGCTTGTGCAGTGGGAAGTTAGTCTGGGAAGGATTACAGTAAAAAATAAAAGTAGAGCTGGGTTTTGAAACAAAAATAAAAGGACTCATTAAATGAAGAAGTACAGAAGGCTGTCACTGACATACGGAGTTGGTGCATAAAGACAAAGGGAGGCAAAGAAAGCAAAAAGCATTCTAGGATCTGTAATTTTGTCAGCAGAGCAAAGCACAACATTCAAGGAGTGAGGACAATGGCAGGCAGTGAGAAAACTAGAAGAGAGGTAAGCAAGAACCAGAAGATGGTTTTGAGCAATGAGACACTGAATTATTTTAACCTGATATTAGTTCTATGCCTCAGAAAAATTAGCCTGCTCTTAATTGATTAGAGAGGAGTAAAAATGGAGAGGTGGAATCCAGTTAGGAAACTATTCCAATTGTTCAAAGTATCAGGGCCTAAACTAAAACAATATCAGAGGTTCCACAGACAGTAAACAAGTCAAAGAGCCCACTTACCAAATGTGCTCTGTGTGTGTGTGTGTGTGTGTGTGTGTGTGTGTGTGTGTTTAAGATGGGCTGGCAGGAGATGCCACTGTAGGGCAGAAATGAGGGTAAAATACTAAGAAAACTCCCATTTCTTCACTCATTCATTGGTTCTGTTAAAGGTTAAACTGATTTTCATAAGGTTAATTCGTGTTTGGGATAATGTGCTATCTTAGTAAGACATAATAATATGAATACATACTCATAATAATGCCTATACATCTGACCCAAGCAGGTCATGACACAACCTAAACAAGAAAACAGTCACTCAGCCATTGAGGAGCCTAACAATGTGCTCTGAATTGTGACTGAACAGCCTAATTCTTAGAGCAAATCTCAAGGACCAAGGAAATAATATGCAGCACTAGATTTTATTAAGCAAACAACAGGCCTGTTCACGCTGCATTTCTGTGATGAGCTACTTAGTAGCCTTCAAAACTACTTACTAATGAAATGAGAAACTTATTACATTGGCCTCTGTAGCAATTACAGGAAATCTGGTATATAAAAATCAAAAAATAATTCTTAACCCATAAAGAAAATGATACAAGCTTCACAAAGCCAATGCAAGTAATTAGACACTTAAATTGAATGGCAATGCACATCAAACTTATACTATGCTCCCAGGTCCAGGAAACAAAAAACACAAAATAAATGGTGGATTAGAAGGATGCAACAGTTTCTAAAATTAACATTCCTTTACCCCGATTTTATATTATTCATAAAGAAGCCTTCAAGTTCACTAACCTAATACCCCTATTTGTTGTCACTGCTATTATCAGCTCAATCATGGTAATAACAAGCAATGTCTTAATGCACCACCTGGTTTGACAAAACTTCATAGAAGAATAAATGCCCAAAGCAATTCTGGCTTTCAGACAAGAGCATCCATACAAAATGATTCCTCTATGCTTTCCCTGAAGGTTGCTTTCCTCTATGTGCAGTGGGGGATTATTTGACAGTAATGACAAATGAATTAACAAATCAGTAGACATGAATAAGCATGATTAAATTAAATGCATAGCACAGTGGTTGTGAGCTCACTTTTTTTATTTTATTATTATTATACTTTAAGTTTTAGGGTACATGTGCACAACTTGCAGGTTTGTTACATATGTATACATGTGCCATGCTGATGTGCTGCACCCATTAACTCATCATTTAACATTAGGTATATCTCCTAATGCTATCCCTCCCCACTCCCCCCACCCCACAACAGTCCCCGGTGTGTGATGTTCCCCTTCCTGTGTCCATGTGTTCTCATTATTCAATTCCCACCTATGAGTGAGAACATGCGGTGTTTGGTTTTTTGTCCTTGCGATAGTTTGCTGAGAATGATGGTTTCCAGTTTCATCCATGTCCCTACAAAGGACACGAACTCATCATTTTTTATGGCTGCATAGTATTCCATGGTGTATATGTGCCACATTTTCTTAATCCAGTCTATCATTGTTGGACATTTAGGTTGGTTCGAAGTCTTTGCTATTGTGAATAGTGCTGCTATAAACATACGTGTGCATGTGTCTTTACAGCAGCATGATTTATAATCCTTTGGGTATATACCCAGTAATGGGATGGCTGGGTCAAATGGTATTTCCAGTTCTAGATCCCTGAGGAATCGCCACACTGATTTCCACAATGGTTGAACTAGCTTACAGTCCCACCAACAGTGTAAAAGTGTTCCTATTTCTCCACATCCTCTCCAGCACCTGTTGTTTCCTGACTTTTTAATGATCACCATTCTAACTGGTGTGAGATAGTATCTCATTATGGTTTTGATTTGCATTTCTCTGATGGCCACTGATGATGAGCTCACTTTAAGTCAGAAAGACCTGAATTAGAATCTTGGCTTGTCCATTTATGAGGCTTCTTAGCATCACTAAGCCTCATCAATAATAGAGAAATAATAATACCACATTCACACACTTGTGAAAAATAAGGGGTGTCATAAGGTACCCATATCTGGCATATAATAAGTTTTAAGCACATATTAATGTAAAGAATGTATTAAGGACATCCTCTGAAGTAGTGATTTGCATTCCTCTTTTACAGAAAAGACTGAGACTCCGAGAGAGTCATCAACTTGTCCACAGTCATGATTTTTACAAGTAAATATGAAAGCTGGGATTCAAACACAGGTCTACTAAGGCAGATTCATTGCTCTGATTTTTTTAATCTATGTTTTTAAAAACATTCTTTCAACAAGCCAGCCAGGAATTAATGTAAATATTGTACTGAGCTTATGGTTTCAGAATCAAAGGAGAGAGGAACATAGAGAAAAAAATAAAAGCAAAAGCAGTCTACTGCAAACAGTTCACAATTGTAGTTCTGCAAATTATTAAATTTCAAACAATTTATATGAGAAATGGTTAAATGAAGATAATATAGTCTGAAGAAGAGACAATTAGGGAAAATAATTGCAATTATCAAATATACAGAAATGTGATTTAGAATATTATGTGTACTTTCACTTTGCAAGAGTGGTTTATATTCCTAAAGGATTAAAAATAAAATACAAGAAAAAAAGTTACAAAACAGGTACTTTGCTGCCAATTTTGGCTGCAATTCTATGGGGTTATTCCCTGGTGGCAGGTAATAAATAAGAGTCCTATTTATGACACATGGGTGAATTATTTTGCTTATATTTGCAAGTTATATCACCAGAGAGGAGTTTCTGGCTTGTAAGGAAATATCAACATTTGGGTTATTTAGTTTCTACACAATAGATATTTTAAAAGCAAAATATATTGTCTGAATTCTCATGTTAAATTATTATAATGTCCATGAACTTACCAAAAAGAAATTGTTCACAGCAATTTGCCACTTAACAAAGTTATTACCACCAAATAACTTGATTATCCTGTAAAATTTTATCGCAATATATAATTTCATACTTAATAAATGTCATATTATTGGCCATTAGCTTGACTGAGGAAGTTTAGGAATTAAATATTCCCAAATTCGGCTTTCAAGCTGACCACTGACTCCAGACACGGTCATGGATAAGGACAAGAAAAATATTAAATACAAATGTCTAGATGGTTACACACCATACTGACCAAGTCAACCCGGCAAAAAAGGCCCATCACCATCTAATAGCAAAATGAAATTTTTAAAACGTCTAAAAGTCACGGAAGCATATAAATATACAACCACACCAGGGGGCGCTCTTAACACTGAAATGATGGATGGCATATTTTAAGACACGTGGTGGTCTCAGCTGTCCAAATGAAAGATTTTCTAAGCATGTAGTACTTGGCACAAGTGCTTATCTTTTGAAAATGTTTGCTGGCAATACACACATTTTCTTTTGTATCCAACTGTTCGTGTAGTTAAGACTATCAAGTTAGTCTATCAAGTAAAACATTTACTGCTGATAAAAAATATTTTATTTTTGAAACATTTGTCTACTTAAACTGACATCTGTCTCTTTGTGTAGTTGGGCTGATTCTCAGTAATAAACATCGTGCTTAAAAGTACATACAATTTTTTAAAAATGAATTCAGTGTGAATTTTATTTTTTACAAAATTTCCTACCAGAACTTTAACTTTTACTTTGTGAAAGTGTAATGTAGGTAGTGTGGGTCTTTTCCATATTTTCTCGTTACCTGTTAGAAATCTGAAGCTCAAATGCTCTCCTCAGAAAGTTTCAGATTCTGCTTCCTAAAAAAATGCAATTAGAAAATTAGTGTCAGATTTCAAAGACAATGAAAAAGCCAGAGGTAAGTACAGGCTATGTTACTCAGAGAAAATCACCATATACTACTTCATTAACAGTAAATATTGTCATACAAATGATATCTGATTAAAATAATTTTTAAGAAACAAAGTTGAAAAGGAAGCATCGTAAAGCACATGACAAGGGCCTAGCTACCTGTTTTCCAATAGTGGTAGAGAATGAGTCTTTAAACTTTTCTCAACCCATGTGGTTGAGATAACTCTCTTTTTTATACCAGCTACCTTCATGAGTCACCACTCACCTGTACCCAACCTCAAATGGAAGGTTCTGGCCAAGGTTTGCCTAATATGCTTGGAGACTTCTCAGCAACTTCCTTCATGCAAGTTCAAGGAAACAGAAATGGACTTCTCTAATGTTTGAGCCCTAAATCAAATTAACCAGCAGACTAATGCCTCAAATGTGGTTGAAAGGAATATATTTTTCATTCTATAACAATAGTGAGGATTTAAAGTTAAAAAATCTAGAGAAAATGATACATTTATTTACTACTTTAGAGTATATGTGCATAACAGAAAGTCCCACCCAAAAAGCAGATATTAATAGTTCTCAAGGATGTAGGGACACAGAAAAAAAGAGCATAGGATAAAAGAAAAACAGTCCACAGAAGAAAAAACCCTGGAGGGGTATGCTGGGAGAGGAGTCAGGTGACTACCACTGCCTGTTTTACCTCCTTCTTAATGCCTGGAGTGAAACAAGAACTGAGATATTCACCAAGGTACATGTACATGTTTGGTGAGAGGCAACATTTGATGTAAAATAATCTGGCATATGGTTAAACTGCATGAGTATCCATCAACAGCAAAGTCAGAGGCAGTGGTGTTGAGGTTCTTTGTGGTCAATCTGACTAGAAGTAGGTTCTGAGCCAGTTGCTAGGAAATGGAGATAGACTTTACCCCCATTAGGGCTGGAATGGTAACCAGAGGGCTACCAAGTAACCTAAATTTTAAATCAGACCCTAGTGCCAACTGAAGATGCTAAACAAGAAATGGCAAGTTTCAAACGTTTTGAAGGTAAAATAGTTTTGTAAGTGCTTATGAATCCAGGATTAATTGAAGATGCTGCAGATACCAAGGTGAGAACAAGACTAACTGCGTTATTTGTTCATTCATTCAACAAATACTTAATGAGCATCTATTTATATACCAAGAACATTTAACGGCTTCAGATAAAGCAATGAACAGAAGAGACAGCGATCTGTGTCCTCATGAAACTCACATTCTAGTAGGAAACAGGGACCATAAACAATAAATATAATGAATAACCTATATAGAATGTTGTAAGATTATAAGTACAGGAAAAAAAGGAGAAGGGAGAGCAGTATAAAGGACACTTGGAACACAGGAAGGAAAAAAAATAGATTGCAACAGCAAAAAGGTGAATAGGGTAGGACTCATCTGTAATGTTTCACATATCAAAGGCCATGAGGGAGGTGAGGGAGTCAGACATGCAGTCTTCTGGGGGAAGAGTGTTCCAGTAAAAGGGAACAGTGAGTTGAACGGCTCTAAAGTGAGAGGGTACCTGAGCTGCTCAGAAAACAGCAAGTTAGCCACTATTCTGGAATGGAATGAAAAAGGGAACAGTAGTAGAAGAGGCTAGAGAAGTAACAAAAAAGCCAGATGGTGTAGCTTTTACTGGGAATAAAACAGGAAGCATTTTTACAAAGTGGAGAGAAATGGTCAGAGACTGAATATATTTTGAAAATAGACGGGACAGGATTTTCTGATAAGCTAGATGTGGGTATGAAGAATGTAGAGTCAAGGATGATACAAAGGTTTTTATCTGAGTAACTGAGCTGGCATTTAGTGAGGCTAGAAGAGTGTGGGAAAAAACAGGTGATTGGTGGGAAATAATTATTCTGGGTTTAGATATATGAAATTTGAGATGTCCACTAGATCTATCCAAGAGGAACTATATATAAACTATGCAGTTGGCTATACTGGTGTGAAGTTTGAGGACGATCAAATTTAACACCATAGATATAGCCGTTGAGATGTAAGAAGAAATGAGTGCAGATAGAGGGGAGAGGACAGAGAACTAGCCCTCAAGTGGACAGACTCAGGTGCTCCATTATCCTCACCTTCTCGTGTTCACATCCCTGTATGATTCCCATCTCCCAGAATGTAGGCAGGATCTGTAACTTGTTTCTAACCAATAGAATATGTGACGGTGAGATGTATGTGAAGCAAGCATCATGTGGGGGAAACAATCTGGCAAGGAACTGAGGGAAGCCTCTAGAAACTTAGGGCAGCCTCCAGCTGCCAGCTTGCAAGGCCTTCAGCCTCCAGCCAACAAAACATAAGGCCCTCCCTCCTATAGCTCGAAGAAAATAAGCTCTGCAGAAAACTTGAGTAAATTTAGAAAGAAATCCTTCTGAAGTCAAGCATTCGGATGATATCCCAGGCCCAAATGATACTCTGACTGCAGCCTTGCAGAAGACCCAGGTAAGCTGTGAGCAGACTTCTGACACACAGAAACTATGAGATTAAAAAAAAGTCTGTTATTTTAAAGCACTACAATTTGTAGTAATTTGTTATGCACCAATGGAAAAGTAATGTAATTCCTGGGTTACTCCAGCATTTGCAGGCAAGGGAGCTAAGAAAGCGCCAATAAAAAGACCAAGGAAGAGAAAGGCCAGTGAGGTAAGAGGAAAACCAAGAGAAAAGCATTTCAGCAAGCAGTTTCTTGCCAGCTTTCTCAGAGAGGAATAGACAAAAATGCAAGGGAAAATTGAATCTTCTAGAAGCTGACAGGTAATCAGCATTGAAAATGACAGGAGAAGCCGGGTTCAGCCACTTCCACTCCAGCCTCAAGGTCCTCTATTTTACCCCCTCTTAGCAGAAGGTGGTAAGAGGCAGCGATGTTGCATGGAAATTGGTAGAAGCCAGAAAGTGTTTCTGTTCTTTTTGTTCTAGGTGCTCATTCACTAACCACACTAGATTTTACATATAAAGATTTACAGCTGATTTATCACAGATGAATTTTTTGGGGAGTGGGAGTCCTTGTAACCTAGCCAAGCTGTTCACTGCTAAGTAAATGACATTCAGCCTTACTAGGCTCCTAAGACCCAATTAGTGTCAGAGCTGTGCTAGTTCACTGTTTATGAGGCTTTGAAGGTTGGTATTTCAAAACTCACTAACTAATGCTAATTAAAGTCGGCTCATTTTAATTACTAAATCACTAACATACCTATTTTTAAACTTTTCATTGTTATAAGACATGCTTGGATTGGCTTTTAATTTATTTTTCAAAAAAATCAATACAATCAAATCTAATGAGCATTTATTATGCGAAAGGCCCTGAATTAACTAGGTATAGCTCAGTGAAAAAAGCTGGCCCTGTTGCTTTTTGTATACCTATAATTTGGATGCAAACTTATGCTATTTTTACTGTTGTACAAAAACTGTTTTATGCCCTAATGTGATTAGTATTCAGCTTTAATCTATATTTATCTATAGGGAGCATACTATTTTCCCATAACTCTTTGAAAGCAATTATTCCTCTATTCATTCACTCAATGAAGATTTATTGAGCACTTACTTAGTTACACAAAGTGGAAAAGTAGGATTTAAAAAATAGCGTATTTAAAGTTCTGTAAGACACATCCAAAATGTGTCCCTTTTATGTATTCAATACACTTTATCTATGTATATGTTTACATACATAATATATATGGTGTGTGTTTGTGTGTTTATGTGTATATATATTTATATATGCTCAATCGTCCCTTGGATTCCATGGAGCATTGGTTCCAGGACCTCCCTTGGATACCAAAATCTTCAGATGCTCAATTCCCTTATATAAAATGGTGTCATATTTGCATATAACCTATTCACATGCTCCTGTATACTTTAAATCATCTTTAGATTACCTGTAATAGCTACTACAATGTAAATGCTATGTAATTACTGTGACACCATTGTTAAGGGAATAATGACAAGAAAAAAAGTCTGTACATGTCAGTACAGTTGCAATTCTTTCCCCAAATATTTTAAATCCATAGTTATTTGAATACATGACTATAAAATCCATGGATATGGAGGGCTAACTATACACACACAGACACACATACACACTTTATATGGCTCTGCAAGTGCTAGTAATACAACTCTGCCCCTTGCGCCATCAGTTTCTCCCCAGGTTTTGCTCCATCATCAAGGCTAAAAGATTAAATCAATTTCTCCTATGTTTTGCTTTGTTTAGTTTAGCAGTGTTCACTTCTCTCAGTAATATCTCTGACATTGTGAAACACAGAGAAATATAAGATTAGATCATGGCATGGAGGAGTTTTTAACTTATTTTATTACTAACTATTTTCTATTTTTTAAATGCCCTCCCCATTTGAATGTAGACTCCTCCACAGCAGAGGCTCCTGTGAACTTTTCACTGATGTAGCTTTTAATGGATAGTATATGCTCAATAAGCATTGACTGATTAGCAGCTTTCCAAAATGATTTGAGGTGGCTTGCATGAAAATGGAAATAGAGACTTAGAGAAGAACATATGCTGTTAGATAAGCATGTATAAATTACAGCTAAATAAGGTATTACATAATGTTTAATACAGCTTTTACTTAACAATTTAATGAATTGGAGACAATGAATTTTTTTTTATTATACTTTAAGTTTTAGGGTACATGTGCACAACGTGCAGGTTAGTTACACATGTATACATGTGCCATGTTGGTGTGCAGCACCCAGTAACTCGTCATTTAACATTAGGTATATCTCCAAATGCTATCCCTCCCCGCTCCCCTCACCCCACAACAGGCCCTGGTGTGTGATGTTCCCCTTCTATTTTAAGAATATGTTCATATAACTACCATACTTGAAAATTAAGTCTAGCCCTGTGCTTCCTCACAGCTATCATAAAAAGAGAAACATAGATTGTGTAATTGTATTTCCAACTAAAAGATGTTTTTTTTATCAACAACAAAAATTTTCCTGAGTGGTAAATTCTAGTAAGAATTTATTACAAGGATGATTATACTAAAGCATGTGTCTTCCTTAATGGTCTTAGGGAAGATAGATAAATTGATTTAAAAATGAGATACTGATTTAAAAATGATTTAAAAATAATGATTTAAAATAATTTAAAATGATTTAATTTTAAATAATTTAAATGATTTAATTTTAAATAATTTAAAATGATTTAAAATAATTTAAATGATTTAAAATGATTTAAAAATAATGATTTAAAAATGAGATACTGGATTGAATAAGATACAAGCCTCCTCCTAGGATTTACACTTTGATTCTGTTAACTATTACTCTTTGTGTTATTGACACCTCAGTAATTAATCATTAGGACAAGCTGGTGAGCATTTTCAAGACGGAGCGGGAAAAGCAGACTGCTAAATGAACAAAAATTTCTTGTACTTTCAAAGTGCACAATGTATTCAAATAATATAGATATCTCACATAAAAAATCTCAATATACCTCAGTATTAATATCTATTTTCCACTTCCTAAAAGTGTAAGACTTCACTTCATTTTAATATAAAGTGCCACATGAAGTTACATGAGTGAACACATTGTTAGCCTGTAAAGCACTGAAAAAATATATAAATTACTAACACTGTAAAGAAGTAAAATTATTTACCACAGTATTATATAAGCGACAGCAAACTGTTATTCTTCACTACTGTACATAGGTCGAACATATTGCCTGCCAATACTATGCTCAGCTACTTAACCCACTGCCCCTGTTTAGTGCAATCATTAGGTGGTCAGGCTTTGTATTATGTGTCCAAGTACCAAAAGGGCCAGAATTGACAAGATTACCATTGTAATCTAAGGACAAGGAATCCATTAAGTTTGCTTGTGACATTCAATGAGGACCGGTTCAACTTAAAAAAATGATGTTGCCAATTTATTTCCTTCTCTTCGGATGTGAACTAAGAAATACCAAGAACATGAAGCAGTGACAGACTGTGACAGAGGCATAAAGAAAGAGGTAATGCAAGTTACCGGGGAACAAAGGCTTAGAGAGCAGTAGAGCTGCTATTAGAGATCTTTTGGCCCATGACAGGATCCAAGAAGGTAGGTGACTCCCGAGAGGACTGGTTTTGCAGTTAGATATTAATCCACTTGTAACAAGAAAACACCTTTGTCTTGAGATAACTTGAGCAAGTATTATTTGAGAGGAACCAGAAAAGATAAAGAAATTGCATATCTAAGATAAGCAAAACTAGTTTTAAAGTATTCTTAGATATTTATGAATTTCAGTTTCTCTTACTCCAGATTTAACATAAAACTAATTTCAAATCAGACATGAAAGAAGGAAAATGAACTCAATGAATTTTAATAGCATTTTAAACATTTTATTTTGAAGTAATTTAGACATAGATAAAAGCTGCAAAATTAGTAAGCATTCTGTTATATCCTCCACTCATTTCCCTAATATTAACAACTTACATAACAAAAGTACAGGAAATTAACAGTGATACAATATTATTAACTAAACTCTAGACTTTACTTGATAGTCACCCATTTTTCCACTAATGGCCCTTTTCTGTTCCAAAAGATCCTATTCAGGATCTAACACTGCATTTAGCTGGTTTTTCTACTTAGTCTCCTCCAAAATGTAATAGTTCCTCAGTCTTCCCTTTTCTTTAATGACCTAGATACTTCTGAAGAATATTGTTTTGTAAAATGTCCTTCCATTTATGTTTGTCTAATGATCTATCAAATTACAATGACGTTATGTATTTTTTGATAAGAATACTACAAAAATGGTTTTGTGACTTTCTTAGCGCATCAAGACCAAGGGGTTCACATATTTATCAATGTGTCTTATTCCAAATGATGTTTACCTTGATGATTTGATAAAGCTGGTGTTAACCAGGTTCTCCCACAGATTTCTTTTTGTAGTTGGTAAGTATCTTGGGAATATACTTTGAAACTATGCAAAATCCTGTTTCTCCCAATTAATTTTTGTATCCATAGGAGACTTTATGACATATATTACTATGGTGTTTGCCTAATGGTGGTTCTCTATTTCCTTATTTCCTTCTGCATTTATTAATTAAAATTCTACTGTGAAAAGGGGTTGTCTCTTTTCCCTCATGTATTTATTTATTTACTGAATTATTTATTGATGTCAGCAAAGACTCAAGAGCATTTTGTTTTATTCTGGACGTTAAAATCCAGTACTATTATTATTTATTGCTCAATTTGTTCATTAGGAGCTCCTTCAGATTGTCTCCTATGCTCTTGTGACAAACCACTTTTTTCTTTTCTCATTTCGCACTTTCTTACTTTCTAATAACTCAACATGTTAAATACTTAATTAGCACTTTTCTTGCCCTAACCCTGAAATCAACTACTTCTCTAAGGAGTTCTAATTTCCTTTTCTGGGTAGTGGTGTTTAAGGACCAAAGTCTAGGTGCTAGGAATCATCATTTTTAAAGGGGTGCCATTGCTTTTGACCCTCTTACCAGTCATAGCTAGGTTATATAAATATGAATACACAAATACACACACACACACACACACACACACAGAGCTGATTTTCATTATTTGCAATTTTATTCACAAATTGACCTATTCATTAAAATTTGTTTGTAACCCCAAAATCAAATCAATTCTCAAGATATTTTCAAAGTCATTCTCAGACCTGGGCAGAATATGAAAAATCTGAGTCACCCAATGCACATTATCACAGCTCAAGGTGAACAAAGCAATGCTTTGCCATCTTGTTTCAGTTCTCATACTGTAGATACATGTCCCACTGGAGATCTATCTAGTGTCACATTTTTTGCTTTTCTGTGCTTTGTGTTGCTGACTTTGCTGTTTAAAATAGATCCCGAGTGTAGTGCCGAAGCACTGGCTAGTGTTCTTAGGCACAAGGCGGTTGTGGTGTGCCTTACAGAGAACATATGTATGTTAGATAAGCTTCCTTTAGGCATACATTATAGTGCTGTTGGCTGTGAATTCAATAGTAATGAGTCAGCAATATGTATTAAATGTCTTTAACTAGAAACACACATAAAACAAGGTTATGCATTGATTGATTGATTGATTGATGAAAACGTGACCAGAGGCTCATGGGAACCTAACTCTGTATTTCCTTAGGAGCAATGGTGCTGTATTTGCTAGCTCAGTGATTTTATGGACCATCACTATTGTGAGTAACAGGGATTAGCTGTATTTCTTTATCTGTTTATCAGTATATACGCTAAAAACAAAGAACTTATATGGATACCTCTCATTCTAATCCACATAACAACACAGGATTCATTTAACCCTTCCTCTTTTTCTTATTTACATACTTCTTTCTCCAACAGTCAGAAATCTGACTCTCATCATCTAAAATTTGTCTACTTATTTGCTCAATTGTGGCATATACATAAACATTTTAGAAAATATGTGTGTATAAAATACACATTTTGCTAGTCAACACTCCTGTAAAAACATTTATAATATGATTACAGCAGTTATGTACATTTTTTTTTACTTTAACCATACAGTATCCAGTCAAGATAATGTTTTACCATAGTAATTTTAGTTAGTTGTTCTCTATTCTCTTTAGTGTGGTTATCTTATTCATTTGTAATACAATTAGGCTTGTCTTCTATTGTTTGTATTTTATTTTAGCTTCCCTAACATCAGTATTTGTTTTAACTGTTTGTTTATTAAGTGAATATATAAAATAGTACTATAATTATAAAGTTAGTTATAGAAAGAGATATATCCATAGAATTGTGATTAGTGCTATCTTTTCACTCAACTGATTCTGCATTATCTACAAATTATGAATTTAAACTGTTTCCATTTCAATTGTGGAACTTAAGTTTACCACATGTAGCTGTATATTTAAGTACATGTTTTCACACAGGTGGAATGAGAAAATTTTAAAGCAAAATAATTAAATGTCTTACTTGTGGATAATTCAAGTGAAGGTTAACTCTGTTTCTTTAGAACTATTTTTTAGCCATATAAATCAAAGCAGAAAGATATGTTGAGTAGAATATAGAGTGATTATTTTAAAATTAGACTACTTGTTGATTTTCCAGTGCCTCTTAATTAGTCACTTGGAACAAATATATTATAATCTATATTAACATATGCATCAATATGTATCAACATACAAGATATTAGGGTTCTCATATTTACTCTGGGTAACTGGCTAGCTAATATGTTGAGTTTTTAAAAAGTAGTACTGAATTTATAAAACATGCAATAGAATAAGTATTCCTCTTTACATAATATATGAAAGGACATCTTAATATAGATCCCATTAGAGTGCTAACAGTATACAGTAATCAAGAAAGCTGACAGATTTGACGGTATGAATAGGAAAATTCTTCACGATGATATTCAAGACAGTAGCCACACTAGCCATATGTGGCTATTTCAATTCAAATTTAAATTAGAAAGATAAAATAACTGCATTGCACAATGCAGACACTTCCATCACTGCTGAAAGTTCTATTGGGCAGCACTGTTCTACACTGTAAATCCATAAGGCTAGTGCCTATTTTTCTTGTTTCAGCACAGTGCCTTAACACACAGTAGACACTAAGGACAGATTTGGGAAAGAAGTGAATAAATGGCAATAGTATCAGGAACAAAATCTGGCAGCATGTATCAAAAGATGTTTATTACAGAATATTTATAATTTAAGACAGTGAGAAAAACCTATATATCCAATAAGATGCAGTCATTAAAGTAATATATTCTTAAAATGGAATATTATAAAACCATTAAAAAGGCCGCTTACAAAAAATTAATGACTTGAAAAGAGTTATATTCTATAGTTAAGTGAAATATGCTATTGTAACATTTTAATGGGAAATAATAATGAAAATATAAACATCAAAAGCTAAGAGTGATATCAAGTTATCAGATTATATTTTTTCTTTTGTCATTATGTATTTTATGAAGTTTCTGTAATAATGTTGTACTTTGTCATAGAATTTTAAATTAATTTTAAAGAAATTAACAAAAGTTTATTAGGCCAGGTGCGGTGCCTCACGTCTGTAATCCCAGCACTTTGGGAGGCTGAGGCAGGTGGATCACCTGAGGTCAGGAGTTCGAAACCAGCCTGGCCAACATGGTGAAAACCTATCTCTACTAAAAATACAAAATTAGCCAGGCATGGTGGCACACACCTGTAATCCCAGCTACTCAGGAGGCTGAAGCAGGAAATCGCTTGAACCCAGGAGGCAGATTTTGCAGTGAGCTGAGATAGCACCACTGCACAAGAAATTAACAAAATATTATTAGCAAAAATATTTATATATTATTTATTTGATTAAAAAAGGAAAAAATCAATGATTTATGTGCCTGTGTACTTTTCTCTCTTTATTTTATATTAGGAGTAAGTATCGAAAATAATGATTTTCAGTAAAGATTTTCAATACTTATTCCTGATTTAAAATAAAGAGAGAAAAGTATACAGGGAGAATGACAAAATAGATACTAATTTTCATAGAAGAAAATATGATGAAGGCATTAAAAATATGTTTTTGAATAATATTAATCTATGGTAAACTATCCATGTATATTGTGATACTCTGATTTACAGATTGACAAAAAAAACTAAAAAAAAGCATGTAAATAACAAGACCCAAATTTGTTGAACTCATATAATGAAGAGATATGTAATATTTTTTACATGATATTAAGATACTTTAACATATTAACTCAAGTAGCATGTGGGTTTCAGATCATTTTTCATTCAGACAGGTGTTTAAGTATTTAAATACATGAAACGAGAGAAACAGAAAACTGTTTACAATGAGCTTCTCTGGGTCTTGGGGTGACAAGTAATTTTCATAGTTTTAAAACACTTTCATAGTTTTAAAACACTGAAATAAGTCTGGTTTTCTTTAATAATAAGACAAATTAATATTTATTTAAAAAATCCCTGGCTGGGCGCGGTGGCTCACTCCTGTAATCCCAGCACTTTGGGAGGCCAAGGCGGGTTTATCACTTGAGGTCAGGAGTTCGAGATCAGCTTTGCCAACATAAAGAAACCCCGTCTCTACTAGAAATACAAAAATTAGCCGGTCATGGTGGTGCACCCATGTAATCCCAGCTACTTGGGTGGCTGAGGCAGGAGGATCACTTGAACCTGGGAAGTGGAGGTTGCAGTAAGCCAAGATCAATGCACTCCAGCCTGGGCAACAGAGCAAGACTCAGTCTCAAAAAATAAAATAAAATAAATCCCTAAATTATCTGCTTTCTCCAATTCCTAAAGACCAGTGAAGATTGAGAACCAGGCAGAGGGTGTGACTATGGGACCAGTATTTCTTTTCAAAGCCCTTAGCTAACATCAGCAAATTCAGTCCTGCTTCACTCCACAAATTCACCTCAGCTCAGCACTAGAGGACTGGGGCATTAACTTTCACTATTCAGATTATTTTACATGGACTAAGGTAATTTGTCATGGAATTCATAAGTTCTCCTTCTCAACTGCAAAGTCCAGTTTCTATTCTTTGGTTTCCTCCCATAGTGACTCATTCAGTACAGGATATAACTTGAGCCAAAAATGACATCAAAACTTTGGACAGGGGACACTGCCCCTGCCCCAACCCCAAATAGAAACTACAGTTTTTCATCCTAGAAAGCACCTTTCTCTCAGAAAAGGGTGAAATTAATAGTTGAAAGCCAAAACTACCCCTAGAGGCAAAGAGGTATTTTTGGTTTGTTTTGAATAATTGAGAAAGGGCTTAAGGCAAAGCTATTAAGATAAATTTTATTTTTTTACTCATCCAATACCTGAAGGTTTCTTTGTAGAGGCAAAGAATGGTAAGATATATTTGCACCAGAAAACATCACAACTATAGTAATTTCAGAATTTCACAGATAGGTGAAATGGTGACTAGGAATAAAATAATTGGGCAATAGAGATAGAGTTTGATAGACCCGTGTAATGAAGGCAGAAACTTTTAACTTTAAAAGTTAAACTTCAAGTAATCAGATGTAAAAAACTAAAAACTTTGCCATTATACCAGTTCTTACATGCACATCATAACTGTATTACATAGTGAAGAAAACAAGCACATGGTGACAAGCCTAGTGGTTAAGGGCACAGAACTGGAGCCTGGTGGTAACAGTACACATCTCCCATCCACCTCTCACTAGCTTTGTAACTCGACAAGTTACTTAACCTTTCTATACCTCAAAGTTCCCATGGTAAATGAAGATAATAACAACACTTACCCTATCTGGCTCTTGTGAGAATAGAATTACACCACATAGTTAACAAGTACTAGTTGATTTGGACTGTGAGATGGAAAACATTTTTCAGTGAAATCCATTTAATTTGTTTTACAAATATCATAAAAAGCAAAATTTATTTTTATAATTTAAACATCAGTTTGCACTGGAGTCATGAATGCTGAATCCTAGTTGAGGGTCTTCTACCTCCAGGTGAACCATATGGGCAAACCATTTTCTTTTCTAGGCTTCAGTGGTGTCATGAGGGAGTGTATTAAATAAAGCCTCATACTCCTTTGCTGCTTTCAAATTCCTATGATCTATAGAGCTGGGAGAAAAAGAATTTTAATACTGCTGCTTACAAAATATTTTCACAGTAGGAACTAAAATAGTGGAACATTTCAACATATTTATGTAACAGCCAAATTAAACAAAAGGCAAGTAGAATTCCCCAGTGGAAGAGCTACAGAAGTAAAAACAGATCAAAACACAGAGTTTTCAGAATGTATGCAATACTAAAGTTTCAGTGAACCAGTCAATGAATGGGAGAAAAGACCTGAAAAACTAACCCTGGTGTTGGGAAGAGTAAAAGGAATAAGAGCTTTTTTGTGTTGTTTTGTTTTGTTTCTCTGTGTTTCTCTTCTTTATAGTCTAAAATGTATTCTACTGAAATAGTTACATCCTTTTACCTCATAATCTAATTTAACTAGCATGTTTTAACTTATCATTTTGTTTAACTACTCGAAGCTGGTGGGGTTTTTGAATAACTTTATTACATCCTGCCACTGGTTGACATCCCAATCCCATTCCACCCCAATATATACTGAAAAAAAGTAAACAATTATTGTAGCATCACATTCAGATGGAATCTCACTCTAACCCAGGCTGGAGTGCAGTGGCATGATCTCGGCTTACTGCAATCTCCACCTCCCAGGTTCAAGAGATTCTCCCACCTCAGCCTCCTGAGTAGCTAGGACTGCAAGTGCACACCACCATGCCCAGCTAATTTTTATATTTTTAGTAGAGATGGGGGGGTTCGCCATATTGGCCATGCTGGTCTCAAACTCCTTCCCTCAAGTGATCCTCCTGCCTCGGCCTCCCACACTATGGGATTACAGGCATGAGCCACCACGCTTGGCCACATCGCTTATATTTTAAGACATATTGGTACACTAATGCAAGTAGCATGTTGGTTTCAGGCCGTTTTTCATTCATGAAAATATTAGTTTTATATTTAATACATTTTAAACATTAGGAAAAAAAAAGAGGAGGAAAGATATAATTCTAGAGCTTTAAAATGCTGCATCTCAAAGTTATACCTGACCTAATTATTTGGTTTGGTGAAGGTTGAGACCCCGTAGAAGGAGCACTTAATAATTTGGGGGGAGTAGGAGACTTTTGGAAACACTACAGCTCTGCTTACTCCAATTCCTGATGAATGCTGCGTGTGTGTGTGTGTACAGATGTGGCATTTGCCTGAGTCATAGGAGTTGTCAAGATTCTCAGTCACAGCCTTAGACTTCAGTAACTGATGTGGAAGTGACTTACTCTTCAGACATATAAGGAAATAAAAGGTAACCAGTTATAACAGCCTAACATGTAGGAAGGGATTAACCACTTTTAAAAGTCATTTCACAAACATCATCAAATGCTACTTACAAATTTATGAGATTAATGCTTCTTATTGCTCATAAAGGATGATTTTCCTCTCACTGTTCATCTTATATCTGGCAAAGTCAGAACCTCAAACTAGATCTGTCAACTTACGATGTAAAAAATACTCTTTCAGAGATAATGTGTTGTTCTTAAAATATGTGGATGAGTATGAGGAAGAATGCATGATTAGATGAAATAGTCCTTACCCTTGGGCTCCATAAATGGGCTGAGATGGCTGAAAATGTCGTGTCTCACAAGGAATGTAGTGTCCTCCTCCTATTGAAGTCATTTCCACCTTTCCACCCAGACCCCAGCCCTATCAAGCTACCTCTTTTCCCTTTACTGCCATAGCCACAGGTACAGCTTCTTCCAAACATTTCTCACAATGTTGACTCAACTGCTCTCTACACTCCCTCTTTTTTAACTACTAGGTCCTATTGAAAGGAGCACAGATTTTAGGGGTCAGATACCTATTTTCAAATTCTGAATCTGACATTTACAAGTCTGTGATCTTGATGAAGGAGCTTTCACATCTCTGAGCTCTACCTTTCTCATCTGGAAAATGGTGCTGGGGAAGTGGAATAACTGAAGGACTTTTAATTATGAAAGCCCGAGAGGTCTGTCTGGTAACTATTACTGTCATATTTATGAGATTAATGGTAATTTTGATTCCTCTATATCTTTATCTGAATTTCAACAATACATAACCTTGAGATCAGAGACTGGCAGAACTTATTTTCTGGTTCGAATAGGATGAAATAAAGAAACCATCCAGAACCAGCAAATGGCACCAAATGCAACCTCTGGTTGCCCTTGCTGCTAATCAGCATAAGACAGTCCCACCAGTGCCATGATAGTTTACAAATGCCATAGCAACACCCAGAAGTTGCCATGTCTTTTCTAGAGATTTCTGAATAACCCACCCCTTAATTTGCATGTAATTAAAAGTGGGTACAAATACAGCTAGTCAACAGCCTGTAACTTCCTACTCTGGGTGCACTGCCTATGAGTTATCCATGCTCTACAAAGAGCAGCTACTCTTCTGTACACTGCCGCTTTAATAAACCTGCTTTTTCCCACCATCAGCTTGCTCTTGAATTATTTCCTGAGTGAAGCCATGAATACTCCCTGGATGAGCCCAAATTTTGAAGCTCACCTGCCCTGTATCTTCTGGTGCCCAGCATGTGGCTCGAGAAGATGGCAAGAGTTGGTAAGATGGTGAGATGGCAAATAGAAGGTTAGAAGATGGTAAAGCGAGGTGGCAAGGCAGTGAGATGGTGACTGATGATACAGTCGAGAGAGACAGTGAGGTGACAATCCAAGGTGCAGAGCTGTAGCACAGAGACTGTAACACCAAATACCTACTAACACTGAAGAGCTGTAAAACCAGTCAAAGGCTGTTTTCAGAGCCATCATCTTTCTTGTCAGGTGACAGCAGCAGATTGAGCTGATGGGCAAGGGGCTGACACCTCACTGGGATCAACTGTGGTCAGCAAGTTGATGGTCTGCACATTGGTCTCCTTGCAGCAGTCAAACCCTCCCAAGCTTGGGAACCTAGGGGAGACCTTCACCAGGGGCCCAAGTTAGAGACCAGTCAGCATCATTTTGGCTTCTGCAGATGGGTAAATGTTCCCTCTGCCCCTTCTTTGACATCTGGTGAATCAGGAAATGAAGTCTCTGGTTAGATGGTCAATTCAAAATCCCCCATAGTTTGGGTGCCCTAGACAGAAGTACATCTGACCAACTATATCATCATTGCCCCTTCTCTAGGTCCTTTTTACTCTAATGCCATTTTATTTTTCCATGGGTCCTTTTTATTTTCCTCCCTGCAATGTACGTTTCATTTACAGTTTTTGCTTTTACTCCCTGCCAACTTTATTTGAGCAATTGTGTAAGGCAGGATACTCGGTTGTGAGAGGTCCCCTGTTGTGAGGGGACCCTGAGACATCAGAGTCACATTGTTCTTTGGCCCCAACGTGGTCTTTGGGGTTCACTCTTGAGCACCCCTTAGATGCTCTGGGGATTTTGGCCTATGGTGAGGGGACCCTCACTGGCCAATACCCAGGTGCTGCAGGTTTTTCAGCATTTGGTCCTGTTGGCTACCCTCAGATGCTCTGGCGTTTTCAGCATTGGCATATCCTTCTAAGATTGCAGATTAGAGTCCTACCCGAGGGGGTTCATTTATTCCTTAGTTTCCCTTCTACGAGTGTGGTGGGTTAGAGTCCCTCTCTAGGGGGTTCTTAATCCTGTCACTCTATTTTTACCTTTCCTTTTATACTTGGCTTAGTAAAAGAAAAGCCACCTCTTTTGTCATATTCTGTTTGCTGGTGAATGCAGTTATCACTCCACTGCCCACTCATATCTCATCATTTACTTTTGTTGTACCCTGTACCTATGCCCTCTTTGCAGGAATTGGCAGCAACTGTGTACTGACTATTCTTGAGAAAAAGTAGGTGGGAATGCAAAAGAGAAAATAACGGAGATTTCGCTAGACTTAGATAAACCTCTGTGTCTGGTAGAGAACCTTGTTAGACATGTGGACAATGGTAAGCATCCAGAAGGACTCACTGCTGGGGTGCCTTTTTGGCAATTAAATCAAATTCAAATTAGAAGGCTTAAA